>NC_000003.12:136735877-137038907 GCF_000001405.40 Homo sapiens | reverse complement strand
TAACAGTCTGAAATGGGTATTATGGGACTAAAAGTAAGGTATCGACAGAGCTGTGTTCTTCTTAGAGGCTCCAGGGGAAAATCAATTTTTACCTTTTCCAGTCTCCAGAAGCTGCCAGCATTCTTTGGCTCACAGCCTTACATCACCACCACCTCCGCTTCCATCATTCCATCTCCTTCTCTAAAACTCACTCTCCTGTCTCTCCCTTATGAGGATTCTTTGGACTGTGTTAGGATCACCATCTCAAGGTCCTTAACTTTATCACATCTGCAAAGTCTCTTTTGTCGCGTAAGGTAATATATTCACAGGTTCCAGTAGGTTGGGACACGGTCATCTTTGGTGGGTCATTATTCTGTCTTATCACAAGAACAATATTATGGTCATGCAGGTCAAACACTGCCAATAGTCTTGAGGAAAAGCCCCTGAGGTCTAGGCATTATAGTCTCATCTGTGTTCTTCAAAAACATATTTTCATAAAGTAGAAGGGGTGGAAGTTAAACGTCAAGAGATTAGGAATATACAGATGATAAAGAAAAGGAGGCAGAAATGTTGACCACTCCTTAGAAAAGTCCAGCCACGGAAGATGAGGAAAGGCCTACTGTCTGAGGGGTGATCAGGCCACAGGAGAATGAGGAATGACAGAGCCATTGAAATATGAAAGTTGGAGGTGACGAACACCCTGAGCATAGGGAGGCAGAAACAGGCCCGGCCTTGAGGGGTCCAGGCTTGAAGGCACCTTGGTAGATATGCCATGAAAGGGCCCCAAGAGGAAGAGGAGTTCAACATGGCTCAGTGTGTCCAGCTGAGGTTAGGTGTTGACTCAACCTGCATGACTTCCCTGAGCAGGCTCAGAGGCCTGGATAAGGAGCAGAGAAGACCAGCAGTGGAGATGGTTGGATCAGAGGCTTGACAGGATGGCTGAATGGAGGCTCTGGGAGGGGAGCAATGCTGAGCTGTTACAGAGAGTGACAGTAGAAAAGCTGAGCTGGCCGAGAAGCCAGGGAAGGCTTGGCAGCAAGAACTGAAGACAGGATGGCAGATAGCAGCCTTGATAAGGAACTAGGTAAGGGGCCCCATCAGCACTAGCTCCATGATTGCCTGCATGGAAGAATGGACAGCCAATCTATGGTCACAGCACTGCTGCTCCACTGGGTGAGAGGAAGAGTGTGGGGCTGCAGAAGAGGAAGCTGTGACCAGATGGGGGAGGCAGGAGGTGAACCGCATCGCATCCCTGACCATGTCACATCCCTATGGCACAGGGTTGCACAGGTGAAAGTTACAGGCTTTTCTTGGATGTTCTGTTTGCTAACCATAGCCTGGTGAGCCCCTGGCCATAAGGAGGAAGAGGACTCAAGGTCATCCCATCAGCTTCAACCTAGTTTTCTGTCACTATTTAGCTCAATAGGGTTTTTTGAGGGGATGAGAGAGGTTTTATAAAAACATCTTGAATGGCTAAATTCAAGTAAACCCTAAATATGGGTCTCCACTTGCCAAGAAAATGTTTATCCAGGCTTGTCAGACGGACACTGGCAGAAAGCACACCTCTCCCCAAGAGAAAAGAAAGATGTCACTGAAATTATCTTGGGCTCCATAGGTGACATTAGTACAGCCAGACTGCCGAGCATCAGGTGCCAATTTACATGTTAGCTTCTGTTGTGCTAAGTGGAAACCCTACCCTTGTTATGTCACTTATGTAGGTGAGAAAACTCCCCTGGCCACAGGGCCTGGCACGGGACTGCATGTGGGCCCAGGGGCCACTTTATCTACTGTGCAGGTAAATTCTTTGCTGTTTGGCTCTAGAGGAAAATGCATCTTACATAAGGTGCTGCTCCATAGATAAGTCTGTTGTTAATATGCCTTAGACTGCCTTTGCCATGGCTATTATCACGGATACATGCGACGTACATCTTTTTTATCGGTGTGCATTGTACTTGTGGTAAAAAAAATAAATAAAAAAGGAAAAGAGACCACAGGATGTCATCTGTTTTTTTTTTTTTAAAAAAAGGAGAAAAATGTCCACAGATTCAACCCATACCACATGTTATCCTTGATGTATAAAACTGGAACATCAACTATGCTTTAGTCAAATGTGTGGGTTTTTCAGAATGGAGTTTTCCATAGTTCAGGATGATTCAGCAGCACTTCTAGGCCATTAGGCCTGAGGCGAATGAACTAGTTAAATACTGTCTGTTATGATTCTGCCTCAATTTTGCTGTTTTTAAATGTATGGAAGTGGGTGGGCTTTTTTGCCCCCCCCCCCAAAAAAAAAGAAAGTTTTGTTTATGAGCCCGCTTTGCAGAGGGTAGGGAGGGGAGAAGTGGGGACAGAAAGTGCCATCGTCATCCCTGGGCTGTTTCTTCTTTAACATCCAGGAACTGATCAGTCTAGGGAAACCCAGGCAGTCCCACCTAGTGTTTGCTTCAGCAGAAGCCTACGGTGCCATGGAGTGAGCCCCAGCTACAATGGTGGGGAACAGTTCCTGTCCTCCTGTGAAGACCCTCCCCTCCCTGGGGAGTTCAGAGTCGTGCGAAACTGTTTTGGAGGTGTTCAGAAAGCAGTGGAACAATACATTGTTTCCCATTTTTCTGGATCCAGGAAGGCAGAAATGTAGATGATGAGCAGTGATGAAATCAGTCAGGGCAGCCAGGGTCGGCCCCAGGAGCCCATGGGGCTGAAGAAGCCCAGGCGAGTTGAGAGCCCCCATCTCTCTGGGCCTCAGTGTCCTCATCTGTGAGAGACCTGGAGTGACTAACTGGCAGTGACACCCTTCGCACTCTGATGGTCTGTGCACAATGCACTCTAGTCAGCCCGCTCAACACATTTCAGGGCTTCTTCCTCCTGACAGCAGCTGAGGCGCAGGCCGGGGACCTCACTTGAGCTCTGCCTGAGCCCCCATGCCTGAGAATAGCCCAGACTAGAATTGGTACTGAGAAAAGGGGACCTCACAAGGCGTAGAAAGGCGCCTGTCAGGAGGCCCCAACAGGCGGGTCTCAGCACAGGGAGAGTAAGCCTCCAAAGGAGTGAGTCCTCCATCAGGGCTGGCTGGGTTCTGTACCATCATGTGCCTCAAGAGGGTGCACTCTGACAGCTCCAGTTTCAAACCACATGCACTAAGGCTGAGGGAGGACTCAGGTGGGTGCTGCTCTCAGATCCCCCTGGATCTCGCACCTTGCTGTGCGCCCCTCTCCTGGCTTCACTGTGCTTTCACCCTAATGACTGGCATGTTTTCCACTTCTGGACTTCAGACCCTTCACAGGGGGTGTCAGTTAATGGGTCCTGGACAGGACTGAACGCTAGGAAAGAGTCTTGGCCATTTCCCAGAGCTTGAGCCAGACCTCCAGAATTCTCTCTGGCCCATCATTCATGTATTTCCAGCCTTCCCTAATCCCCCCGCCTTCTGCTGATCCCATCCCCCAACTGCCTGTCTGCCAATCAGTGAATCATATGTATGTTGCCTTCTACATGACAATGGGCACAAAATAGTTAAATCAGGAACCCGATGCCCCCCTCACACACCCTCTTCCTTGCCCTCAGCTGCTAGAGCCTGGAGGCACATTGAGTGGTATCACACAGACAGTGCCATCAGGCCTGCGTTTTGCCCCAGACCCAGAAAGAAGCCTCTCCTACCCTAACGTTGTTTTAAGTGCACCATTCATTATAGATTGTAGCGGCAAAGAACACGGGGCAGGGCAAGGGACCCAACATCAAGACCCCAGAAACAGGCTGAGGGCTCAGGCTCAGGAAGGAGAGGCCAGGGAATGAGAGAGGGTGAGAAAATGAGAGGAGATAGAGCCGGAGAGCCAGAGGGAGAATAAGCACAGGCCATGCAGCCCCTCCACCCTCCCATCCCTCCACACTGGCAATCAGTCTTCTACAGAGCACTCACGCCAGCAACGCCACACTCCTTCATTCAAAAACCAACACGATGGGTCGTGCGCAGTGGCTCACACCTGTAATCCCAGCACTTTGGGAGACTGAGGTGGGAGGATCACCTGAGGTCAGGAGTTTGAGACCAGCCTGGCCAGCATGGTGAAACCCCATCTCTACTAAAAATACAAAAATTAGCCAGGCATGGTGGCACATGCCTGTAATCCCAGCCACTCAGAAGCCTGAGGCAAGAGAATCACCTGAGCTTGGGAGGCAGAGGTTGCAGTGAGCTGAGATCATGCCACTGCACTCCAGCCTGGGCAACAGAGTGAGACTCTGTCTCAAAACAAAAAACAGACATGACTGCCTACTGAGCCCATAACAATCAATAAGAGTCGATATTTAGAGATTTTACTTTGAACATCTGCAAATACAAAGATAATGAGCTAATTGTCAAAAATCAAAATAACTAGATACAAAAGGAGTCCAAAATCAAATTACACTGGCTGCCTCTTAGTCCATTGGCTAAGGATAGCAAGTCACCTTAGAGTCCTTGGGGAAACCTTATTAGTTATGCAAATTAAGGCTTTTTTTTTTTTTTTTAAGAGATGGAGTCTCGCTATGTCACCCAGGCTGGAGTGCAGTAGCACGATCTGGGCTCACTGCAACCTCCACCTCCCCGGTTCAAGGGATTCTCCCGCCTCAGCCGCTCGAGTAGCTGGGACTACAGGTGTGTGCCATTACGCCCGGCTAATTTCTGTATTTTTAGTAGAGATGGGTTTTCGCCATGTTGGCCAGGCTGGTCTCAAACTCCTGACCTCAGGCAATCCTCCCGCCTTGGCCTCCCAAAGAGCTGGGATTACAGGCATGAGCCACCACACCTGGCCTATATTATTTTTACATATACACATAGTGGCAGAGGATGTTAAGGCCCCCAGGGATATAAGGCGTTTAATACCTTATTGCTGATGCCCTGGAGGAGTGTAACAGGATTTTGTGGTGCTGTGAAGGCATGCTCCTGCCTGAGGCCCCTACATCTGCAGAACCTGGAAAAGGGTTGGACAGTTTGCGGTAGGAGCTGGAGTCTTCTGGGAGCAAAGGGTCTAACATCCAGACTTGGGGCCAAGAAAGTTGTCAGGGCAGACAGGTCTGTGGGCAGGAAAGCCTAATTGAGGGTGTGGACCCAAGCTCTAACCAAATATCTGAGGTCTGGGACCTGAGGGTTTGTGAGGGAAGAACTGGACCTGGCAGGGCCCTTGGCTAGAGCCTGTGCCTGGTTCTGAGGGTAACAGCTGAGCAAGTGAGAATCAACTGAGTCAATAACTTTAATGAGAGCGTGAGAATTCTCACTGCAGAGGGCAAGCATCTATCTGTCCAGGACCAGACTTTGACAGGGATGCGCTGGCAGTGATCACAGCTTGGTGCCCAGAGGTAAATCCTCTGTCATGGCAGAACAGTGCTTTGAGGGGCGATTCTCATGACCCTGGTAGTAGAAGCTCGTCGGGACTCATGCAAGTGAGTAGAAACACTAAACCAAGAGGATAGAATTTTTATTCCAAACTGACGGTGTGTTTCAAAAAAAAAAATCTTAAAACAAAAACAAAACAACGTTCCAGTCTAAACTAGAATGAGCAGTGGGAGAGTTTGGCAGAACCTCTAGGAAGACAGGAAAGGCTATTCTGTTAACAACCCTCTCTAGGGTGTCTACCAGCACCACCCCCAACTGCCAACAGAGGACCCTCCACTGAGATCTCATTCCGGTGCCCGCCCAGTCTTCCTTTCCTCTTTGGTCAACTTTGTAAAGCCCTGGAGTGAAGAGCTCCTCCATATAAGGGGTCCAGAGTAGCAGCCCTATGGCCATCTCACCAAGGGTTGGCTCTGCCTGGGGGAGCACTGCCTTCCACTACAGGACTCGGGACAAATGCTAATCCACCCATCCACTGGCCTCCCTTGTACCTCCGGGAAAAGGACCAATCCATTGTTGCTGAGAACAGACAGAGATGCCTGGCACTCCTATGACAGTCCTTGGTTCCTGGCCGTCTCTCCCCTCACCCCTCTTTGTCCCTAGGAAGCGACATCCCTGTTGCGCCCGGCCTCGCAATCCACATAGGAATCCACATCCACAGCCTGCCGAGCAAGCATCACTCGGCCTGCATTACTCTCCATAATAATCTCATATATCAAAGCTGGGAGAGACTCCGGCTCTGCATATGAGCGACTCTGTTCGACGCTGAATATCATTATCAGAAGCCCCTCGCTCCCTCGGCTTCGTATGCAAACTCCTGAGCTCCCAGGAGTCCTTCCCGAAGAAAGTGCCCTGCACGACGGACATTTGTTATTTTGCCGGAGAGGACGCTAAGGCTCCGCTGGGACCCAACCAAATCAACCGTAGCCTGCAGTTGACCAACCAAGACCTACATTGTCACCTAGTGGCGTCTCCGGGAACTACAGCTGGCTCCGGAGGGCTCTGCCAAAGCCGCGTTCAGAGACGCCAAACAATGCCACTGACGCTGCTGTCTCCAAGTATCCGGGAAGAGGACGGAGTGGGAAACAAATTTTTGTTTTCACCAGCTCTTTGGTGATAGACAAACCAACAATTCGTGTTCAAATATATTAACTTAGCAAAGAGAAGGAGAAATTGAAATCATAGCTCTTTCATCCATCTCAGGATAAAGCCAGGTCATGAAGAAAAGGAAAAGAGGAATAGATAGCATAGATATACAAAATATATAGATGCACAAATTTTTCAAGCAGTGTAGGGTGTACATAATATAACTTTTTTATTGTTCCATTATACAGTTTTACCTTTATTTGGAATCTCCAATCCTCATAATGGCAGAAAATTAGTCATGGTCATTTCCGGGTAAATTCAGGCATTTTATATGTAAGTTTAGTTAATTAACAAGTGTTCTTTTTCTTACCCTGGCTCCTAGGCTTAGAGATCTACCTCATATCTCAGTCTCAGGGAGAGGTGTCTGCTCCCCAGACCTCCAAGTGGAAGTTTGTCGCTGACACTTCTGCACCTGAGTCCCCAAACTCTATCTGGAGAATTCGATAATACCCTCCAATACTTCTTTACATCTAATCGCCAGAGGAGGACACAGGGATATCCCTTCTTGGAGACCATGACTGCTTTTCTCATTACTTCCTCCCCATTTCACCTCTTCCCTCAACTCAGCTTTATCTAATCTGGGGTTGGGAAGAGGGGGAAAAAAACTGATTGAGCCAATATACAGTTTGCTCAGTTTTTTTTCTATCTTATATCTGGGTTGAGAACTTTTATCTTAAAACTCAAGAATTTGGCATATTCTTCACTGATTCCACTGTGACAGCTTCCATAACCAATGGATATCTTGCATCTACTTCCCCAAATGGTGGTTGGAGGAGGAATCCAGAGAAAAGGGAGTGTGGGATGGGAGGACCATAACTGGTGAAACCTCACATATTATCCCAGCTATGAGAGACAGAGGATGTGAAGGACACAAACCAAATATTAACAGAGTTCACACCCAGGGCATAAGACCAAGAGAAAGAAGGGAGAAGCTTTTGGTTTTACATCTTTCCATATTGCTTACATTGTTTTTACAATAAACATGTATTTTTTTGGAAATGGATTTAATTAGTCTAAAGATTAGAGGTTAAGGATGGATGCAATGGCTCACATCTGTAATCCCAGCACTTTGGAAGGCTAAGGTGGAAGGATTGCTTGAGCCCAGGAGTTTGAGACCAGCCTGGGCAATATAGTGAGATCCCACCTCTACAATAAATTTAAAAATTAGACAGGCATGGTGGCGCGCACCTGTAGTCCCAGCTACCTGGAGGCTGAGCTGGGAGGTCAAGGCTGAAGAGGGCCGTGATTGTGCCACTATACTTCAGCCTGCAGCCTGACATATCAAGACCCTGTCTCAAGAAAAAAAAAATATTAGAGGTTGGGAGATTAACAACACCTTATTTCCCCTCCTCTTCTTGCAATCATAGCCTGTGAAAGCTGTGCCACAGAACAGCAAGTAGAGTATGTCCCAGGAGATGAGGCACTGCTGTCTCCACACTCGTCACCCTGTCCCCATCATTGCCTCTTCTAGAAGACTGGAGTCAGCAGGGCCCCAGTCATGGAGCCAGGTTCCAGTGCTTGGGAAATCCTGAAATAAGTGCCTGCCGTGTGCTGTGCCATGTGTCTGAGCCCTAAATAACAAGTGTCTTGTGATCATCTGAAGCTGCCTGAGGACCAGAAGCAGCAGAAAGTCTTTTCTTTCTTTCTTTCTTTCTTTCTTTCTTTTTTTTTAATTTAATGGAAGAAAAGTCCAGCTTAATAACTTTAATGGAGAAAGAAGGAAGCAGTAGAAATTTGTGGAGACTCCAATCACATGTCCTCCACTCTGCTACCCTGGGCCCAAAATAAGGGAGGAGACACTCAGAGCCAGGTGTTTCCCTTGATGGGAATGTGATCAGGTGTGACATGGGCTCACAGCCTCACTGAGGCTGGATCTTTTTTTTCTGTTCCCTCTGAGTCATGGTAGTGTTCAGAAGGAATTATTTGGGTATTTTGTTACTTTACTTACTTTACCCCATCACAATCAGTGCACTTTCCTGAAATGGAATTTTATTTTGATTATGGAAATTTTCAACCATTACCTCTGCAAACATTTCATTTTCATTCCCCTGTTCTCACTATTTTTCTTATTCAGAAACTCTTCTTGGATGTGTGTTGGAATTCCTCAATCTATCTCCCATGGCTCTCAACTTCTTATTCATATTTTCCATTTCTTCATCTTTTGGTGCTATGTTTTATGTACATTTTCTCTCTCTCTCTCTCTCTTTGAAACAGGGCTGGGTGCGATGGCTCATGCCTGTGGTCCCAGCACTTTGGGAGGCTGAGGCAGGCAGATCACCTGAGGTCAGGAGTTCGAGACCAGCCTGATCAACATGGAGAAACCCCGTCCCTACTAAAAATACAAAATTAGCCATGAATGGTGGCAGGTGCCTGTAATCCCAGCTACTCAGGAGGCTGAGGCAGGAGAATCACTTGAACCCGGGAGGCAGAGGTTGCGGTGAGCTGAGATTGCACCACTGCACTACAGCCTGGGCGACAAGAGTGAAACTCCATCTCAAAAAAAAAAAAGAAGAAAGAAAGAAAGAAACAGTCTTACTCTGTCACCCAGGCTGGAGTGCTGTGGTACGATCATAGCTTATTGCAACTTCAAACTCCTGGGCCCAAGCAAATCCTCTCACTTCAGCCTCCCAAGTAGCTGGGACTACAGGTACATGTCATCATTCAGCTAATTTTTTTTTTATTTTTAAGAGATGGGGTGTCACTATGTTGCTCAGGCTGGTCTCAAACTTCTGGCCTTTCAATGCACTGTGAGCCCATTACAGACAGGCGCCAATGCGCCCAGCATTTCTATCTTTTAATTCACTTATCTTTCACCAGCTATTTTCACCGGTTGTCTATCCTGCCTGTTGCAGTCTTTTTTTTATTTCCAATAGCAATATATTTCATGACTGCCTATTTTTGTTTAATAATATCCTGCTCTCATTGCAAGGACACCGTTCCCTCCTTACCATTTCAGTATGTAACATAATGTTAACCTTAAAACTAATTTTTTTAAGACAGGGTCTCACTCTGTCTCCCAGGATGGAGTGCAGTGGTGTGATTACAGCTTATTGTAGCCTCGACCTCCCAGGCTTGGGTGATCCTCCCCACTCAGCCACCTGAGTAGCTAGGACTATAGGTGAATGTCACCACACCTGGCTAATTTTTTAATTTTTTGTAGAGATGAGGTTCTGCCATGTCGTCCAGGCTGGTCTCGAATTCGTGGGCTCAAGCAATCCATCTGCCTCAGCTTCCAAAACTGCTAGGATTACAGGTGTGGGCCACCACACCCAGACTAAAAGTCATATTTAAAAATCATGCCTGCCACCTTTTGAAAGCATATGAAAAGGACTGAGTTGTTAGACATTTCCAAGGACATGTGAAGAGGATGTCTTTGAAGAGAGCTGTTGAAGCCCTCTGAGTCTCATGGCCCCAGGGAAAGGGTGGAATGGAGCAGATGACCTCTTAGCCCCAAGCTTAGGGTCCCATGCAGACAGCTTGGTTTGTGTCCCTGCCACTAAGGAAGAAAGAAGGTGGGAGCCTGGCTCACCTTGAGGAAGCCAAACAGCCTGCAATGCAGAGTGGAAGGCGGCGTCTAGGAAAACCGGAGGCTAAGGAATAAAGTTTTAAAAAAAATGTGTTGCCTACATCATAGGAGTGACAGTCTGAGTTTCAGCAGGGATGCCTACAAAAAACTCACAAAAGTGCCCATAGGAGAAAGAATCAGCTTTAAACCTCAACAGGGCCCAGAGAGCCAAAACCAGCCTTCAACTGTTCCAATCAAGTAAGACCTTCCTGAGCCCAGTTCCCTTCTTCCTTTCTTTTTTCTTTTAATTTTTATGGATACATAGTAGGTGTATATATTTATGGGGTACATGAGATGTTTTGATACAAGCATACAATGTGTAATAACCACATCAGGGTCAATGGGGTTTCCATCACCTCAAGCATGTATCTCTTTGTGTTATGAACATTCCAATTATACTCTTTTGGTTATTTTAAAATATTCAATAAATTATTGTTGACTTGTAGTCACCTCATTGTGCTATCACATACTAGATCTTATTAATTCTATCTGACTCTATTTTTGTACCCATTAAGCATCCCCACTTTTTCTCACTGCCCTCCTCAGCCTCTGGTAACCATCCTTCCATGCTCTATCTCCATGACTTCAATTGTTTTAATTTTTAGTCCCCACAGACGAGTGAGAACATGCAAAGTTTGTCTTTCTGTGCCTGGCTTCTTTCACTTAACATAATGACCGCCAATTCCATCCATGTTGTTGCAAATGACAGGCTCTCACTCATTTTTATGGTTGATAGTACTCCATTGTCTGTATGTGCCGCATTTTCTTTATCCATTTGTCTGTTGATGGACACTCAGGTTGCTTCTGAATCTTGGCTCTTGTGAACAGTGCTGCAATCCCTCTCCCCTTCTGGAACTCCAATCCCAGGTGGGTGCACAACAGCAACAGATAAAGGAGGAGGAGGAAAAAAAGAGAAGCTGACCACACCCCTCCCTGAAGTAAGAAAGCTCCTTGCTAGAGACCAAAGAGGCTTTATCTTTTACAAGAGTTTAAAGTGGGCCGGGTGTGGTGGCTCATGCCTGTAATCCCAGCACGTTGGGAGGCTGAGGCAGGTGGGTCACCTGCGCTCAGGAGCTCAAGACCAGCCTAGGCAACATGGCAAAACCCTGTCTCTACAAGAAATACAAAATTTAGCTGGTGCAGTGGCACGTACCTGTAGTACCAACTGCTGGAAGGTTGAGGCAGGATAAATCACTTGAGCCCAGGAGGTCAAGGCTGCAGTGAGTCGTGATCCTGCCACAGCACTCCAGTCTGGGCAACAGAGTAAGACCCTGTCTCAAAAAAAAAAAAAAAAAAAAAAAAAAAAAAGTTCAGACTATTTTCCTATCTGGGAATAGACTATTTTAACGTGAATTGAAACCATGGTTTCATGTGACTACCAAGCATTTTATTACCCAGGAATGATCAGAAAGTCATCCACTGGTAGGGGAAATACTGCCCCCAACTAGACAAATTTTAAGGGAGGATGAGAGACTTTCTGTGAGACTAATTATCATCCTTTCAAATGGTTCATAATTTCCACCTCTCCTGTTATTAATTTTGCTTCTTAAGCCTGAGAAGTATGCCTCATGATAAATTTTGACATGTCCTTTGCAATTTTTGTTTTATAGCTCATTCTGCGTGGGAATTCTTTTTTGATGGACAGACTCTTCCACGTTAGGTGCTTTTGCGGTTGCCTGAGCCCTTTCTTCCTGATTTGCACACCCAGGAGCAGGTCTCATGTTATAGAGTTTGGGGTGTTGGTTCTCAGCCAAAAATATTTCTGATGCAGCACCCATGTGCAGCACCAGCCTGGTTCTCATATTTACATCAGTGCCCTTTTCTTCCTGCACCATGAGCAAGCAGCACATTTCTGGAGTGTTTTCAACCCCAGCTACATGGAGGGAGCATGGGTCGGGTCTCCTGCCAAGCATAGGCATGTTCATCCCCATTCTCACATAAGCTTTAAAGCCAGCCTATGTATATCCAACTCCTTCTACCCCTGGGCTACTCTTAACCAGCTTATCCTGTAAGTTTACTCTTCATTCTTAGTACGGAGAGAGAGGGAAAGAAAGAGTATGTGTGTGTCCCCATCATTCCTCCAGGTTTCGAGGCAGTTACAGAGAGGGTTTGATGTGTGCTCACTCCACCATCTTGAGCAGATGTCTTCCAGTCATGTCTCAGACACTATTGAGCAAGATGTAGGCCCCAGCCACCAGGACATCTCAGCCTTCCAACAGAGTGGACAAGCCCATTTCCAAAGTGGCAACATCTTCACTCAGTGATGGGAGGAATTTGTTTATTAGTGGCTTTGGCAGGAATCCCTCCCTCTCTCGCCTGTCTTGCCCAGAAGAGTGGACACCTCTCCAAGAGAACTGATGTTGGAGAGTCTGGCTCAATATTCTAAGAAGCCACCATGCCAGAGGCCTCCCTAAGCCCTCCTTCTCACCCCAGAGGCTTGACTGTGGACACAGGACTTTTGGATAAGAATCTCAGGTGTAAATGCTGGTATCACATAGACCAGACTCTCCCTTCTGCCCTAAAGGGCTCAGAAGACTCTGGGCCTCAGTGGTGCTGCTCACAAGCTCCTGCTCTCTCCTATGGCTACACCACCAACCCAGCCTGGCTTGAGCTTCCCAAGCCTGGAAGCTCCAACAGCCAATTCAGGTAAGAGGGGCAAGAAGAGGGGCCTGGGCACAGCTCACTGGGGCAGATGGGGAGTCTACACCCCAGGAGGTAACCTGGATGTTTCGGGAACTGTATTAGTCTGGCATGGAAGCAGCCCATCTAGTGTAGCCCACAAGCCTCAGAACCCACAGATCACCCTGTCTGAAAGCAGAGCAAGTGGCCAAGCAGCAAGGCTGGATTACAGTCAGTTCCAGTCGGCTGGAATCACTGAGTGCTGACTGTACCCCCGCCACAGCACTAAGAACATTGCACGCTTGTCTCATTTAATCCTCTCCCTATCCTAATGTGGGAAATGTTGTTATTTGCTCCATTTTCCAGGTGAGGAATCAAAGCTCAGAGAGGCCAAGGAATTTGTCCAAGGTCACATAACTTTTAAGTGATCGAGTCAGAACATGGGTAGTTTGAGTCTGGAAGCCACACTGCCAGTCCCTCTGCTCCGCTTCCTCTGGCACTGTGACTCTCCAGAATGTTGAGCTGGTCCCCACTACATCAGCTCTTATGGAGAAGTGTCCATTTTTCTGGGCAGGATGAGAAGGGCTGGTGCTGGGCCCACAGCAGACCAGGGCTGTGGGGAGTAAGGAAGGCCTGCAGCATGGACAGGTAAAGAGACCCCTGTCCCCACAGACAGTCAGAGCCCAGTGCCCCTCCACAACAATCTGGTCCAAGCTCCTTGTTCACTGGGACAGAAAATAAGGGTGAGAAAAGTGACAGTGAACTGTCCAAGGTCACACAGCAAGAAACCAGCTACACCAGGACCAAAACGCATCTCTAAACAAGAGCAGCCTCATCCTGATGCTTCGGAACCCACCATCCTTCTGCACAACCCAGAGCTGTTTTCCATTTCTTATTGCCTTTTTGTTTGTGTATGTGTTTGTGATTTTTTGAATGGCAGATGACCACACCCACCCCAGGAGATTTTTCTTCAAATGATCCGGAGCGAGGCACAGGCATCTGCCCTTTGTAATGCTCCCCAGTTGACTCTAGCATGCTGAGATCCCCTACTCCAGCCAACCTTGACTTGCTCTCCTTGGTGCTTCCCTCCTGCATCCATGCTTTTGGAAGGAGTGGGCTGCCACCCCTCCACTCCTCAGTGGGACACGCAGCTGCCCACTATTAACACAGCTCTCCTACCAAACCCAGGGGCCTCCTCTCTGAGCGGCATAAAATGCTGCTAATCACCTGTGCTGGGATTGCTACACCTACAGCCTTCCAGACATCCAGCACCCCAAACCCAACACATCCCAACACAAACTCATCATCCTTGCCCCACGGCCCTGGACTCCTCCGTTTCCTTCATTGGCTGCACACATTGAGCACAAGCTAGGTACATTGTGAGGCCCCTCATGCATGAAGTAGAAAAAGTGTCATTAAAGGTGCATGGAAAGCTTTTTCCTTTCTTTTGTGATCTCTTTCTAGGATTGTCATGGTGGGTTTTTTAATTATTATTTGCTGTTTAATGGTATTCTAAGTGAAAAAAAGTCAAAAAATTAAAACTGTTAGTACAGTCTCTTTGCTGCTCATTTTATAGTGTGCAATGACAATTTTAAATGCAAATACCAGAGCATTTAGCTGGTGCAGAATCACCGAAATTGCACAGTTCTTCCTTCATGGCTTGTCCCCAGAGGGTGCCATGAGCTGGCCAGAAGAGGCACACCCAAGGCAGACTCAGGGAAGTATAGAAAGAGGAAGAGAGGACTGGGCATGGTGGCTCACTCCTGTAATCCCAGCACTTTGGGAGGCGAAGGCCAGTGGATCATCTGAGGTCAGGAGTTCAAGACCAGCTTGGCCAACATGGTGAAACACTGTCTCTTCTACAAATACAAAAATTAGCCGAGCGTGGTGGCAAGCGCCTGTAGCCCCAGCTACTCAGGAGGCTGAGGCAGGAGAATTGCATGAACCCAGGAGGCAGAGGTTGCAGTGAGCCAAAGATGATGCCACTACACTCCAGCCTGGGTGACACAGTGAGACTCTGTCTCAAAAAAAATAAAAAATAAATAAAAAGAAGGAGGAAGGGAGGATTCCCCAGGCACAGGGCCACCCTGTGACACAGCGCACATGCATATGCACACTGCCTGCCTGTGGGTTCCACCTCCCACCAGCCAGCCAGTGCCCCTAGTCTCACCTGGGGGTAGGGCCTGGAAAACTCAAGCAGGTGCCTCCACTTCCCACAGACTCACAGCCCCAACACACAGCATAAGGCTGATCCCCAGGGATCTCTAAACCTCCATGCTGAGATGCACTTGGTACCTGGATAGGGGGTAGGGAGAGGCGCAGACACATCATAGCAATGCCAGCCTGAAGTAAAGACAGCTACCACCATGCCATGCCCCAAGACATCACAAAGTGTGAGCACCCAGCAGTCTCTGAGCCCCCACCTAGGCCCCTGCAGAGGTGGAGAGCAGCAATGGTCCTGGGGTGGAGGCAGGGAAGAGGAGGTCAGTCACACACGGAGCCAGGGGCAGGGGAGCGGGTGGCTGAGAACCCATGCCAAGGAGGCAGTGCAAGGTGGGCCCACATGTCAGCTGAGCCTCCAAGCCCCTGGCACACTGCATTGTCCCATTGGACTTCACTTACAAAACACAAATTCAAAGGTAAAATTAAGAATTTCGAAACAGTAACCACAGAGCACTAAAATCCAAGGGGGCGGGAGCCTTGTGAGCTCAGAGTGCAACTGCACTGGCCACATGCCATGAAGCTGGCCCTGACCACAGGTCTGTCCATGCTCCCTCTGGGAGCCCTTGCCTGGATAGTGGCAGCCACCAGGCTTGTCTCCGTTCCTCAGATCCTCCTTTGCTTTTGGCCCTGCCCTCTAAGCCAAAATTATCTAGACCCAGGACAGACATCAACCCATGAGCTGGCTCAAACAGATTCTCTTTCAAAAGAATTTGAACCAAGGGGCCCAGATCCAGAAACTGGTTACTGGTGGAAACCTGGAGCTGGGAAGGTCACGAAGCTCAGGGGCTGGGTTGGAAGGGGATCAGTGAGGACCTTCTTCCCTGAGAAAGAACAGGGAACAGCATAGCAGTAAGAATGCAGGGCAGCCTGTAATCCCAGCACTGTGGGAGGCTGAGGCGGGCAGATCACTTGAAGCCAGGAGTTCGAGACCAGCCTGGCCAACATGGTGAAACCCGGTCTGTACTAAAAATACAAAAAAATTAGCCAGGCATAGTGGTGCACCTGTAATCCCAGCTACTCAGGAGGCTGAGGCAGGAGAATCGCTTGAACCTGTAACTGTGGAACATGTGTGTTTAGCCAATCCTTTCAGCATAAAGCTCCTATCCCAACCCCTCCTTCTTCAAAGTGCCTGTCTCTGGTCTTGGCCAGAGGCAGGCTTTCCAGCCTGTGGGATGGCCACCTTGCAAGCTGTAACCTTTTATAAGAAATTTAGAAAAGTCCTATTGAAAACTTTTTTTTGAGTCCGAATCTCATTTCTACATGTTGATCCAAAAGATCTCTCCTTTTCTAAATTTATAAATTTTGGCGTTTTTTAAATAAGTTAACAATATGAACTGTAAGTTTTCAGGGCATTTCAAAGTGTGCGTGTGTATGTGTGTGTGTGTGTATACTTGCATGTGTGTATATGTGTGTATTGATGTATAAGTGTGTTTATATATGTGTACATTTATATATGTATGTATTTATGTATGAGTGTGAATGTGTGTATATGTGTATGTGTGTATTTGTATGTGTGTATGTGTATGTGTGTATATGTATGTGTGTATGTGTGTATACGTATGTGTGTATGTATGTGTGTGAGTGTGTTCGTGCTCTGACTGAAGTTAAATACTTAAATACTCTTGGAATTAATGACACTTATTGCCCAGTTTGTCAGCTTTGTACAGGCTTATTATGAAGTTTGAGTTAATTTATTTCTTGAAAGAGAATTTTCTTTTTGATCAATGTTGTGGAAAAATTTTTTTTCAGCAGGACTTTTACTATTAACTTAACGATCCCCATGCACTAAGAAATGAGGGGGACTGACCACCAGCCAGCAGCCGGAATCCATCAAACTTCAATTCCTAAGCATCAGTGTTATGGGTCCTTCTAGTGCAAGAGTATAATCAGTTTCCCAATTTAATTGTGATATTTTATGTGGCATTGTGTGACTCAAAGTCGCAACTTACAGGGTCATTCCACTCATACTCCCCTTGAGCTATACAACTTCTTCTGACTGATGTATTTGTGTTTCCTAGTTTTTGTTTTCTTCATCTACACAACAGACGAATCACTAACACCAACATAATACCAACATGCCAACATGTAAATGACTTGGCAGATCCTCTTTTTTTTTTTTTTTGAGACAGAGTCTCACTCTGTCGCCCAGGCTGGAGTGCAGTGGCGTGATCTTGGCTCACTACAAGCTCTGCCTCCCAGGTTCACGCCTTTCTCCTGCCTCAGCCTCCCGGGTAGCCCACCACCACGCCCGGCTAATTTTTTGTATTTTTAGTAGAGACGGGGTTTCACCGTGTTAACCAAGATGGTCTCGATCTCCTGACGTCGTGATCTGCCCTCATCGGCCTCCCAAAGTGCTGGGATTACAGGTGTGAGCCACCGCGCCTGGCTGACAAATCCTCTGTTTTTTTCTCCATTTTCTCTTACTACTCGTAGTCTTTTGCTCCTTTTATGTATCATCTTGGACTCATGGCTTCTCCAATCCACCATATGCCCATTGGCTTCAGCCGATACTCTCCTTTTGACATTCAAGTTGCCTCAACTTTGGCCAGCAGAACCCCTTTTAGATGGCTCCTCTGTCCTTTTGACTCTACTAATTTATTCAAACTTTCTTGATTTCTGGCCTTGTTGTTCAGTGTTTAGGATTTCCTTGAATTTCCAGCTCAAAGTATGGAATATGCCATTCCTCCCAAGACGCTTTTGGTAAGAAGAGCATTAGAGACCAGAATGTGGGTGCCAAAGTGCATTGTGAGGTGACATGGCTCCTGGGCATTTCAATAGACAGAGAGACAAAGGATACGTATTTTTAATTTACTATTTTTGTTCTTTTAAAAGCTTGAATTTATCTTGATTTTTTCAGTCCAGTTCTAACAATAAAGTGTTCCTCATCAAATTATTTTTTTACTTTTTTCTTTTATTTTTAGCTGACACATAATAATTGTACATATTTATGGGATAGAGTGTTTTTCTTTAGAAATTTTAGTTTTATGAATTCCATTAAGGTATTTTTTGCTTGGTTTGAAACATCAGTGCCATTCTGGTTTTATTTTTTTTTAATTTTTTATTGATAAGTCATAGATGTACATATTTTCAGGGTACATGTGATAATTTAATACGTTCACCTCACTGGTAAAGATTAAATCAGTGTAATTGAAATATTCATCACCTACTCAAATTCTTGATTCTGCAATTGTAGTTCCTCTTCTCCTATGCTAAGAAGTCTAGATTTCTAACAAAATAAATGATCACTTATTTGTCTGGAAAAATTAGTTCTAAAATAATATTACAACATTAATGCAAATTTTCCAATTATCAAATACAGCTCAACTTTTCTAATAGTTCTTTTTTGTTTATTTTTAGACGGCATTCCACTAAGGATTTGCTAAAAATCTCTTTGCTCTAAACTCATTCATAACCTCTGACTCTTTGGCTCTGTATAGAGCTTTGGCTCATCTGTTCTCGTTTGTTTGCAGTTTGAGAGCCCTGGCATCAGAACAGCTGACAGACCAAAGCTCTAGAGGGGGGTGACTGGCAGCCACCAGGAAACAGGGGATCCTCCCTACCGTGAGGTGATAGAGGAGCCTCCAGCAGCGCAGTGGCCAATATTCTGCATGACGGTTGTGTTTCTCCATCTACAATGGTTTAATACATGGGTATAATCCAGATTGGCACACATGATTTCTGGCTGAATTAGCCAGTTTTGCCCCTGACATTTTATCTATCAAACCCATGTTACTTTCACAGGTTTAGGAGTTTGTTTGTTTTTTTCTTTTTCTTTTTAATTCTGTTCTTATCTTCCAAGCTTTTAATTTATCTTGCTCCTTTTTATGAGCTATAGGCTCTCCCTCCTTTTATAATATTCTACACCCCCTTACCAACCTAATATATCAGGTATGTGTTATTACATCAAGATTTTCAGTGAAAAATCAAAATGGTTCTCCCAATCAGTAGTTTCTTGACCCAGAACCAAAGTTTTTTATTTTCTCACAGGAGGATCAGATTCTTTATGATTAGCCAAGAATAGTAGCTATAAATGCAGTATCTTAAGATTTTGGCCCAAACTCTCTTTTGACTTATGAATAAAAATGTAGACTTTGCTTCATATATATTGCTGTCATCCTTATTTTAATTACAGACCAATAGAGTGTAGATTTCCAAATTCTCAGAAGTCTTTGGAAAACACAATTACCAACTACCTTAACTCTATAGAAAATTCAAACTTCCCAAGGTGAAATGAAAATGCCATAACAATACAACCAGATATACTTCAATAAAGTTTAAATTAAAAATACATAAGCATCCCTAACTCATTTTATGAGGCCAGCATCATCCTGATACCAAAGCCTGGCAGAGACACAATAAAAAGAAAAGAGAGAATTTTAGACCAATACCCCTGATGAACATCAGTGCAAAAATCCTCAATAAAATACTGGCAAACCGAATCCAGCAGCACATCAAAAAGCTTATCCACCACGATCAACTCAGCTTCATCCCTGGGATGCAAGGCTGGTTCAACATACGCAAATCAATAAACGTAATCCAGCATATAAACAGAACGAAAGACAAAAACCACATGATTATCTCAATACATGCAGAAAAGGCCTTTGACAAAATTCAACAATCCTTCATGCTAAAAATTCTCAATAAATTAGGTATTGATGGGATGTATCTCAAAATAATAAGAGCTATTTATGACAAACCCACACCCAATATCATACTGAATGGGCAAAAACTGGAAGCATTCCCTCTGAAAACTGGCACAAGACAGGGATGCCCTCTCTCACCACTCCTATTCAACATAGTGTTGAAAGTTCTGGCCAGGGCAATCAGGCAGGAGAAAGAAATAAAGGGTATTCAATTAGGAAAAGAGGAAGTCAAATTGTCCCTGTTTGCAGATGACATGATTGTATATCTAGAAAACCCCATTGTCTCAGCCCAAAATCTCCTTAAGCTGATAAGCAACTTCAGCAAAGTCTCAGGATACAAAATCAATGTGCAAAAATCACAGTCATTCTTATACACCAATAACAGACAAACAGGGAGCCAAATCATGAGTGAACTCCCATTCACAATTGCTTCAAAGAGAATAAAATACCTAGGAATCCAACTTACAAGGGATGTGAAGGACCTCTTCAAGGAGAACTACAAACCACTGCTCAATGAAATAAAAGAGGATACAAACAAATGGAAGAACATTCCATGCTCATGGATAGGAAGAATCAATATCATGAAAATGGCCATACTACCCAAGGTAATTTATAGATTCAATGCCACCCCCATCAAGCTACCAACGACTTTCTTCACAGAACTGGAAAAAACTACTTTAAAGTTCATATGGAATCAAAAAAGAGCCCGCATCGCCAAGTCAATCCTAAGCCAAAAGAACAAAGCAAGAATAAAGCTGGAGGCATCACTATTCAAACTATACTACAAGGCTACAGTAACCGAAACAGCATGGTACTGGTACCAAAACAGAGATATAGACCAAGGAACAGAACAGAGCCCTCAGAAATAATATCACACATCTATAACCATCTGATCTTTGACAAACCTGACAAAAACAAGAAATGGGGAAAGGATTCCCTATTTAATAAATGGTGCTGGGAAAACTGGCTAGCCATATGTAGAAAGCTGAAACTGGATCCCTTCCTTACACCTTATACAAAAATTAATTCAAGACGGATTAAAGACTTAAATGTTAGACCTAAAACCATAAAAACCCTAGAAGAAAACCTAGGCAATACCATTCAGGACATAGGCATGGACAAGGACTTCATGTCTAAAACACCAAAAGCAATGGCAACATAAGCCAAAATTGACAAATGGGATATAATTAACCTAAAGAGCTTCTGCACAGCAAAAGAAACTACCATCAGAGTGAACAGGCAACCTACAGAACGGGAGAAAATTTTTGCAATCTACCCATCTGACAAAGGGCTAATATCCAGAATCTACAAAGAACTCAAACAAATTTACAAGAAAAAAACAAATAACCCCATCAAAAAGTGGGCAAAGGATATGAACAGACACTTCTCAAAAGAAGACATTTATGCAGCCAACAGACACGTGAAAAAATGCTCATCATCACTGGTCATCAGAGAAATGCAAATCAAAACCACAATGAGATACCATCTCATACCAGTTAGAATGGCAATCATTAAAAAGTCAGGAAACAACAGGTGCTGGAGAGGATGTGGAGAAATAGGAACACTTTTACACTGTTGGTGGGACTGTAAACTAGTTCAACCATTGTGGAAGACAGTGTGGCGATTCCTCAAGGATCTAGAACTAGAAATACCATTTGACTCAGCAATCCCATTACTGGGTATATACCCAAAAGATTATAAATCATGCTGCTATAAAGACACATGTACACGTATGTTTACTGAGGCACTATTCACAATAGCAAAGACTTGGAACCAACCCAAATGTCCATCAATGATAGACTGGATTAAGAAAATGTGGCACATATACACCATGGAATACTATGCAGCCATGAAAAAGGATGAGTTCATGTCCTTTGTAGGGACATGGATGAAGCTGGAAACCATCATTCTCAGCAAGCTATCACAAGGACAAAAAACCAAACACCACATGTTCTCACTCATAGGTGGGAATTGAACAATGAGAACACTTGGACACAGAAGGAGAACATCACACTGGGGGCCTGTTGTGGGGTGGGGGAAGGGGGGAGGGATAGCTTTAGGAGATATACCTAATGTTAAATGACGAGTTACTGGGTGCAGCACATCAACATGGCACATGTATACATATGTAACAGACCTGCACGTTGTGCACATGTACCCTAGAACTTAAAGTATAATGAAAAAAAGAAAAAGAAAAAAAAATACATAAGCACCTGTAATCCCAGCTACTCTGGAGGCTGAGGCAGGAGAATTGCTTGAACCCAGGAGATGGAGGTTGCAGTGAGTCATGATGGTGCCACCACACTCCAGCCTGTGCAACAGAGAGAGACTCCATCTAAAAAAAAAACACATGAGCAGATATGTCCAATTATATCATGATTTATTTTTTATTGACAGAGAAGTGTATCAGATTATTTCACCTTTAAACCGTTCTCAGAAAGTTCAAGTGGAAACTTTTTTACAGAATCATACAATTTTCAGACTACATGGATTCCAATAAAACCAGTTTGTAAAATACACCAGTGTTTACAATTACAGCACACACTTATGCAATAGCTATTTAGTGTTGGTGAAGAAATCCAAATTCTTCCCAAATTTTATGATTTATTCTGAACTATATTATTTGAATTTAAAAGGTGAATTGACATATCACCTGTTTCAATTATCAAGTTTTTAATTCCTTTCTGAAGTTTTAAATAGCATTTAATTTAAAAATCCCAATTTTGGAATAAATGTTTTAGGTGACAAATGAGTTTTTAAATGAGTCATTAGCCAAAGAAAAGAGTGGGCCCCACTTTCTCATACCCTCTGCCACAATCAACACCATGCACATCTCTGGAAGCTGGGCTTTTTGTTTTTAAGCAACATGATGAGACCCACACCTCATGACCAAGTTTTTATCAGTTCTTTAACCTGAGCCTTGCCTTTGTCAACCCAAAGTTGCAACAGAGGGAGATGTTACTTAATGTTACTTGTATTTAAATTTCAGCTTCTATTTGCTGCCATCAGCTAAACTGAAACTCTTCATTTAAAACACAGGCGGTGGCTCACGCCTGCAATCCCAGCACTTTGGGAGGCCGAGGCGGGCAGATCACTTGAAGCCAGGAGTTCGAGACCAGCCTGGGCAACATTGGGAAACGTTGTCTCTACTAAAAATACAAAAACTAGCCAGGTGTGGTGGCAGGTGCCTGTAATCCCAGCTACTTGGGAGGCTGAGGCAGGAGAAACGCTTGAACCCGGGAGATGGAGGTTGCAGTGAGCTAAGATCACGCCACTGCACTCCAGCCTGGGTGACAGAGCAAGACCCCTGTCTAAAAACAAAAACAAAAACAAAAACACACAGTAAGCGTTCCACCTCACTGGCCCTCCATAATCTAGGCCTGATCTGGGGTGAGGCCAAGAAAAGGGGAAAACTATTCCATTTTGATCTATTTCCAATTGCAAGACTCAAAAGTTCAAGTGAGGCAGGGCGCAGTGGCTCATGCCTGTAATCCCAGCACTTTGGGAGGCTGAGGCAGGCGGATCACCTGAGGTCAGGAGTTCAAGACCAGCCTGGCCAACACGGCGAAACCCTGTCTCTACTAAAAATACAAAAATTAGCTGGGCATGGTGCCAGGTGCCTGTAATCCCAGCTACCCAGGAGGCTGAGACAGTAGAATCGCTTGAAGCGGGGAAGCGGAGGTTGCAGTGAGCCAAGATAGCACCACTGCACTCCAGCCTGGTTGACAGAGCAAGACTCCATCTCAAAAAAAAAAAAAAAAAGTTCAAGTGAGACAGTGAGCAGTTAATGTCAATGAAATGATTTCACCTGGGAAAGCTTGTCCTCGTGATTGATGCAGGTGGGATGACATCAGAGGGGCCTACTTTCTGGGCTGTGATCTCCTAGGGCCAGAAACTCAAGATGATGTTTTGTAGGCCTAATCTTATACTGAGGCAATTTCATAGAAGACTGGCTGGCATCTCCAGGAAATTTGGAGGCATGTGGCCACTTCCTAGAGGAGCTGTTTTAGGTACAGAGGCAAAATTTAGAAGTTACTGAGGTTTGTTCAGGCACTCATTTCTCCAAACGCCAGGATGGTTTTTTTGTTTGTTTGTTTGTTTGAGACGGAGTCTCGCTCTGTTGACCAGGCTGGAGTGCAATGGCGGGATCTCAGCTCACTGCAACCTCTGCCTCCCGGGTTCAAGGGATTCTCCTGCCTCAGTCTCCCGAGTAGCTGGGATTACAGGCGCCTGCCACTACATCCGGCTGATTTTTGTATTTTTAGTAGAGACGGGGTTTCACCATGTTAGTCAGGCTGGTCTCGAACTCCTGACCTAAGGTGATCCACCCGCCTCGGCCTCCCAAAGTGCTGGAATTACAGGCGTGAGCCACCGCGCCCGGCCACCAGGGTTTTTTTTGTTTTTGTTTTTTTGTTTTTGTGGGGTTGTTTTTTAACGTAGTTGTTGTTGTTGTTGTTTGTTTAATTTTCTCAGTGAGGTCCAGTGAAGGAACCAGGAACATGTACCTCCTCCACAATATGAGGATTTATACTTTTGCTCTTGGAGATGTTTGCAGGCACCTGAGAAGGCTCCTTGCTCAGTTCTTCCTCTAAGGTCCTCCTTAATGGGGTTTTACAACCTGATCTTGCAACCTCTCACTGGGGGAGACAAGAAAGGTCCGTGTTTTCCTTTTGTGAGCCTCATTCTCCCACCTCTGGCAAGGATACGTTTTTCCAGGTTTTGTTGTTGTTGCTGAAGAAACTGGGAGTCCCAGGAGCCAGAAGAGAAAGCTGTAATTTGGGGCCAACTCTAGTGTTCCAGTTCCAAACTTCACAGGCTGGGCAGCACGCTGGTTTAGCATGAGCAAGCAGCAGGCAGGCTCCTCCCTACTGATCTGTGCGGGGGCTGAGGAACACTCCTGGAAAGTCAGTCTAGTAAAGGGATCCTACAAATAGGTCACACAGAAGGAAAACAAAAAGACATCCAAAAAAAGTCTATTTCCGAGAGGTAGGGAATGGCAGCATGGTGGAAAGATCAACAGACAGGAGAGTGCGAGAGGCCAAGGTCCCAGAAAAGAGCGAGAGCCGTGGGTACAGCGTGAAGCCCCAAACCATGAGCTCGGGACAGATACAGACACAGAGCGAGGAGAAGGTGGCTGCTAAATTCTAACTCCACCAGTGACAGTGGAGGTTTGTTAAGGACCAAGCCCGTGGAAACTGTGTAACTGAGTTATTATTCTAGGAAACCGACCTGAGCTTTCCTTTCTTCATCCAGGAAGCCCAGGGAGTTTCATTGCGAGTGGGAACAGAAAACATTTTCAGCACTGACCACAAGGTGGCGCCAGACGCCCGTGGATGTAATGGGTCTTCCCCTCCTGGTGAGCTCCGAAGCTGGCCATGGGATCAAGTCCTCCAGATTGAAAGGAAACCAAGAGGTCTGCAGGCCCGGAAAGTTACTCTAGCCTAAGGATAATACACGGCACAAGGAAAATAATAAAAAACATCTTTACTAAAGAGACGGGGAGGGTTGGCCCAGAGACTAGACCGGCAGAGTCTACAATTCTTCTGTGAAGGGAACTTAAAAGACTTTTCCACCGAACCCCTTGACAGGACAGGGAGAGCCAAGTGGGGAAAGACTGGACGTTAAGGGGCGGAGAGGAGCCTTTAGAGGAGAAAAAATGCCTTCTGACTGATGGATTTACATTTACTGGTATTCCTCATTGACACGATAAACGAGTCGATAAGCCCAACACGATTGAATAACAAGTAGAAATGCATTCTATTAGATTCATCTTCTCTGAGAATGCATTATGGTAGCTTCGCTCTTCTTGGGTGTCATGGACTGATGACTTTTCAAATATATGGTATCAATTGTGCCAGCCAATATTCTCCTTCTGGTGCTTATATTGTCCCAACTTTGGCCAGGAGGAGCCCTGTATAGATTGTTCCTTGTGTAATTTTGAATGACCCTTATTTAATGCTTTGCTTTCTGTCTCAAAAAGGTATAGGTGTTTTAAGATTACCTTGTACCTTTCAACTCCAAACTGACATGGCATCCATTACTGCTCCAAGAAACTTTGGCTCCTTTGGGAGAAAACTAACACTAGAAACCAAAATCTTAGCATTAAGATGCATTGTGGAGGTGACATTTCTCCTGGGCCATTTCAGTGGAAAAAAGTCAAAATATTTTTAATGTCATGTTTCATAAAGACATGACTTCATATTAATATGTTTGATTCAGTTCCAACAGTGCCCTGTTCTTAGTCAAATTTGGGATCCTAAAATTAGCCTTCCTTGTCACTAATCCTAAAATCTAGATTCTTATCAAAATATACAAAATATATATTATTTACTTGCTTTATCTGATAAGATAATAGTTGCAAAAATACACTATCAATACAAAGGGATAAATACTCAATAAAGTTTTTGTTTTAGACTACATACACCTACGGATTTGTTGCCAAATTACTTTGTTCTAGAATCTCTCATAATATCTCACACCATGTGGCTATGCAGGGACTTATCTGACAGGTAGTTCTGGGTCCATTGTTTCCATCCACTTTCATTTTGAAGAGGCTGCAACCTGCCCCCAGCCCCCGTTTTCTGCTCTACTTTTTCATTTTACCGTGACTTACAAACTCCCAATATACTAAATAATTCACTGAATAATAATACTGTTATTGTGTTATTATTTCTCCCTTACCCCATTGGAATGTAAGCCTCATGGAGCAGGGATTTTATTCACTGGACCCTGGCAGTTGCACCCTAAAGGCAGGACTAAGAAAGCTGGGCTTGATTCTGGGGGCTCAGGGGACTCTACTGGGTTGGCCTGCAAGAGACAGTCTTCAGTGAAACAGCAGAAGCCACTCTAGGCTGCTCCCAAATACTTATCCCCCCACAACACACACACACAAGTACTTCCCCCAATTCCCACAGGACTCAATGAGAAACTGTGAAAACAAAGCAAGCCAGTAGTGCTGAGCCTGAGCCCCTGGACTCAGTGACTGGGCATCTGGAGGGTTGGAGCTTCTAGAAAAAGAATGTGGCAGGAAGCTGTGCCTTATGATGAGAGTGACCTGGCTCCTGGTTTGCCCAGAGGAGTCCCGATTTACAGCTGTGGTCCTGCCGTAATTACTAATCACATTCCTTTTCACTCATGTAAGTGTCCAGATGTAGGGATAAATGCATTGGAGGGGCAGGGAGGAGGCCTGGGGACTTGGGATAGAAGTGCTCCAGGGGAGAGGGAACAGCCAGCTGTAGAGGAGGCAGCCCCTCCACCAATGGGGGCTGGCAGGTCGGGTGCATGGCTGGGGCTCCATAAATGCACATTCAGGGCAAGGGGAGACAACAGAAGAATCAAGAGAAATCTCTGTGTACCTATAGATGCCAAAAAATGGATGGGCACTGGGAATAGTTGTGAGAGACTCAAGCAGATGGAGGTCAGGGTCCTTTCTCAGTTCTGCGCCTGGGCTGTGACAGAAGGATAGTGCCCCCCACCACCCCACCATAAGGGGGCAGGAAGAGAGAGGAGGGAGGGTGATGACTGGAATAGTAATATGGTCTTTGTTTTTGCAAACTGAAAGTGTGTTTCTAGTTTAGGTCAAATATAAAATTAGCACACACCCTCTAACGAACAACACAGAGAAGCATACAAAATAACACAAAGGAAAAGAAGGAACGGGTCTTGAGCGATCTCATGCTCCTGGAGAGACCCCTCCAGGTGGTGAAGGGCTGTGGGCCTCTGGGGAAACACCCAGTTGATGCAGTTAGACTGTCCCACCACTGGGCTGGCTGGAAAGGGCCCAGGAAGTGAGGGTGAAGATAAACCAACTTGGAGGCTCCAGAGCTTCGAGGGGGTTAGAAAGCAAGGCGCAGGCCCTGCCCATCAATCCCTTCACCCCTCAAGAAGTTTCCTCCCATCATTCCTTCTCTGTGGTTGGCTCTTTTCTTCACCTGGTGGGGCAAAGGGGTGGGTAGAAGCTTCCAGAGGTAGGTCCTAAATGAGCAGACTAAGAGGGGCTGGGGATACCCTGAGTAAGCTGTCAAGGAAAAGAGGGTTCCCCAGGGATTTCCTGTGGGGTGGGGCCAACAGGAAAGGCTTAGGAGCACCTAACCAGGCGAAGCTTATGCCAGCTGCCTCAGTTGGGGTTCTCATGCAGCCAGAGGCTGCCCCCAACCAGGCAGCCCTGGGCTCTGGACTTCTGGGGCTGCTCCTCCGCTGCTCCCATCCCCACCCCCACCCCCACCCCGAGTCCTCTTGACCAAAGGTATCCTTTGGAGCCTCTCTGGACTTGAGGTTGAAAATGTAACTAGAACTTTAAAGACCGCTTTTGGCCAGGGTGGCCCTTTTTATTTGCTGAATTCTGTACTTTACCAACAGAAAAAAGGAGCACAACAAACATGCACATGTTACTGACTTCTGCATTCTCGTCGCATTGCACACATACATTTCACCTGCTGTCTGCAGTGTGCACACACTGTCAACACTTTACAGTAGTTCATGGATCCTCCGTGTTCATGCACATCCCATTTTCAGTGTGGCTGTGACCTTCCTCCAGGTCACCTACTGTAGAGCTCGCTAAGCCATTCCCCTCTGCACCGGCATTGGGCTTGAAGTGAACTCAACACCATTGCTCCCATGATTCCTTTTCTCTCAAGGATTATTCTGGGAAAGTGGGCTCTCCAAGCCACCCAGTGTGTAGAGTCCTTGATCATTCTCATCATACATTTATGTCCTGCTCTCCAGAAACACTGAATCAGTCAGACTGTAGAGTGTCACCAGTTTCCCTCTAGCCTTGCAAGTGCTGGGTGTATTTATGTGTACGTGTGTATATATAGAGAGAGACTCTGTGTGTGTGTGTTTAGCAGGTGTGTAGGTAATTCCCCCATTACAGATGAGAAAACTTAGGACCGAAGGGATGAAGTCACTTTTCCCAGGGTTGCTCAGCCAGCAAGTGGCAGCCCCCAGTCTAGAGGTCACATCCCCTAAGCCTCAGTCAGTGTTCTGTTAGACAAACCACCCTGCCTCTGATGGTTGCTTCTAGACTTGTAGACAACAGGCTCTTCCTACTTCTCTCATCCCTTGTCCGTGGCGGAAAACAGAAACACAACTTGTCCCCTCATGGTTTCCATGTCATGCAGACCAGGTTCTCGGCTTCACCTGGGCCCTTCCGCAAACCTATGAGATCCAGGCCCTGAGGAGTTCCTCAGGAGACATCACAGCCGTGGCACAGGCATCCACCTCCTCCCTTCTGCAGCTGATTAACTTCTGGGGTGAATTGGTTATTTTCTGAAAAATAATTTTCATTAATATTCATTAGAGGATAGCAGTAGTAGTAATACTAAAGAATATTATTACATTTTTAACTATTTGATTAATTAATTTCCAAGCAGCAAAAACAAAAACCAAAAAACAATTTCAAGCCCTAGATCAGGGGCTTCCAACATTTGCTAAGAATATCTCCCAGTTCACTACCCTACAGTTCCCTTGAAGCCCTGCTTGGTCAGAGTTCCTCATTCTAAGACCCTGCCCCACAAAAACCCAGAATGTAATTCTGGTTCTTAAAAAAAAAATTAAAGGCAGGTGCAATGGCTCACACCTGCCTTGGGAGGCTGAAACAGGCAGATCGCTTGAGCCCAGGACTTAGAGACCAGCCTGGGCAACATAGCAAGGCTCCCTCTCCACAAAAAATAAACTAGCCAGGCATGGTGGCACATGTCTGTGGTCCCAGCTACTCGTGAGGCTGAGGCAGGAGGATCAATTGAGCCTGGGAGGTCAAGGCTGCAGTTAAGCTCTGATCACACCACTGCACTCCAGCCTAGGTAACAGAGCAAGACCCTGTCTCAACAACAACAACAACAACAAAACCCTAACCTTCTTCCACCACAGAGCTCTGAGAATTATGACCTGGTCTGAGATGCTTTATGAACAGCACCTAGCATGGTGCCCAATACAGAGAGGATGTTCCATAAATGGGAGTCCCTTCCTTGCTCATATTTCAGGTTCCCGCCATCTTCTTTCAGTGGCCCCAGTACACAATCATTACTAGTTATAAACATGCAGACATCAACTTTTCAGGTGGACTCTCCCACCTATTACTCGCCTGCTCACCTCTGCCAAAATCTCTAGGTTCTTCTACAGTTATCTCTCTCGGCCCTTCTCCTCATCACTCCCAAGGGTACCATCTGGGCACAAATAGGCACAATGGTTTCCTCCACCTCAGTTCCTCAGGAGACATCAGCTTCATTGAGCCAGTCTCCCTTCATCCTTGTTTGCAAAGAGGCAGCCACAGAGGCTCACTCTTGGTGTCCATGGGCAAATGCCAACAGGAAGAGGCAACACACAGCAGCATTCACTAAGCGGGGGTGTTAGTGTGAAGCCCATTGGCTCGCTGCTGCTGGTGCAGTCAGATTCTCAGGACACTAACTCCCTACATCTGCAGTGGTCATACATGATCATTTTTTAAATTCCAGAACAGTGCTGTCCAATAGAAATATAATGTGAATCACATATGCAATTTTTAAAATCTCGTAGCACATTTTAAAAGTAAAAAGAAACAGGTGGAACTAATTTTAATAATATATTTTATTTAACAAATATATCCAAAATATTATCATTTTAACACGTCACTTAAAAAATGACTGAAATATTTTATATTCTTGTTTTATTCTGCCTTTAAAATCCATTCCATATTTTATATTTAAAATACATCTCAATTTGGACGAGCCACATTTCTACTGTCTAACAGATATGACTAGTGGCTACTGTATTAGACAGTGCAGTTCTAGCACATTAATGTAAAACAAACATCATAATCTCAGAATTTTGGAAGGTGCAAAACTGTGGTCCCACAGTTTAGAACTAATTTTCAAGCAAAGCTCAGCATATTTTATAAAATCGGAATCAGTTTTCAACATTTAAAAATCAAGAGATTTCTCATAAAAATCTAGATTTCTGGGCTTCTCATTTAAAACTTGGAGATCTGGCAGCACTGGCTCACACTTCCTCTTGGTAGCAACCTGCTGTCGCTGAGAAGATGAAACATATTTGCCATGATCCCCATCCCCCTCCCTATTGAGTTACATTCATTGCACTGCAAGTTCTTTCCTTTTGCTTTTTTTTCTTCTTTCCAGAGCCTGTGTGGACTCAGAGGCATCTGAGTTCACAAACTCCACTTTCTATGAAGCATGCAAGGTCATACTTGGACGGTTCATTGAAGAATTACTAATTTGGGACCATCTTTATGCTTGCTACCTACATTACAGCAGAATGTGACAGCAAGAAGAGAAAGAATAAAGTGAGTCACAGAAAGGAAACTGAGACCCTTCAGCACCAAAGCACCCATTCCCATGAAGCAAATACAGGTGCAAGACAAAGAAAATAAATTATATTTTTAAACAGAGACTATATACTGGGCAGAATTAATATAATTTTCCTTCCATATATAGTTTTGCTTTAGATTTTTACTTGGTGGGATTGCGTTCCAAGATGGCTGAATAGAAACACTCCAGTCTGCAGCCCCCAGTGTGAGCCATGCAGAAGATGGGTGATTTCTGCATTTCCAACTGAGGTACCTGGTTCATCTCATTGGGACTGGTTGGACAGTCGGTGCAGCCCACAGAGGGCGAGCTGAAGCAGGGCAGGGCATCGCCTTACCCGGGAAGCACAAGGGGCCAGGGGATTTCCCTTTCCTAGCCAAGGGAAGCCGTGACAGACTACCTGGAAAAATGGGGCACTCCCACCCAAATACTGTACTTTTCCCAAGGTCTTAGCAACTGGCAGACAAGGTGATTCTCTCTCGTGCCTGGCTCGGCAGGTCTCATGCCCATGGAGCCTTGCTCACTGCTAGCGCAGCAGTCTGAGATCAATCTGCGAGGTGGCAGCCTGGCTTGGGGAGGGGCATCTGCCATTGCTGAGGCTTGAGTAGGTAAACAAAGCAGCCAGGAAGCTCGAACTTGGCGGAGCCCACCACAGCTCAACAATGCCTACTGCCTCTAGACTCCACCTCTATGGACAGGGCATAGCTGAACAAAAGGCAGCAGACAACTTCTGCAGACTTAAACGTCCCTGTCTGACAGCTCTGAAGAGAGCAGTGGTTCTCCCAGCACAGCATTTGACCTCCGAGAACAGACAGACTGCCTCTTCAAGTGGGTCACTGACCCCCGTGTAGCCTAACTGGGAGACACCTCCCAGTAGGGGCTGACAGACACCTCATACAGGCAGGTGCCCCTCTGCGACAAAGCTTCCAGAGGAAAGATCAGGCAGCAATATTTGCTGTTCTGCAATATTTGCTGTTCTACAGCCCCCACTGGTGATACCCAGGCAAACGGTCTGGAGTGGACCTCCAGCAAACTCCAATAGACCTGCAGCTGAGGGACCTGACTGTTAGAAGGAAAACTAACAAACAGAAAGGAAGAGCATCAACATCAACAAAAAGGTCATCTACACCAAAACCCCATCTCTAGTCACCAACATCAAGACGAAAGGTACATATAACCACAAAGATGGGGAGAAACCAGAGCAGAAAAGCTGAAAATTCTAAAAATCAGAACACCTCTTCTCCTCCAAAGGATCACAGCTCCTCGCCAGCAATGGAGTAAAGCTGGATGGAGAATGACTTTGACGAGTTGACAGAAGTAGGCTTCAGAAGGTCGGTAATAACAAAATTCTCCAAGCTAAAGGAGGATGTTGGAACCCATCACAAGTAAGCTAAAAACCTTGAAAAAAGATTAGACAAATGGCTAACTAGAATAAACAGTGTAGAGAAGACCTTAAATGACCTGATGGAGCTGAAAACCATGGCACGAGAACTTCATGACGCATGCACAAGCTTCAGTAGATGATTTGATCAAGTGGAAGAAAGGATATCAGTCACTGAAGATCATATTAATGAAATAAAGTGAGAAAACAAGGTTAGAGAAAAAAGAGTTAAAAAAAAAAGTGAACAAAGCCTCCAAGAAATATGGGACTATGTGAAAAGACCAAATATATGTCTGATTGGTGTGCCTGAAAGTGTTGGGGAGAATGGAACCAAGTTGGAAAACACTCTGCAGGATATTATCCAGGAGAACTTCCCCAACCTAGCAAGGCAGGCCAACATGCAAATTCAGGAAATACAGAGAACACCACAAAGATACTCCTCAAGAAGAGCAACCCCAAGACACATAATTGTCAGATTCACCAAGGTTGAAATGAAGGAAAAAGTGTTAAGGGCAGCCAGAAAGAAAGGTCAAGTTACCCACAAAGGGAAGCCCATCAGACTAACAGCAGATCTCTTGGCAGAAATTCTACAAGCCGGAAGAGAGTGGTGGCCAATATTCAACATTCTTAAAGAAAAGAATTTTCAACCCAGAATTTCATATCCAGCCAAACTAAGCTTCATAAGTGAAAGAGAAATAAAATTCTTTACAGCCAAGCAAATGCTGAGAGATTTTGTCACCACCAGGCCTGCCTTACAACAGCTCCTGAAGGAAGCACTAAACATGGAGATGAACAACCAGTACCAGCCACTGCAAAAACATGCCAAATAGCAAAGACCATCGACGCTAGGAAGAAACTGCATCAACTAATGGGCAAAATAACTAGTTAACATCATAATGACAGGATCAAATTCACACATAACAATATTAACCTTAAATGTAAAAGGGCTAAATGCCCCAATTAAAAGACACAGACTGGCAAATTGGATAGAGTCAAGACCCATCAGTGTGCTGTATTCAGGAGACCCATCTGACATGCAAAGATGCACATAGGCTCAAAATAAAGGGATGGAGGAAGATCTACCAAGCAAATGGAAAGCGAAAAAAAAGCAGGGGTTGCAATCCTAGTCTCTGATAAAACAGACGTTAAACCAACAAAGATCAAAAGAGACAAAGAAGGCCATTACATAATAGTAAAAGGATCAATCCAACAAGAAGAGTTAGCTATCCTAAATATGTATGCACCCAATACAGGAGCACCCAGATTCATAAAGCAAGTCCTTAGAGAACTACAAAGAGACTTAGACTCCCACACAATAATAATGGGAGACTTTAACAGCCTACTGTCAATATGAGACAGATCAACGAGACAGAAGGTTAACAAGGATATCCAGGACCTGAACTCAGCTCTGCAACAAGCAGACCTAATAGACATCTACAGAACTCTCCACCCCAAATCAATAGAATACACATTCTTCTCAGCACCATATCGCACTTATTCTAAAATTGACCACATAAATGGAAGTAAAGCACTCCTCAGCAAGTAAAAGAAAAGAAATCACAACAAACTGTCTGTCAGACCACAATGCAATCAAATTAGAACTCAAGATTAAGAAACTCACTCAAAACCACACAACTACATGGCAACTGAACAACTTGCTCCTGAATGACTACTGGGTAAATAACGAAATGAAGGCAGAAATAAAAATGTTCTTTGAAACCAATGACAACAAAGACACAACGTAGCAGAATCTCCGGGACACATTTAAAGCAGTGTGCAGAGGGAAATTTATAGCACTAAATGCTCACAAGAGAAAGCAGGAAAGATCTAAAATTGACACCCTAACATCACAATTAAAAGAACTAGAGAAGCAAGAGCAAACACATTCAAAAGCTAGAAGAAGGCAAGAAATAACTAAGTTGAGAGCAGAACTGAAAGAGAGAGACACACAAAAAAACCCGTCAAAAAATAAATGAATCCAGAAGCTGGTTTTTTGAAAAGATCAACAAAACTGATAGACTGCTAGCAAGACTAACAAAGAAGAAAAGAGAGAAGAATCAAATAGACGCAACAAAAAATGATAAAGGGGATATCACCACCGATCCCACAGAAATACAAACTACCATCAGAGAATACTATAAACACCTCTACGCAAATAAACTAGAAAATCTAGAAGAAATGGATAAATTCCTGGACACATACACCCTCCCAAGACTAAACCAGGAAGAAGTTGAATCTCTGAATAGATCAATAACAGGCTCTAAAATTGAGGCAATAATTAATAGCCTAACAACCAAAAAAAGTCCAGGACCAGACGGATTCACAGCCGAATTCTACCAGCGGTACAAAGAGGAGCTGGTACCATTCCTTCTGAAACTATTCCAATCAATAGAAAAGGAGGGAATTCCTCCCTAACTCATTTTATGAGGCCAGCATCATCCTGATATCAAAGCCTGGCAGAGACATACACACAAAAAAGAGAATTTTAGACCAATATCCCTGAGGAATATCAATGCAAAAATTCTCAATAAAATACTGGCAAACCAAATCCAGCAGCACATCAAAAAGCTTATCCACCACGATCAACTCAGCTTCATCCCTGGGATGCAAGGCTGATTCAACATACACAAATCAATAAACATAATCCATCACATAAACAGAACCAAAGACAAAAACCACACCATTATCTCAATAGATGCAGAAAAGGCCCTTGACAAAATTCAACAGCCCTTCATGCTAAAAACTCTCAATAAACTAGGTACTGATGGAACGTAACTCAAAATAATAAGAGCTATTTATGACAAACCCACACCCAATATCATACTGAATGGGCAAAAACTGGAAGCATTCCTTTTAAAAACCAGCACAAGGATGCCCTCTCTCACCACTCCTATTCAACATAGTGTTGGAAGTTCTGGCCAGGCCAAGCAGGCAAGAGAAGGAAATAAAGGGTACTCAATTAGGAAATGAGGAAGTCAAATTGTTCCTGTTTGCAGATGACATGATTGTATATTTAGAAAACCCCATCGTCTCAGCCCAAAATCTCCTTAAGCTTATAAGCAACTTCAGCAAAGCCTCAGGATACAAAATCGATGTGCAAAACTCACAAGCATTCCTATACACCGTTAACAGACAGAGAGCCAAATAATGAGTGAACTCCCATTCACCATTGCTACAAAGAGAATAAAATACCTAGGAATCCAGCTTACAAGGGATGTGAAGGACCTCTTCAAGGAGCACTACAAATCACTGCTCAACGAAATAAAAGAGGACACAAACAAATGGAATAATATTCCATGCTCATAGATAGGAAGAATCAATATCGTGAAAATGGCCATACTGCCCAAAGTAATTTATACATTCAATGCCATCCCCATCAAGCTACCAATAACTTTCTTCACAGAATTGGAAGAAATTACTTTAAAATTCATATGGAACCAAAAAAGAGCCCGCATTGCCAAGAGAATCCTAAGCCAAAAGAACAAAGCTGGAGGCATCACACTATCTGACTTCAAACTGTACTACAAGGCTACAGTAACCAAAACAGCATGGTACTGGTACCAAAACAGAGATATAGACAAATGGAACAGAACAGAGACCTCAGATATAACACCACACATCTACAACCATCTGATCTTTGATGAACCTGACAAAAACAAGAAATGGGGAAAGGATTCCCTATTTAATAAATGGTGCTGGGAAAATTGGCTAGCCATATGTAGAAAGCTGAAACTGGATCCCTTCCTTACACCTTATACAAAAATCAATTCAAGATGGATTAAAGACTTAAATGTTAGACCTAAAGCCATAAAAGTCCTAGAAGAAAACCTAGGCAATACCATTCAGGACATAGGCATGGGCAAGGACTTCATGACTAAAACACCAAAAGCAATGGCAACAAAAGCCAAAATAGACAAATGGGATATAATTAACCTAAAGAGCTTCTGCACAGCAGAAGAAACTACCATCAGAGTGAACAGGCAACCTACAGAATGGGAGAAAAATTTTGCAATCTACCCATCTGACAAAGGACTAATATCCAGATTCTACAAAGAACTCAAACAAATTTACAAGAAAAAAAAAACCATCAAAAAGTGGGCAAAGGATATGAACAGACACTTCTCAAAAGGAGACATTTATGCAGCCAACAGACACATGAAAAAATGCTCATCATCACTGGTCATCAGAGAAATGCAAATCAAAATCACAATGAGATACCATCTCATACCAGTTAGAATGGCAATCATTAAAAAGTCAGGATACAACAGATGCTAGAGAGGATATGGAGAAATAGGAACACTTTTACACTGTTGGTGGGAGTGTAAATTAGTTCAACCATTGTGGAAGACAGTGTGGCAATTCCTCAAGGATCTAGAAATATAGTTACCATTTGACCCAGCAATCCCATTACCTGGTAGATACCCAAAGGATTATAAATCATGCTACTATAAAGACACATGCACACATAGGTTTATTGTGGCACTATTCACAATAGCAAAGACTTGGAACCAACCCAAATGTCCATCAATGATAGACTGGATTAAGAAAATGTGGCACATATATACCATGGAATACTATGCAGCCATAAAAAAGGACAAGTTCATGTCCTTTGCAGGGACATGGATGAAGCTGGAAACCATCATTCTCAGCAAACTATCACAAGGACGGAAAACCAAACACCGCATGTTCTCACTCATAGGTGGGAATTGAACAATGAGATCACTTGGACACAGTGCAGGGAACATCACACACCGGGGCCTGTCAGGAGGTGGACTTGGGGGAGGGATAGCATTAGGAGAAATACCTAGTGTAAATGATGAGTTGATGGGTGCAGCAAACCACCATGGCACATGTATACCTATGTTTCAAACCTGCAGGTTGTGCACATGTACCCTAGAACTTAAAGTATAATAATAATAATAATAAAAGATTATTACTTGGTGATATAAACTTTAATGGAAAAAATTCTTAATGTCATATTTCAGAGTGCAACCATCACCTACTATAAAATTTTAGACGTAGACATGAAATGTTTCGTCCATACAGATAAATTAAACACAAACTCAGTAGACCCTTTTGAAGAATTGTCAAGGATTTCTGATTGGTAATTTTCCATGGTTTAGTTGGAAAGATGAGTTGACTTTGCAAGGATGGCTAGAAATCACTTTTTAATAGTTTGGGGTAGTATCTGTAAGTAACACACATGTAGAAATGCAGCTAGGCTATGCTAAAGTCATAGCGGAGAGAGGGGAGGTGGCAGTATTGATTCACAGCTCAAGAATTTGTGCGGGATTCAATGGACGCTAGTGATCTGCTTCTCACACAGCACTGTGGGGAAATGCATAGACTCAGAGAATTTGTCCACTTTAAAAATCTTAGCGTGAAGTAAGGATAAAAGTTAAAAGCCTTACGGAAGGGAATGCACGTAGGAACAGACATCAGAATGATGTAGGAAGAATGGTAACAGAGAACAGGGAAGCAAAAGGTAGTCAAGGGTAGTGACGTCTATCTGCCATGGATGAAATTGGTCATACTGTCACAGAGTCTTCCAGTCTCTGGTCTCATCTAAGCTATTTCGTTTTCTCCAAAAGCTGATTTTAGGGTGTGGCTCATGATACATCAGGATTCCTAGGAGATCTTAGCTGTTGAGGACTCTTCTTGTGTACCTGAAATCCTGTAAGTTATTAACCCTTTACATGGTTCTTTCCCTGTCTCTTTACCCTGTTCCTCACTAACAAGGCACTGGGTCTTGGGAAGATCTTCATTCCCCTGATCTTGAGGTAGAGAGAAAAACTCTTCTGGCCCCCTGATAGAACTAGTAAAGAAAACATAAGAGAGAGTGTTAAGAGTGTAGTTGCCTGTAAGAGTAAGCATGGGCAGCAGAGTTCAGAGAGAAATCACAACAGAAGACCATCTGATGGAGCCCAGCTGAGGAAGGCTGAGCTTTTCACCACGTATGAGAAAGAAGAGCTATTGATATGCCTCAGCCAGAAATGCTCCCTACCATTACCATCGCTTTGGATTAGGTCAAGGGATTCCTCTTTTATTGCAGGTTTCTACTTCCACTTATGTCAGGAGAGCACCAATCAGACCAACACTCCTCAGATTACAACTTTTAAAACTGACCCAAATATTAAAAACAGATTCCTTAAATCATGGTAGAGCAACTAAAAGTTCATGCTTGGAAGAAGGGAATGTCACTGGGTGAGTTTCCCATTTTTCACAGCTCCTTGCCTAAAGGCAGGTCCCACTTGGTGCCATAGTCTTACTGTTTTTGAAAAGCCAAAAAACAGAGACTGGTGCAAACACAGAAGTTAGAAAGTAAGAGGAAAAATCCCAAAAAGGAGAGAGCCAGAAAAGGGGAGCTGCAATTCTGTACATAAATTCTGCCCAAATATCTGATTGACCTTTGAACTGTGTGAGGTACAGGTGTGGGGAAAGCTCCTACCAGTCTGTCTAAGGCTAAACAGTCTAATAGATATCAACTGCCTACTGCATAGGAGACCAAAGTTGAGTCTTTCTTCTAAACTAACTGCTTACTAAAGCAAATAAACAAACAAAAAAAATCAATAGTTTTCAGAGGAACATAACTGAATCCAAAATCTCTATAACATATTGTTGGCAATATCCAGACTGTAATCCAAAATCACTAGACATACAAAATATAGGAAAATGTGACCTACACCAAATAAAAAACGATCAATAGAGGCCAACCTTGACATGACCCACCTGGTGAAATTAGCAAAGATTTTAAAGTAAAGCAGACAAAGGTATTTATAATGATGCTCAAAGACAGAAGAAAATATTCTCATAATAAATGACCAAATAGAAAATCTCAGCAGAGAATATTTACTATAAAAAAGAAACAAATGGAAATTCTAGAATTTAAAAACACAATATCTGAAATTTAAATACAAAATTCACTAGACGTGCCTAAAATCAGACTGGTGATAACAGAAGAGTCAGTGAACAAGAAGATAGGTTAATAAAATTATTCAATCTGAAGAATAAAGAAGAGGAAAAGAAGTTTTTTATAAAAATGAATGGAGTCTCAGGTATCTATGGAGACAATATCTGAAGGTCTAATATAAATAAGATTGGACTCACAGAAGGAGAGAAGAGAATGAGACAAAAAAAAAAAAAATACCTGAAGAAATATGGGCTGGGAGCAGTGGCTCATATCTGTTAAGCCCAACACTTTGGGAGGCCAAGGCGGAAGGATATCACTTGAGCCCAGGAGTTCCAGACCAGCCTGGGAAACATAGGGAGAACCCCATCACTACAAAAAAATAAAATAATTAGCTGTGGCCAGGTGCAGTGGCTCATGCCTATAATCCCAGCACTTTGGGAGTCCAAAGCAGGAGGATTGCTTGAGCCAGGAGTTCAAGACCAACCTGGACAACATAGCAAGACCCTGTCTCTACATAAAATTTAAAAATTAGCTGGTTGCTCTGTCACATGCTTGTAGTCCCAACTACTCAAGAGGCTGAAGTGGGAGGATCACTTGAACCCAGAAGGTCGAGGCTGCAGTGAGCCATAATCATGCCACTGCACTCCAGCCTGAGTGGCAGAGTGAGACCCTGTCTCTAAAAAAATAAAAAGAAAAAAAAAGGCTGAAAATTTTCCAAATTGTAGCTTAAAAATATATACATGTACAGATTCAAGAAGCTCAGTATACTATAAGCAAGATAAATATAATGCAAACCCCATCTAGGCATGTTATAATTTAACTGGTGAAAGCCAATGGTAATTTAAAACCAGCAAGAGAAAAAGAACACATTTCACATAGGGGAATGATGTTAAAAAAATCATGGATGTTTTCTTATCAAAAACAATGTAAGCTAGAAGACAATTAAACAATACTTTTAAAGTAGTAAGAGCTGGGTGCAGTGGCTCTCGCACATGTCATCCCAGCACTTTGGGAGGCCAAGAAAGAGGATTGTTTAAGCCCAGGAGTTCCAGACTAGCCTGGGCAACATAGCAAGATGCCATCTTTATTAAAATAAAATGTTATTATTTTTGAAATATTATAATTAATATTTAAAATGAAAATATAGTAAGAAAAAATTGCCAACCAAGAATCCAGCAAAAATATCCTTCAAGAATGAAAGCAAAATAAAGACATTTTCAGATAAAAAAAATCAAAGAGAATTTGTCACTAGCAGATCTACATTACTAAACCTATAATTAAAAAAAGTCAAGAAGTTTTATAAAATGACAGGAAGCCCACACCAGATGGAAATAAAGATCTCAGAAAAGAAGAAAGAGTTCCAGAAATGGTAAATATGTGGGTAAATATAAAAGATTATTTTAAATACCTTAAAAATATATATGACTATATAAAGCAAAAATTATTCCAAAATTCTTACATTTCATGTGAAATGATATAATATTAACTCTAAGTAGACTGTGAAAAGTTAAGAATATGTATATTGTAACTCTTAGGACAACCATGAAAAAGTAATGTGAAGAAGAATAACTAAAAAGTCACTAAAGTGAAATTCAAAAAAAATTTTTAATTAACCCAAAAAGAGGCAGAAAAAGAACAGAGGGGAAAAAAAAAAAAAAAAAAGAAAAGAAAATCATGGACCTAAATTCAACCATATCAATCATTATATTAAATGTTAATGGAGGCCAGGCACAGTGGCTCACACCTGTTATCCCAGCACTTTGGGAGGCCAAGGCGGGTGGATCACCTGAGGTCAGGAATTCAAGACCAGCCTGATCAATATGGTGAAACCCTGTCTCTACTAAAATACAAAAATTAGCCGGGTGTGGGGGCATGCACCTGTAGTCCCAGCTACTCAGGAGGCTGAGTCAGGATTCCTTAAACCCGGGAGGCAGAGGTTGCAGTGAGCCGAGATCATGCCACTGTACTCCAGCCTGGGTGACAGGGTGGGACTCCGTCTCAAAAAAAAAAAAGTTAGTGGACTAAAAATACCAATTTAAAGGCAGAGGTTGTCAGAATGGATTTATACCAAAAAATAATTATAACAGAAAAGACTGACTATATGCTGTCTATAAGAGACACACCTTAAATATAAATATACAGATAGATTTAAAGTAAAAATATGTAAAAAAATAAAAAAGATATACCATACAAACAGTGAGCAAAAAAAAAAAAAAGATATACTGATATCACACTAAGGAATATTACCAGAGGTAAAGAAGAACATATCATAATGATAAAAGACTCCATTACTTGGAAAATCATAACAAAATCTGAATACATTTAAATGTCAAAATATGAATACACTTAAAACAGAGCCTCGAAATACATTAAGGAAAATCTGACATAAAGAGAGAAACAGGCCAGGTGCAGTGGCTCACGCCTATAATCCCAACACTTTGAGAAGCCAAGGTGGGTGGATCATGAGGTCAGGAGTTTGAGACCAGCCTGGCCAACATGGTGAAACTCCTGTCTCTATTAAAAATACAAAAATTAGATGGGTGTGGTGGCAGGCGTCTGTAATCCCAGTTACTCAGGAGGCAGGAGAATTGCTTGAACTCAGAAGGCGGAGGTTGCAGTGAGCCAAGATTGCGCCACTGCACTCCAGCCTGGGCGATGACAGCGAAACTCCGTCTCGAAAAAAAAAAAGAGAGAGAGAGAGAAAAACAGATATGCCCACACTCGGTGGCATTTTGATATCCTACTCTCAATATTAAAACAACTATACAAAAAAAAATGACAAAGATGATCTGAACAATACCACGAAACATTTTGACCTAATTGATATATATAAAACACTTCCCCAATAACTGCAGAATACATATCCTTTTATGCTTCAAGGTACTTTGAGACCCTCACGTTCTTGCTAAAGGGTAATAAAGGCCCACCCTGTTTCCCAGGGTATGATATATCCCATTGCCTTTATGCATAGCAGTAAGCCATTCGTGATTCAGAGAAGGATGGAGGGGGAACTGATAAAAAGGACACTGCCAAGCTTTATGAAAAGAAATGAGTCAATAAATATAAAGCCTTAGAACAGTATCTGGCACTTAGCTCTGTACTAGTATCAGCTAACATCGTTATGACTACCTGGAAGTATGGGAAAGAAGGGAGATCTGGCATTAGGATAACAGAGTGGAGGGGTGTCCTGAAGACTGAATTATAGTAAGAATTATTCCTCCTGTTTAGGGAGAGAAAGCAGGGCCACAGGGATGTCACAAGGATGACTCCTTTCAGAAAGAGTGACTCCAGGCTGATAAGGAGCTATGGGCATGTATAAGTTGCAGGTAGTTCTGGCTTTAGTTGCTTTTCAGAAGCTGACACTGGCTCCCTCTTCCCAGGAGAGAACTGTGAGAATTCCCTAGGGTGACAGGGATGGGGCTTTTTGATTTTGTTTTTGTTGTTTTTGTTTTGTTTTGTTTTATTGCACTGCTTTGTGTGGTTGAGGTCTGGGGGTTGGCGGGAAACATCTGGAGAGGCAGCCAGAGAACATGGGGGAGCTGTTGGAGGCCTGCTTTTGTGTTTCCCCTACGATTGCATGGGTGCATGGGTCCTATACCCACTGGAGAGACCCAGACCTGTGGTCCAGGGCCCTCAGGAGTAAGATAAGAATTCTGACCTCATGAGGATCTGAGAATACAGGTAGGGTCCCCTAACTCAGGCAGTCACTATCAAGGTCCAGGTTGCTGTCCCTTCACCCCACCCTACCCCACCAAAATCAAAACACAGTCCATGCCTCCCATGTACATCTTCTTCACTCTGAGAACAATGAGGCTTTTGGCATGTGAATTGAATAAGTTGGGTTGGAACATGTTATTGGGTGTAGCTGCTGTTACAATTGTGGGAAGAGGCCAAGAATGCTCAGCAGGCCAGTCTGGGAGGGTAAGACCATGAGTGACTCCTGCAATGCTGAGCATCCTGGGCTGGGCAACACATCTTCTCTCTTTGCCATCCCAGGTCCTGGGAGAAAGCAGAAGTGGCTTGCCTCAGGAAGGTCACCACGCCCTGGAGAAGGGAGATTTCTTCCAGTACCTCTAGTTAGAAATGAAGTATTTTATAAGTATTCCTCTCCCCTCTCTGTGCAGATGCCTATAATCTCATGATAGAAACATGGAAACATGTGCCCATGCCCAGCTAAGGCCCAAACTACATCTGGTCAGTGTTATACTGAAAGGAATAAAGAACTACTCTATTACCAAGGTGTCTGGGAGGACCACCACGGGGCAACAGGAGTACTGGAGCAGCCGGCCCATTTTCCAGACGAACAGTGGCACGACCACAAGGATCAGCATGAAGCCAACAAAGGCAAACAGGGCCAGTACCAGGGGAATGGCCTCTCCTGGAAACAAAAGATAAAAACAGGCTTAGAAAACAGCAGCAAAGATTAAAACTTCAATCCTGAGCCTCCCCCGGTTTCCTGGAGTTGACTCTGCACATTGGCTAAGACGGCAGATAACAGAATCCTGAGATTTGATGTGTGCCCTAGTGACCAAAATTACCACCATTAAAAGCATTTTTCTAGAATCCAGATGAAGGCATGGTTTCCAGAAAGCCCCAGGGAAGATTAAAATCTTTTCCTTGTGACACAAAAGGGAGGAGTATCATGTGTTAAGCCAATTGCTGTGTTAGCACGTACCTTGGCACCACTGCCAGGAGGAAGGCAGAGTGCCAAGCCCTGGGCAGGATGAGGGGGAGGTATTGAAAGAGAACAGCACAGAATGGGGCTGGGCGGTAACTGAAAACAAAGTGTGTTTCACAATTCACTCTTGGCATTGATTCATGTTATGGAGGAAATTGTTCAGAAAACAGTCAGAAAATAACTACAATATATCAAGCCCCTATTTTGTAGGCTAGGGCTACTACTGCCTTCCAGAACTATGCTGGGGGCTGGACGTGTAGTTGCTTGTTCTTCACAATGAGTGTGAGTATCCCTGCTTTTATAGAAGAGGAATCTATGCTCAGAATGGTTAAGTGAGCTACCCCAGGTTACCCAGGTAGGACTGGCTCCAAAGCTCACAGTCATTCTACCAAATAATTGTAGCAGAAAAGGCCCGATCTGAGCATCTGGAGATGCAGAAGAGGGGACAGGTTATTTTCCCATCTCTCAGTTCTATGTAACCTTGAGCAACTCCATTAGCCTCTCTGGGCCAGGCTACTCACCTGCAATGTGAAGGGTAGCCCAGTCAATGAGACTGGAGAAGCTGGTGGACTTGTGGCTGGGGGCACTGTACATTGTTTCCATGATTTTGGAAAATATTTTGGTGGTATGCATCAAGAGATACACCAGTGTTCATACCCTTTCATCCACTCCTGCAATTTTTTATTTTTAATTTTTGTAGGTATATAGTAGGTGTATATATTTATGGGGTACATGAGATGTTTTGATACAGGCATGCAATGTGAAATAAGCACATCATGGAGAATAGGTAGCCATCCCCTCAAACATTTATCATTTGAGTTACAAACAATCCAATTACACTCTTTAAGTTATGTTAAAATATACAATTAGGTTATTGTTGACTATAGTCATCCTATTGTGCTATCAAATAGTAGGTCTTATTCATTCTTTCTGTTTTTTTCGTGCCCATATCCTCACTTCTCCCCAACTCCTGAAATTTTAATTCCAAAAACTAATTCCAAGGAAGGAAACAACTATATACATAAGTCAGTTCTTAGCAACATCTGAACTAGAGCAACAGCCTTTCATTTACATATATTGACATATAGATTTTTTTTTTTTTTGAGACAGTCTTGCTCTGTCACCCAGGCTGGAGTGCAGTGGCGCAATCTCGGCTCACTGCAACCTCTGCCTCCTGGGTTCAAGCGATTTTCATGCCTCAGCCTTTCCAGTAGCTGGGATTACAGACGTGCACCACCATGCCTGGCTAATTTTTGTATTTTTAGTAGAGACAGGGTTTCATCACAATGGTCAGGCTGGTCTCAAATTTCTGACCTCAGGTGATCCACCTGTCTCGGCCTCCCAAAGTGCCAGGATTACAGGCATGAGCCACCACACCTGGCTCTTTAAAAATGAGGGAGAACCATCATTCTGAGCAAACTATCGCGAGAACAGAAAACCATACACTGCATGTTCTCACTCATAGGTGGGAACTGAACAATGAGAACACTTGGACAAACAGCGGGGAACATAACACACTGGGGCCGGTCATGGGGTGGGGGTTGGGGGAGGGATAGCATTAGGAGATATACCTAATGTAAATGACGAGTTAATGGGTGCAGGAAACCAACATGGCACATGTATACATATGTAACAAACCTGCACTTTGTGCACATGTACCCTAGAACTTAAAGTATAATAAAAAAGAATGAGGTAGATCCATATGTATTGACATGAAAAGATGTTCACAATATACTACTGAGTGAAGACAAGCCAAGTACAGAGTAGTAGGTACAATATCATCCCATCTATGTGTGTGAGCATTGGTACCACACAGACAACGCCTGGAAGATTAAACGCCAGACTCACCAACGGAAACCTCCTGAGTGATGTGCAGGAGAATGGGGCACACTCACCTCTTTATTTATTTATTAAAATGAGACGAGGTCTCGCTATGTTGCCCAGGCTGGTGTTGAACTCCTGGGCTCAAGCAATCCTTCTGCCTCAGCCTCCCAAAGTGCCGGGATTACAGGTGTGAGCCACCATGCCTGGCCCTCCTCTTACTTTATATGCTTTGGTGTTGTTTGGATTGTTAAGCAAGCTTGACTTGTATGATTTTATAAAGTAGCATAAAATAGTAATCAGGAAATCTGCATGAAAAATGTTATGGATATGATATTTGTGAAAAAGCAGGCACAAAATGTGTATGTTATAGGACTACAGCATGTGCCTACACATGGCAATGACTGAAGGATGATGCCCTAAATGAGCTGAGCATGGTGGCTCACACCTGTAATCTCAGCTCTTTGGAGGCCAAGGCCCAGGCAACAGAGCAAGACCTTGTCTCTACATATGAAACAAAATAAATTTTTTTAGAAAGAAAAATAAATAAATAAATATACTATATAATTAAGATAATAATTCGTCTTTTTAAAAAAATAGTTCTATTTTTAAAGACTAAAAGGCTATACACAAAAATGTAACTAGTGATGTTTGAGTGACAGATCATGGGATGTAGGCTCTTGTTTGGTTTTGCTTCTTTTCAAAGGGTTTTTAAACATTGTAGGTTTTCTGACCTTAAAATATTCAAGGGAAAAGAGTAATTCAAACAAGAGGATTCTCTAGGCTTTCCATAAGGTCCCTTCCAGATGAAGAAGGCTGTGGTGTTATACAACGTAGCACCTCCTTCCAAGGTCTGACCCTCTGAAGCCTGTGGCTGCCTCTCCTGCAGCCCACTCTGATTCACAGGCAGTAACCATCTGGTAAACCAGTCTTGCAACACCTGGCCCCCAGGCCTAGGAAGCTTTAAGGGGGAAAGTGTTTCAGACAGCTGCTCGTAACCCCACCCAGCCCCAGGGTGGACTCCTGCCTCTAGGGGAATCAGATTCACAAACATAATTTCACTATGGGAACCCACCCAGTCCATGAGGGAGGTCAGTGAAATCAAGGAAAAACTCAGAACCAAAGGAACCCAGCAGGCCTCTGAGATATGCCAGGAGGGGCTATCACCTGTGCAGGGCTCCAGGGACAGAGAAGCCATCCTTACCTTGCACCTCCACACATTCTGTCTGGCTGAAGGCGCTGTACCTCCCAATGGCCTTCACGAATGTCTGGGCCTTCACACAGTATGCAGCCCCTGGCTCCATGGTTTCTAGGTGCACTGGAATACCCCCACTCCTCACCATTTTGACATGTTCCTTTGACAGACCAGAAAACACAGTTATTGGCCAAGTGCGGTGGCTCACGCCTATAATCCCAGCACTTTGGGAGCCTGAGGCGGGCGGATCACCTGAGGTCAGGAGTTCAAGACCAGCCTGACCAACATGGTGAAACACCCCATCTCTACTACAAATAAAAAATTAGCCAGGCATGGTGGTGGGTGCCTGTAATCCCAGCTACTCAGGAGGCTGAGGCAGGAGAATCACTTGAACCCAGGAGGCAGAAGTTGCAGTGATCCGAGATCGTGCCACTGCACTCCAGCTTGGGCGACAGAGCGAGACTCTGTCTCAAAAAATAAAAGATAAAAAGAAAGCAGTTATTCCCAGAAGGCAGCAGGACTGGAAAGGGCAAAAAGTGCCAGGGAAGGAAAGTTGCAGATACTTCCTTTCCAGATGCACACAGAATGTTCCCTCTCACACATACATTCATTCAGGCACTCATTCATTCAATCATATTTATTAAGTACCTACTATGTGCTAGGCACTGCTCTAAGCACAGGGACCTAGCATTGAACAAAATGGACAAAGTCCTTGCTCTCATGGGGCTTACATGGGGTGAAACAGACTATAAAAAAATACACATCAGGTGGTGACAAGGACTGTGAAGGAAAAAGCAGAGCAAAGAGATGGTAACGAGGAGGCACCATCTTAAACAGAGTGGTTAGAGAAGGCTTCTCTGATAGGGTAACATTTGTGCAGAGACCCTGACTTGAGCAGGGGCTTGGCATGGCCACTGCTGCCAAGGAATCAGTGTGCAGTGGAGCCACGGGCAGCACCTCCTCACTCATCCACCCATCTGTCCATCCGTCTGTTCACCCTTCCACCTCCATGCCCCTCCCTGAGGCTGTGCTCTGCATCTGATCCTGTGGAGGCTTGCCTGGACCAAGCCTAGATGACTCAGGGTACATGCTCCCCTCTTAGCCCTGGCCCTGCCAGTTACCAAAGGTGGGTAGTGGGCTCCATCCCAGCGAATCTGAGGGAGCTGCATGCTTCCTCCTGCACAGGCTCTGCCCTGTCCCCAACACTACTCCATCTGCCTGGCTGGCAATGCCATATCCTACCGTGGGCTCTTGCCTAGCAGGGGTAAATACCGAAACCCAGTGTTGTACCTGCCCACACCACCTTTCATGGGAAGCTACCCAACCTACAGCCCTCTTTGAATGGGTGGTGAGGCATGTGCTCTTAGTCCAGATACTGCTATAAGATCAAGGGTACCCTTGGCCTGAGAAGGGTCCAATCAGAGGCGAGCTGGCTACCAGCAACCCCTGAAGCTTGGCCTGATAAGACGAGCAAGACCAATTGGATTCTTCTTCTGAGGATTTGGTCTTGGGAAACTGAATACCGAGAGCTAGAAGCAGGGACAAAGGAGAGAGGACACAGTGAGGAGAAGTCAGGCCTGAGAGGCCTCGAGAGGCTGGGGGCACATCATAGGCATGAGTAGGAAGCATTGATGAGGGATCACAGCCTGGAATAAGCTAGGAAAGGGCCATAGAAAGTGTGCAAGAGCAGGGACCCACCAGAGGGGAGCAAGGGCCCTGGGTAAGTGAGGCTGGAGCCTGGCCCTCTGCCAGCTGTTTATAGATCTGTGAGAGCTCCTTATTGCACCGTATTAGTCCTTGTGATAAAGCCTATCTTTGCTTGTGCTGCCTGGAGTGGGCCTCTAAGCTTTGTCATCATATGCTTGGACAGAGGCTCCACAGGTCTGAGTGTCCCCTAGTTCCTGATCGTGCTCCACTCCTCATACTGCTGCTGCTTGTCTGGCTATTCCCTCTGTGAGGGCTGGCCTCCCACCCATCCCAGGCTGTAGCACCCTTCCCATGGGGAGGGCAGCACCCCACCTGAGCATTCTGCATGGCCCACCTGCTCATAGTTAGATGGGTTTACTCATAAGCCAACTCCTGGATCCCTGCCTCTACCTCTTCACCCTGCCAAGACACACACCCTCAGGAGGTTTGTACCAGCGTTGTGTGCTTTTGAAATCATCCTGTTGATCTACAAATCCTGATTGCTGCCCCTAAGTGGCTGAGGAGATGAGCTGATGAGGGAGAAAAAAGGCATTGAAAAGATATTGTGGTCCAACTATGTTAGAGTTTAGGGTAAGGGGGCAGCCCCATACTTCAGCAGATCTGGCCTGGAAATGCTCCCAGCCAAGGCATGATTGAATGGACCAAGGAAGTTCTTTGGAGAAGAGGCTGATGGGGTGGTCAGCATACTCATCTTTTGCACACTTCACCCAGGACTGCTCATCCCCAGGTCACCCAGTGAGCAGGGGCAGCCTTCCCTTGCTCACCCTCAGAAATCTGTGCCTTCTTTCCCGAAGCCTGACCCAAAGGCCAAGGCTGGAGTCTCACCTCGGCACCAGGCTCCCTCCTCCAGTAGGCCACAAGGAACTCAAACTGGGGCCCCAGGTCCTCCAGCTCAATAACCAGGTGGAAGCCATCTTTGGTGATCTCCATCCCAGGTCGGGTAAGGATGGCTGTTGGCAAGACAACAGGAGAGTCAAAGCCAGCCCCAGACAGGGTTGATTTCCCTGGAACACAATGACCGGGTCATGTATGGAAATATGTCCGTCTCCGTAGGAGAGGAAGGGAGTCTGCTGTAGCTTCAAGCTCATGGAAACATGTACACAAATACTCTCCTGTATGCAGCAGGTGCTCAGTAAATGCTTTTTGAGTGATGAATAAATGAAGAAACAAATGACAAATGCTATAATTCTCTTCTTTTTTAATCCTTTAATAAAGTCCACTGTTCCTTCTCCAGGAGGCACATATACACAAGAAAAGTGATTAAAAACTCCAGTAAACATTATCTCTTGCTCTTTTAAAATTTTATGATCCATGCCCCTCCTGTCACCACTTTTTCAGCAGAAATTGCTCCTCACTTTGGCTCATCTAAGTGAGCAGATGCTATATTTTAATGCTTGCCAAATGCCTATGTGAGCTCAGGTCTATACTGAACAGCCAGCCCCAGTCTTTGCCCCTTAGGAATGAGCATACCTGGCAGGGCCATGTGCATTCCCACAGCTCACACAGATCTGTGGCATGTACTGGCTACTGATAACTTTCACATATCAGCAGATGAGCAGCCTGTGAATAGGGTTGGCCATTCTATTCTCAGCCCAGTTCTCAGCTGGCAAGTCACCGGCTTTTTTTTTTCTTGTTTCTTTTTTTTTCAGACAGGGTCTCACTCTGTCACCCAAGCTGGAGTGTATAGTGGCACTATCATGGCTCACTGCAGCCTCGAACTCTCAGTCTCAGGTAATCCTCCCACCTTAGCCTCCCAAGTAGCTGGAACTACAGGCACACATCACCGCACTCAGCTAATGTTTTTTGTATTTTTTGTAGAGATGGGACTTCACCACATTGCCCAGGCTGGTCTCTAATTCCTAGACTCAAGCAGTTCGCCCACCTCGAGCTCCCAAAGTGCTGGGATTACAGGAGTGAGCCAATGTGCCCAGCCCACAGGCTTTTTACAGATTCCAATAATCAACTCTAGAAATTACAGCATAAGTACAAACATCATCTTCCATATTGCAAGGTCCCCAGCAGAGAGGCCCACAGCCCTTGTGGATACCTTCCCATCAGCAGACCAAGAACAGAAGGGCCCACACAGATAGTCTCTACACCCTGGTTACTGGTGATGGAGTTATACTTGCCTTTCAGACCCAGATACTGCAGGACCAGAAGGGCCACCCTGATCACTGGTCTTGGATTGGAAAGGGGTGGGGCATGTTCTGGGCTAAATCTGCCTTCCCTGGGGTCAGTGTGAGAGGTGACAGCATGCTGGCAGTCCTCACAGCCCTCGCTCACTCTGGGCGCGTCCTCTGCCTGGGCTCCCACTTTGGCCGCACTTGAGGAGCCCTTCAGCCCACCGCTGCACTGCGGGAGCCCCTTTCTGGGCTGGCCAAGACTGGAGCCGGCTCCCTCAGCTTGCAGGGAGGTGTGGAGGGAGAGGCGCGAGCTGGAACCGGGGCTGCACGCGGCGCTTGCGGGCCAGCTGGAGTTCCGGGTGGGCGTGGGCTTGGTGGGCCCCGCACTCGGAGCAGCCGGCCGGCCCTGCCGGCCCCGGCAATGAGGGGCTTAGCACCCGGGCCAGCGGCTGCGGAGGGTGTACTGGGTCCTCCAGCAGTGCCAGCCCACCGGCGCCGTGCTAGATTTCTCACCGGGCCTTAGCTGCCTTCCCGTGGGGCGTGGCTCGGGACCTGCAGCCCGCCATGCCTGAGCCTCCCACCCCCTCCATGGGCTCCTGTGCGGCCCGAGCCTCCCCGATGAGCGCCACCCCCTGCTCCACGGCGCCCAGTCCCATCGACCACCCAAGGGCTGAGGAGTGCGGACGCAGGGCGCAGGACTGGCACGCAGCTCCACCGGCAGCCCTGGTGCGGGATCCACTGGGTGAAGCCAGCTGGCCTCCTGAGTCTGGTGGGGCCTTGGAGAATCTTTATGTCTAGCTCAGGGATTGTAAATACACCAATGGGCACTCTGTCTCTAGCTCAAGTTTGTAAACACACCAATCAGCACCCTGTGTCTACTAGCTCAGGGTTTGTGAGTGCACCAATCGACACTCTGTATCTAGCTACTCTGGTGGGGCCTTGGAGAACCTTTGTGTCTATACTCTGTATCTAACTAATCTGGTGGGGACGTGGAGAACCTTTGTGTCTAGCTCAGGGATTGTAAACGCACGAATCAGCGCCCTGTCAAAACAGACCACTGGGCTCTACCAATCAGCAGGACGTGGGTGGGGCCAGATAAGAGAATAAAAGCAGGCTGCCCGAGCCAGCAGTGGCAACCCGCTCGGGTCCCCTTCCACACTGTGGAAGCTTTGTTCTTTCGCTCTTTGCAATAAATCTTGCTACTGCTCACTCTTTGGGTCCACACTGCTTTTATGAGCTGTAACACTCACCGCGAAGGTCTGCAGCTTCACTCCTGAAGCCAGCGAGACCACGAGCCCACCAGGAGGAACGAACAACTCCAGACGCGCCGCCTTAAGAGCTGTAACACTCACCGTGAAGATCTGCAGCTTCACTCCTGAGCCAGCGAGACTAGGAACCCACCAGAAGGAAGAAACTCTGAACACATCCGAACATCAGAAGGGACAGACTCCAGACGCGCCACCTTAAGAGCTGTAACACTCACCGCGAGGGTCTGCGGCTTCATTCTTGAAGTCAGTGAGATCAAGAACCCACCAATTCCGGACACAAGTGGACACTCAGAAGAAAGGCAGTTCCTACAGGGAGTTTTCAGAGAACAAAGCCTTTCCCCATCGCGTCCCTCATCAGAGAAGTGTTTATGCCTGCTTGTTGAAGAGCTACCTGGACAGGGGTCAGGAGGACTTGGGAAGCCAGGGCCAACTGTGCAAAACACACTCAGTCCTGAGGTTCATATGACCACATAGCACCACTAGCACTACCTCTGAAACACCTTCAGAAGGGAAACAGATATTTGACTCCTCAACTTTTCTGTCAGATGTCATCAGAATTGGGTCTTCTGATCTCCATCTTTATTGAGACCAGAATTAGAGAAAATAATCTGAAGTTTCAGTTCAGAGAAGAGTTGTTTGACAGCGTTGGGGCAGGAACCTCTGTCCTATGCCTTCTGCATGCTTATCTCATTTAATCTGCCCAGGAAGCTTTAGAAGGTAAACATTGTTCCTGTTTTATTTTTATTTATTTATTTATTTATTTATTTATTTATTTATTTATTTATTTGAGATGGAGTCTCGCTCTGTCGCCCAGGCTGGAGTGCAGTGGCCCGATCTTGGCTCACTGCAAGCTCCGCCTCCCAGGTTCACACCATTCTCCTGCCTCAGCCTCCGGAGTAGCTGGGACTACAGGCGACGGGGTTTCACTGTGTTAGCCAGGATGGTCTTGATCTCCTGACCTCGTGATCCACTGGCTTTGGCCTCCCAAAGTGCTGGGATTACAGGCATGAGCCACCATGCCCAGCCTAACATTGTTCCTGTTTTACAGAGAGATTAAGTGACATGCCCAGAGTCACAGAGTTAATCTACAGAATTTGAGCCCATTTCTTTCTACATTTCTACCTCCCTTGTGTGGGGTGTTTAGCCTCTTTGCTAGTGGATCTCAACCCTGGCTGTACATGAAAATAATCTGGGGAGAATTTTAAACTCCCAGTGAATAAGATGCATGCAGATCATTTAAACCAGACTCTCTGGGGAAGAGCCCCAGGCATAATTGATTCTAAAGCTCCCCTGTGACTCAAATGTGCAAAGTTAAAAACCTCTGCTCTCAATAAAAAGTTTCCCTTTAAGAGTGGGGACCCTCAGCCAGGCGTAGCGGCTCACACCTGTAATCCCAGCATTTTGGGAGGCTGAGGTGGGCGGATCACCTGAGGTCAGGAGTTCGAGACCAGCCTGGCCAACATAGTGAAACACTGTCTCTACTAAAAATACAAAATTAGCCAAGCATGGTGGCACATTCCTGTAATCCCAGCTACTTGGGAGGCTGAGGCAGGAGAAACGCTAGAACCCAGGAGGTGGAGGTTGCAGTGAGCTAAGATCATGCCATTACACTCCAGCCTGGGCAACAAGAGCGGAACTCCATCTCAAAAAAAAAAAAAAAAAGAGAGAGAGAGAGACAGTAGGGATCCTTTTCAGGAGAGCCTTAAATCAAGATTTTTCACATTCCTGGGGAGAAGTCTGAGTGGCCTTTTTCAAATGGAAGAGGACAAACTTAATGCCCTTAAGAGATCATGACACCATCCCAGCCTATTTGCTTGGATATCATAGAACCGTATCTTCCATCTTCTGATGCAAGTACAGACTCCTGTTCCTCAGCTGCCCCTGCAGCAAGCTCTTTTCCTGTTTATACAGGCCTTCGTAAGTACAAGGTTTTACAGCACATCCCCACCCACATAGTTTTGTAGGCACTCCCTTATCTTTATGTGACCCATGCCTGCTTTCCAGCAACAGCTGCCAGCCCCCAGCAATGGTCTTGGCTGGATCCCCATGCTCTTAGGAGCCAGAGGGAGGTGGTGCTGAATGCTGCCTGGGCACTGCAGGTAGTGGCAGTTTTGCAGTGCCCTACAGGGCCCCTTAATCTCCCCCAGATCCTGCCACTTCGACCAACTCCTCTTGGACCAAATTCAGCCAGATGATCATCCTCTCCATTCCATGAAGTCATTCCATTCCATTCCATTCCAGTCCTGGTGCCTGGGAAGGAGGCCTGGGCAAAGGAGCCCACAATCTGCACCAAAATTCCTTTTGGTATCCCATTCCAATGGTCCTATTCCTGCCCCATCCCTTCCCTCCTCTGCTCTTCAGCTTGGGCTCCTCTTCTTCTAAACCTTCCTAATTTCCACCTAATATCATACATTCCTCAGTAAATTTTGACTCATCCGAATGCTGCAAATTCTGCCCCAAACCTTCTTCCACCATCTTTCACAACAGAAGCTCTTCTGCCACATCACGAAAACAGAGACCAAAGAAGACCCTTATCTTGCCTTTCCTGCAGCTCTAAACTGGTTACATTCCCACCCATTCCTTGCTCCTTCCTACCTCCATGCAATCCTCCACTCCAGCAGCCAGATGGTCATCCTTTCCACTCCATGAAGTTACTTTCTCAAGGGCCCATCCAGGGGCTTCCTCCAGCCTCTCAGGAGCTGTTCTATTCTCCTTTCCATTATCCTCTACCCTGGTGCCCTTCCCTCCATCCACATTTTAAAGTCTGAGGTTTTCCAGGACCTTGTCCTCTCTTTATCTTCAGCGTCTTGTCCCTAAACAGTCTCGTCTACTTCCAAGCCTTTAGCTGTTAACTTTGTGATGGCCCTGTGCGATGGCTCATTCCTATAATCCCAGCACTTCGTGAGGCTGAGGCAAGAGGATCACTTAAGCTCAGGAGTCCGAGACCAGCCTGGGCAACATGGTGAAACCCCATCTCTACCAAAAATACAAAAAAATTAGTCAGGCATGGTGGCATGTGCCTGTATTCCCAGCTTCTTGGGGGCCTGAGGCAGGAGGATCGCTTGAGCCCAGGAGGGCAAGGCTGCAGTGAGCTGTGTTGGCACCACTGCACTCCAGCCTGGGCAAAAGAGCAAGACTCCACCTCAAAAACAAAACAAACAAACAAACAAAACCACTTTGTGTTATGTATCTGCCTTTGAGCTTTCTAAGCCTCAGGGACTGATTTCCAGCTGCCAGTCAGACATCCACAAGATGACATCTTGTAGAAATCTCAGTCTCAAAGCCGGGGGTGTCTCCTATTCTTCAAGACCAGTTGTTTCCCCCTGGGTTATTTGCCTTAGCTGGTGTTCTCACCAATTCCATTTGACAGCTGAATACTATCATTATCTCTCCCTTTTCTGTCCCCACAAACTTGATTCCTAAGCTCTGTCCTTTCTAAATCAGCCATGTTTCTTGGATTCATCATCTCCTTCCCATCCCCTTCCAAACTCTTGGGATCAGTAGGAGTATTACAACCCCCTCCTCACTCTTCCCCTGTCCTGCAGGCTTGCCCTACTCTGGTTCACTTTCCACACAGCAGCCAGAGTGTTGCTTTGTAAGATAGACCTGGTCGGCCGGGCGCCATGGCTCATGCCTGTAATCCCAGCACTTTGGGAGGCCGAAGTGGGCAGATGACTTGAGGTCAGGAGTTCCAGACCAGCCTGGAAAACATAGTGAAACCCTGTCTCTACTAAAAATACAAAAATTAGCCAGGCATGGTGGTGCACGCCTGTAGTCCCAGCTACTCAGGAGGCTGAGGCAGGAGAATCACTTGAACCCAGGAGACAGAGGTTGCAGTGAGCTGAGATCACGCCACTGCACACCAACCTGGGTGACAGAGTGAGACTCCGTATCAAAAAAAAAAAGAGATAGACCTGGTCTAGATCCTCTCCTCTTTCATTGGCTACCCTCTACTGACTTGGTCAAGCTTCGTGTCAAAGCCCTTCACCACATGATCAACTGCTTCCCTACCCCCTGCCCATCAGCCCTTGCCTCTCCTGTTCCGCAAACACACATGTCCTTTTATACAATGACCAGTGCTTGTACTCAGCCACATTTGGCCACCTATCTGGATTCCTCTATTACTTCTTTCTCAATCCTTTTCCAGGTACTACTCCAAAAGAAAAGTTATTTATTTCCCACAGAAGTCATTACAGAAGGGCAATTTTCTGGTGGCTCTGTTAAGTGTATAAATCCTCTTGCACAACAAAGCTGCTTACGTGGGCAGTAAATATGCAGTTAATGAGGCCTCAAGTGGGAGGCACAATTTATGGAGGCACAATCAGAGTAGGGAGCAGCAGTCCTGGTGCCACCTCTTCACTTCCAGAGCAGCTTTCCTTCCAGGTTCCCAATGTCAGCATCCCCAACACCTGCACACCCTGACACAGACAGTCAGGAATGACTTGAGTAGTCAAAGGGCATGACAGAGAGCAGCATGTAGAAAGCAGTTGGCAATTTTTCAAATATACCAGTAAGGGTTGTTTGTGTTCACAATACTCTGGCTTTGCAGGACTATTCTGATGCTAAAAAGAGTCTAGAAAGTTTAGGTGAACATGGTTCCTAAAGGAGGGGCTGGTTGGGGTGGGAGTGTAAGGAGAGAAGTGCCTTACTTGAGTTTCTATTAAAGGGATGCTTCAGGATGCTCCAGGCTGAGGTCTGTGAGCCCAATGTGGCCCTGACACGAAGGTTGTATGGCACAGTGGCCGTGATGTCATCAGTGACATCACACTCAGGACCTTCAGTGAGTGAGCACCAGCTGCTGGGGATCCAGATGTGGCTCGTGTACAGGCTCTCGTACTCCCTGTCAAAGAGAGGAGGGCACAGAGTTACACCAGCCCCTCTGACACAGGCTCAGTTATGGTTGCAAGTAACTGACTTCGTTCACCTACTTTGTACAGGTAAGTAAAATAAGTACTTTCTCATTATCCTAGCTCCTCCACTCTCCTCCCTACCAACCATCCATCGTCCCTTACTCCTTTTATTGCCAGATAGGGAAAGCTAGGCATAAACATCAATGTGTCTGGATCTCTTTTATCTCTTCATCTCCAGGGTCATCACCCTAATCTCAGCCACTGTCATTCCTTGCCTTGCTGTGATCTCCCAGCTTGGACACCTGCCATTCTCAAAACCATTCACCACTCAGCAGATTGTGACGTTTCTCTCCTTAATGGCTTCCTACAGGACTTAGAATGGGATCCAAACTCTTGCCAGTGGTCTTACAAGATGCTTTGGCCTTCTCTCTCACTCTGCTCCGAAGCGTGATATTCTTGCCACATTGGTCATTTCTCCAAAATGCTGAGCACTTTTTGCCTTAGGACCTTTGACTAACTGTTCACTCCATCTCAAACGCTCTGCCCCTGCTGTTCGCATGGCTGGCTCCTCTTGTCCTTCAGATATGGCATAAATATCACCTCCTCAGAGAGGCCATCCCAGGCCATCTAATATAAAGGAGCCTCAGTGTCAACTCTCTATGGCATCAGCCTTTTAGCTTCCTCCTAGCACTGATTACTATCCAAAATTCCCTAGAGCAGTGCTTTCCAAAAATAAACTTTCTGTGATGATGCAAATATTCTAAATCGATGTTGTTCAATATGGTAACCACTGGCCACATGTGGCTATTGAACACCTAAAATGTGACTAGTGTGGCAGGAAACAGACATTTTAATTTAATTTAATTTAATTTAATTTAATTTAAATTTAAATAGCCAGCTGTGGCTGGTGGCTACCATACTAGAGAATGCTGGCCTAGTATATTTATCATCTGTATCCTCCTCTAGATGTAAGCTCTCAAAATCCAGAAACCTTGTCAACTGTATCCCTGAGCCTAGAAGAATGTCTACACATGTAGGTGTTCAGTCTGTATTCATTGTTAATGAAATATATGGAGCAATTTCTGTGTCCTTATCACTATTCAATAGCTGCAAGCACCTGAACACCTGGAGAAGACTAGAGCCTGCTCAGCCCCAGGGCCAGCTGACCTTTAGGATTATAGTTCGTTTTGGCTCTAGGTATAAGCTTATAGTCAGGAAAAGTGAGGACTCCTCCACCCTTAAAGGATCTGAGTCTCCAGTGATTTATCCATCTCAAGTCAGAGTCAAACCCATTGGACAGTTGATTCACTTTTTAAAATAACTCCACCAAAATGTGTTATGCACATTCATCTTCCCAGAGAGTTCACTGTCAAATCCACAGAACAATTTCCCTTGCTTCTTCAACTCTTTCAATGCCTATGCAGACAGAGGGGGTAGATCTTTGGGGATAATCTATCCCTGGACTCAAAAAGCCACCTTGGGCTCAGGAGGAAGGGCTATGCCTTCAGGAACCAACTTCTGCTTAAGGGAGAAGAACTATTAAAAGAAAAAACTCACCCCTGGTATTCGACAGAATAGTACACTGTTTCTCCAGGCGCGATCACTGGGCTCCACATCAAGAGATGCTTCATGTTGGTTGAGAGTACAGAGAGGTTCTGAGGGGCAGGCAGAATGGCCACTTCATCTAGGATCAAGGCAGATAGCCTGGCTGACAGGTGGGCTCATAGTGGGGGAATGCCATAGCTTCAAATTAGTGTCTAATGAAGGGCCTCACTGGCGGAGGTTGCAGTAAGCTGAGATTGCACCACTGCACTCCAGCCTAGACAACAGAATGAGACTCTGTCTCAAAAAAAAAAAAGCCTCACATGTTTATAAACCAGAAACAACTCTAATTTTATCATGCTTATGTTAACACTAAATTTTGGGTACCACCATTATAATTCTGACTTTGTTGATAAATGACATATCAATATTAATAATAATAATGACTAATATTTATCTAATACTTACCATGTTCTATCTAGACCATGTGCTGGATTGTTACATGACTGTCTTATTGAATTCTCATGACCATACTGGGAGGTAAAGACCATTAGTTTTTCCATTGTACAAATGAGAAAACTGAGTCACATTATTTATGACTCTTCTGTTAGACTGGCTAGGATCCAGTGACTCTGCCACTTACTATGTGGCTTTAAGCAAGTTGCATAAACGTGAGCCTCTTAATCATTCATGGAAAACCAATGCAGACTACTGCAACATTCTCATCACCTCCCTCTCCTGCTACTGCCATCCTCAGATGCCAAAGCAATCGTTTCATGTCCCTCAACAAGGCCAAATGGGTCATCAGTTGCCAGGTGGGAAGTACAGGCTCAGATCTGCTGTGGAGAGAGTCCATTCAAGTGGGACACCAAGCCAGCTCTGTGAGTCCACCCCGGAAAGACTGCAGGCCCCTGAGCCAGTCTGGGACACAAGTATGCCCCGAGTGTACCCAGACACAGTGTGCCCAGAGTATGCACACAGTGGGACTATGATTTGTAGAGAATGAAAGAGGCCTATGAAGCTGAACCTGCTCATAAGGACTTTGGGCAGTCACAAAGCCAAAAACTTCATCCTCACATGTCACCCAAAGGTACAGTCTGAACTCTCTGCTATGTTCCTGTTTAAATGCCCAACACCTGCCTCCCTTTGCTGTTACAGTGCAGTGATAGCATCTACAGCATAGTGGGGGTGGGGCTGGAGTCCTCATTTGGGACTTTTCATCTCTGTGCCTATCTCCAGATTGGCACCTGCTGTTTGTTATCAAGCCCTGTGACCACAAAGGGATGGAAGGCTGCTGGGGACACCCCACCTGGTTTCCCTGCCCTTTCTCTAATGTAGGGCCCTAGTGATGCACCTCCATCTCACCCTCAGCATCCATGGTCTGTTCTGTGGGGAAACACCTGGAGCACCCACAAGGCAGTCTTCCTGACCCCCACCCACCCCTAAGCTTGAAATCACCCAAGGGATGGAAAGGAAAAGGGGTAGAGTGGTACAGGAGGACAAGGAATGGTCCCCTCTGACACCTTCCTCTGGTAAAGTTTTAAAAAAATTCTCTAGCCAGCTATTTGGGGAATATAAACCTATATAAATACAAAGCTACATTTTATATAACTAATTTAATTACATAATTAAATTATGTCAACAAATCAATTTATTAATTAATGTAATTTAATTATATAACTTTAAAGCTCTCAAAAATGAAATCTCCAGGCACAGATGGTTTTAATGGAAAATTCTACCAAACATTTAAAGATGACAACATCAACAAAATGCAATTTCCTCTAAAACATAGAATAGGAAAGAACAGTTTCCAGCTTACTTTATGAGGCCAGTATTACCATGATACCAAAATCAGATGAGGAAAATATATACATAAACTACATAAAAATATATCTCATGAACTTAGACAAAAATCTTCAACAAAATATAGCAATCCAAATTCAGTAATGTACAAAAAGAACTATATACCATAACCAAGTGGGATTTGTTCTAGGTATGCAGGGCTGGTTCAACATTTGAAAATCAGTTAATGTAATTTACCATGTCGATAAACTAAAGAATAAAATCATAAATCATATCAATTGACACAGAAAAAGGATTTACAAAACCCACATCCATTCATTATGAAAAACAAGACAAAACAGGCCAGGTGCGGTGGCTCACACCATAATCCCAGCACTTTGGGAGGCCGAGGCAGGCGGATCAGCTGAGGTCAGGAGTTCGAGACCAGCCTGACCAACATGGTGAAACCCAGTCTCTACTAAAAATAGAAAAATTAGCTGGGTGTGGTGGCACTCACCTGTAATCCCAGCTACTTGGGAGGCTGAGGCAGGAGACTTGCTTGAACCTGGGAGACGGAGGTTGCAGTGAGCCAAGATCAAGCCATTGCACTCTAGCCTGGGTGACAGAGCAAGACTCCATCTCAAAAAAAAAAAAAAAAACAAGACAGAACCAAAAACTCTCTTCAAGTTAAGAGCAGGCAGGGAGTTACCACAACTTGATAAAGACCATCTACAAAAAACCTACAGCTAACATCTTACTTAATGGTGAAGGACTGAATGCTTCCTCTCCAAGATCAGGAATAGGCAAGAATGTCCACTCTTACCACTCTTATTCAACATACTACTGAAAGTTCTAGCCACTGTAATAAGGCAAGCAAAATAAGTAAAAGAAATATAGATTATAAAAGAAGTAGTAAAACTTGCCCTATATGCAAATGACATGATATGCTCTCCCACATGTAGAAAAGTCCCACAGAATCTTAAAAAAAAATCTAAAACCAGGCCAGGCCTGGTGGCTCACGCCTGTAAACCCAGCACTCTGGGAGACCAAGGCAGGCAGATCGCCTGAGCTCAGGAGTTCGAGGCCAGCCTGGCCAACATGGCAAAACCCCATCTCTACTAAAAATAGAAAAATTAGCTGGGCGTGGTAGTGCGTGCCTGTAATCTTGGCTATTCAGGAGGCTGAGGCAGGAGAATCGCTTGAACCCAGGAGGTGGAGGTTGCAGTGAGTTGAGATTGCACCACCGCACTCCAGCCTGGGCAACAGAGCAAGACTCCATCTCAAAAAAAAATTATATTTCTATATACCAGCAACAAACACATACACAGAAATTAAAATTATAATCACTAAAAAAATAGGTGTAAATCTGACAAAATATACTCAGGGAAAACTCCACAATGCTAAATGAAATCAAAGAAGATTTAAATAAATGGAGAGACATACTGTGTTCATGCATTAGAAGATTCAACAGTTAAGATGCCAATTCTCCCCCAAATTGTATATAGGTTTAATGCAATTCCTATCAATAGTTCAGCAAGCTTTTTGTTAATATAGATAAGTTTTTCCTAAATTTTATAAGAAAAGTCAAAGGAACTATAATACATAAAAGGAGGGGGAGGGGCTTCAAGATGGCTGACCAGAAGCATTTCATGCTTACCTCCTCCACTTAGAAGAACCGAAATCATGTATATACAGTCACACTTTGAATACATTATCCAAAAGAAAACACTGGAACTCAACAGAAAAGTTACAGGAAACACCAAAAGCAAGGAAGGAGGAGGAGAGGCAGCCTGCTTGGCTAGGATCAGCTGGCAGCCAAGAGTGACTTCTCAATGTGGGCAGAGTAAGTGAGAGACTTCTGGTGGCCCTCATTCCCACCATGGAATCATGTAGTCCTGACCGTGAGAGAATTCCTCAACCCTCCTAAGCCCTGAAAACATACATAGGGAGCTGCCAGTAGATTGGGGGACAAAATTGTCCCAGGAAGGGAACTCATGCTGCGTCCCACACTTTTTCTGAGACCCAAACAGTTACAGCAAGGCACCATTTTAAATCCTAGTCTTTGGCAGATGCACATGCTATCCTGGTGGCCAGCAGCACCAAGACTGAAGCATTAGGGAAACTCAGGCTATTGCTGCTGAGACTGGGGCACAAACTGGGAATGAGCTCCCACAGCTGAGACTGAGAATCAAATGAGGCATGGGCTGCAGCTGACAATGCTGGGAAGTGAGTGCTGCCGGGGCTGAGACTGGGAGGAAAACAGGCACAAGTTGCCACTGGGACTTAGTCACAAGCTGGTGGGGACTCCTGCAGCAAGGTAAGGGCTCAAGCTAGGTGTGGCTGGCTGCTGCCAGGGCTGGGGGGTAAGCCCCGCCAGGGCTGTGAAGCATGAGACAGGTGCATATTCCCCACCTACTGGCCCAGGCTGTAGCCACAGAGGTCAGCCCCACCTTCTCCAGTGGGAGGACCTCAGCATGGCTACTACCACTCCTCACCCATGCATTCCACCTGAGACCTGAGGATTGCCCTGACCCCTACCCACCATGACTGCTGCCTGCTCCCACCATTGAAGGGCCTGAGCACAAGCCCACCCAACCCAGCTTCACTCCCTTCTCTGAGACACAGCACATAGGCCAGGGCCTTGGAGGGTGACAAGGGCACCTTGGGCACCTTAGTACTCCTTCTGGGGTCCTGAGGTTGGGCCTAAACTCTCAGCTGCCATCACCTCAACTGGCACCTACTTGCAAGTACCACCTGCAGTCCTGGAGACTGTCCTACACACTCTGTCACACCCACTGCCATCATAAAAGGACAACTCTCGGAACCCAGATAATTATCCTGCCACTGCTACTGCCATCACTTGTGCCATGCTAGCTGTCCAGGGCCCCAAGAACCCACCTCCTTGCCCAGTCCACCACTACCACTGCCAGCATCCAAGCAAGCCATGTGGAGGCCCAATGATCAGCATTCTGGTAACCACCAACACCAGTGCCCGCATACATAACCCTGGGAAACACGGACAGGCATACTCAGACCACCACTGCCACAATTGGGGCCTGTAGACCAGCCCATCTGGCATCCCACAGCACAACTTCACCACAGACTCCAATAACTGTACCCTAACCCACTGATGAAATCACATATACTACTAACGCTGCAGCCAAAGTACCCAGAATAAAAGCAAAAATGGGCCAGGTGCAGCGGCTCATGCCTGTAATCCCAGCACTTTGGGAGGCAGAGGCAGGTGGATCATGAGGTCAAGAGATCAAGACCATCCTGGCTAACATGGTGAAACCCCATCTCTACTAAAAATACAAAAATTAGCTGGGCATGGTGGTGTGTGCCTGTAGTCCCAGCTACTCGGGAGGCTGAGGCAGGAGAATTGCTTGAACCCGGAAGGCAGAGGTTGCAGTGAGCCAAGATTGCACCACTGCACTTCAGCCTGGCAAGAGAGCGAGACTCCATTTCAAAAAAATAAATAAAAATAAAAATAAATAAATAAATGCCAAATGCTGTAGCCAATGAACACCACAGATACATCTTCAGGAAAACATCCTCCCCTATGGAAGTAAATTCAAAAATGGGAAGAAGAAACTGTTATACCAGATGTGCAGATATCAACATAAGAACACAAGAAACATGAAAAGGCAAGGACATATGACATCTCCAAAGGAACACAATTCTCCAGCAATAGACCTTAATCAAAAAGAAATTTTTGAAATCCCAGAGAAGGAATTATTAAACACACTGATATTAAAGAAGCTCAGTGGGATACAAGAGAATTTGGAAAAACAATAAAAAGAAATCAGAAAAACAATTCAGAATATAAATGAGAAATTTCCAAAGAGATAGATATTTTTTAAAAGAACCAATAGAAATTCTGAAACTGAACACTCATTGAAAGAAATACAAAATACATTTGAAAGCTTCAACAATAGACTAGATCGAGCAGGAGAAAGAATCTCAGAACTTGAAGACAGGTCTTTTGAAATAATCCAGTCAAAAGTTTTTAAAAAGAATGAGCAAAAGCTTCGTGACATTTGAGATAACACAAAGCAATTGAATTTATGTATTATCAGTATCCCTAAGGGGAAAGAAAGAACAGAAGGACTAAAAAGCCTATTTAACCAAATAATATGTTAAAACATCCTATGTCTAGCAAGATATTTAGACATCTAGTTACAGGAGGCTCATGATGTCCAGAGAGATACAATGTAAAATGGTCATTATAGTTAGACTGTCTGAAGTCAAAGATAAAGAGCAAACCCTAAAAACAGCTAGAAAAAAAGCATCTAGTCTGATGGAAACCCCATCAGTGGATTTCTCAGCAGAAATCGCATAGGCCAGAAGAGAATGGAATGATATATTTAAAGTGCTGAAAGGAAAAAAAGAAAAACCTGCTAGCCAAGACTATTACATCTGGCAAAATCATCCTTCATAAATCAAAGTGAAATAGTCTTTAACAGACAAACGAATATTGAGGGAATTTGTTATCACTAGACCAGACATACAAGAAATGTTCAAGGGAGTCCTAAACCTGAAATTGAAATAATAACATTTACCATTATGAAATCACATGAAAGTATAAAACTCATAGGTAAAGCAGTCACACAAAGGAGGAAGAGAAAGGACTCAAATGGTACCACTACAGAAATCCACTAAAACACAATGAACAATAGGAGAAAAAGAAAACACTAAATAATATGTAAAACAAACAGAAAAAAAATTAACAATATGACAGGAAAAAACCTCACATATTAATAACCTTGAATATAAGTGGATTAAATTCTCCATTTAAAAGATATAAAATGGCTGAATAAATAAAAAAAAAGTTCCGACTATATGCTGCTTACACGAAATTCACCTTACCAGTAAAGACATATATGGACTAAAAGGGATGGAAAAATATTCTCCACACAAATGAAAACCAAAAGCAAGGAGCAGTAGCTATACTTATATCAAATAAGATAGACTTCAAGTCAAAAGCAATTAAAAAAAGACAAAGAAGGTTACTATATAGTGATAAATGGATCAATGCAGCAAGAAGTTATAACAATTCTAAATATATATGCACCCCATACTGGAGCACCCAGAGTCTTAAAGCAAATACTACTAGATCTAAAGAGAAAGACTACAATATAATGACTGGGGATGGGGGACTTTAACACCCCACTCTCAGCATTAGACAGATCATCTGGACAGAAAATCAACAAAGAAACATTGTACTTAAACTGGACTTTAGACCAAATGGACCTAACAGATATTTACAGAACATTATATCCAACAACTGCAGAATATATATTCTTTTCATCAGCCCATGGAATATTCTCCAGAATAAACCATATGTTAGGTCACAAAACGAGTGTCAACAATTTTTTTTTTTTGAGATTCACTGCAACCTCCGCCTCCTGGGTACAAGCAATTCTCCTGCCTCGGCCTCCTGAGTAGCTGGGATTACAGGCATGCGCCACCATGCCCGGATAATTTTTTTTTTTTTTTTGTATTTTTAGTAGAGACAGGGTTTCACCCTGTTAGCCAGGATGGTCTCTATCTCCTGGCCTTGTGATCCACCCATCTTGGTCTCCCAAAGTGCTGGGATTACAGGCGTGAGACACTGCGCCCAGCCAACAAATTTTTAAAAATCAAAATCCTATCAAGCATCTTCTCAGAGCACAATGGAATAAAACTAGAAACCAACACCAAGAAAAACTTAAACTGGTGTAAAGTCCAGTTTAAGTACATGGAAATTAAACAACATGATCTTGAATGACCATTGGGTCAACAAAGAAACTAACATGGAAATTTTCAAATTTCTTGAAACAAATAAAAATCGAACACAACATAGCAAAATCTGTGGGATATATCAAAAGCAGTAATAAGAGGGACATTTATATCAATAAATGCTTACATTGAAAAAGTAGAAAGATTAAAAATTAACAATCTAACAATGCATCTCAAGGAACTGGAAAAGCAAGAACAAAGCAAACCCAAAATTAGGAGAAAAAAGGAAATAATAAAGATCAGAGCAGAATTTAATGGAATAGAGACTAAAAAAAATACATCAAGAAAATGAAAAAAAAAAATTTTTCTTCAAAAAGATTAACAAAGTTAATCTTAAAACCACTAGCTAGACTAATCAAGAAGAGAGGAAACCCAAATAAAGAATATCAGAAATTAAAAAGAAGATGTCACAACTGATACCACATAAAATCATCAGAGACTGTTATGAACAACTATAAGCTGACAAACTGGAAAACCTAGAAGAAATGGATCATTCCTGGACACAAACAACCTACCAAGATTGAATCAGGAAGAAAAAGAAAACCTTAACGATGGATAATGAGTAGCAAGATTGAATCAATAATAAGTCTCCCAACAAAGAAAAGCCCAGGATTAGATGGATTCACAGCTGAATTCTACCAAACATACAAAGAAGAATTAATATCAATCCTCCTGAGACTATTGCAAAAATCAGAGACAAATGGGACTGCATTAAACTAAAAAGCTTCTGCACAGCAAAGGAAACAATCAGCTGAGTGAAGAGACAATCCGTTGAATGGGAGAAAATATTTGCAAACTATTCATCCAACAACAGAGTAATATCCAGAATATACAAAAAACTCAAATAACAACACTAAAAAACAAATCCCCAAAAGTGGGCTAAGGACATAAGTAGACATTTCTCAAAAGAAGATATACAAATGGCCAACAGATATATGAAAAAATGTTCAATATCACTAACCATCAGAGAAATGCAAATTGAAACCTCAATGAGATGTCATCTTACCCCAGGTCAGAATGGCTATTACTAAAAAGACAAAAAATAACAAACGTTGATGAGGGTGCAGAGAAAAGGGAACTCTTACACACTGTTGGTGGGAATGTAAACTAGTACAGCCACTATGGAAAACAGTATGGAGATTTCTCAAAAAACTAAAAACAGAATTACCATTCCATCCAGCCACCCCACTACTGGGTATCTACCCAAAGGAAAATAAATCAATATGTCAAAGGGAAACCTCCCTTTTCATGTTTATTGCACCATTACTCACAATAGCAAAGATATGAAATCAACCTAAGTGTCCATCAGTGGATGAATGGATAAAGAAAATGTGGTACATATACACAATGGAATACTATTTATTCAGTCATAAAAAGAAAGGAATCATGTCATTGGCAGCAATGTGAATTGAACTGTATCTTAAGTGAAATAAGCCAGAAACAAAAAAACAAATATCATATGTTCTCACTTACATGTGGGAGCTAAACGATTTTATCATACAGAGGTAGAGAGCGAAAAGACAGATAACAGAAACTGGGAAGAGTGAGTGGGGTGGGAGTGGGAGGATGAAGAGACGTAGGTTAAATGGTAAAAACATACAGTTAGATAGAAGTGGCCGGGCGCGGTGGCTCACACCTGTAATCCCAGCACTTTGGGAGGCCAAGGTGGGCAGATCACTTGAGGTCAGGAGTTCAAGACCAGCCTGGCCAACATGGTGAAATCCCATCTCTACTAAAAATACAAAAATTAGCCGGGTGTGGTGGCACATGCCCATAGTCCCAGCTACTTGGGAGGCTGAGGCGGGAGAATCACCTGAACCTGGGAGGCAGAGGTTGCAGTGAGCCCAGATGGCGCCATTGCACTCCAGCCTGGGCAACAGAGTGAGACTCCGTCTCAAAAAAACAAAACAAAACATATAGTTAGAAGGAATAAATTCAATACCTGATAGCAGACTAGGGTTATCTATAGTCAACAAAAATGTGTTGTACTCAGGTGATGACTCTCCTAAGTACCCTGAATTTATCACTATACATTATATACAGTAACAATATTTCACATTTACCCCACGTGAAATAAAGAAAATAGAAAATAAGGCCAGGCACAGCGTCTCATGCCTGTAATCCCAGCACTTTGGGAGGCCGAGCCGGGCGGATCACGAGGTCAGGAGATCGAGACCATCCTGGCTAACACGGTGAAACCCCATCTCTACTAAAAATACAAAAAATTAGCCTGGTGTGGTGGCACACGCCTGTAGTCCCAGCTACTGGGGAGGCTGAGGCAGGAGAATCGCTTGAACCTGGGAGGCGGAGGTTGCAGTGAGCTGAAATTGCACCACTGCACTCCAGCCTGGATGACAGAGCGAGACTCCATCTCAAAAAAAGGAAGGAAGGAAGGAAGGAAGGAAGGAAGGAAGGAAGGAAGGAAGGAAGGAAACTAGAATAACTAAAACCATTTTAATTATAAAGTGAGAGGAATCAATCTACCCAATTCCAGGACTTATGGTAATTAAAACTATATTGTATTGGCAAAGGAATAGACCCAAGATCAATGAAACAGAATAGAGATTCCAGAAATAAATCCACACAAATGTGCTCAACTGCTTTTTGACAATTCCAGACAAAAGTAATCCTAAAATCCAATAGGCTTTTAGGCCTGGCATGGCAACTCACACCTGTAATCCCAGAACTTTGGGAGGCTGAGGCAGGTGAATCACTTGAGCTCAGGAGTTCGAGACCAGCCTGGGCAATATGGCAAAACGCTATCTCTATAAAAAAATACAAAAATTAGCCAGGGGTGGTGGTCTCAGCTAATACAGTCCCAGCTACTTCAGAGGCTAAGGTGGAAGGTCACCTGAATCCAGGAGGTTGAGACCGCAGTGAGCTGTGATTGAGGCATTGCACTCTAGCCTGGGGTGACAGAGTGTGACCCTGTCTAAAAAAAAAACAAAAAAACAAAAAACAAAAAAAACGCTTTAAACAAATAATACTGGAACAATTGGATATCTGCAGGCAAACAAACAAACAAACAAAACCTCAATCTAAACCTCACACCTTGTGCAAAAAAATGTAAAATATAAAACTCTAAAACTTTTAGGAAAAAACAGGAGAAAATCTTCAGGGCTGGGCAAAAAGTTCTTAGATGTGACACCAAAAGCAAAATCCATAAAAGAAAAACCATGATTTTAATTTTATCAAAATTAAAAACTTTTGCTATGCAAAAGCCCATGTTAAGAGGATGAGATGACAAGTTGCAAAGTGGAAAAAAAAACAGCAAACCACTATCTCACAAAGAACTAGTATCTAGAGAGGGAGGAGGAGCCAAGATGGCCGAATAGGAACAGCTCTGGTGAACAGCTCCGGTCTACAGCTCCCAGCGTGAGCGACGCAGAAGACGGGTGATTTCTGCATTTCCATCTGAGGTACCGGGTTCATCTCACTAGGGAGTGCCAGACAGTGTGCGCAGGCCAGTGTGTGTGCGCACCGTGCGCGAGCCGAAGCAGGGCGAGGCATTGCCTCACCTGGGAAGCGCAAGGGGTCAGGGAGTTCCCTTTCCGAGTCAAAGAAAGGGGTGACGGACGCACCTGGAAAATCGGGTCACTCCCACCCGAATATTGCGCTTTTCAGACCGGCTTAAGAAACGGCGCACCACGAGACTATATCCCACACCTGGCTCAGAGGGTCCTACGCCCACGGAATCGCGCTGATTGCTAGCACAGCAGTCTGAGATCAAACTGCAAGGCGGCAACGAGGCTGGGGAAGGGGCGCCCGCCATTGCCCAGGATTGCTTAGGTAAACAAAGCAGCCGGGAAGCTCGAACTGGGTGGAGCCCACCACAGCTCAAGGAGGCCTGCCTGCCTCTGTAGGCTCCACCTCTGGGGGCAGGGCACAGACAAACAAAAAGACAGCAGTAACCTCTGCAGACTTAAGTGTCCCTGTCTGACAGCTTTGAAGAGAGCAGTGGTTCTCCCAGCACGCAGCTGGAGATCTGAGAACGGGCAGACTGCCTCCTCAAGTGGGTCCCTGACCCCTGACCCCCGAGCAGCCTAACTGGGAGGCACCCCCCAGCAGGGGCACACTGACACCTCACACAGCAGGGTATTCCAACAGACCTGCAGCTGAGGGTCCTGTCTGTTAGAAGGAAAACTAACAACCAGAAAGGACATCTACACCGAAAACCCATGTGTACATCACCATCATCAAAGACCAAAAGTAGATAAAACCACAAAGATGGGGAAAAAACAGAACAGAAAAACTGGAAACTCTAAAACACAGAGCGCCTCTCCTCCTCCAAAGGAACGCAGTTCCTCACCAGCAACGGAACAAAGCTGGATGGAGAATGATTTTGACGAGCTGAGAGAAGAAGGCTTCAGACGATCAAATTACTCTGAGCTACGGGAGGACATTCAAACCAAAGGCAAAGAAGTTGAAAACTTTGAAAAAAATTTAGAAGAATGTATAACTAGAATAACCAATACAGAGAAGTGCTTAAAGGAGCTGATGGAGCTGAAAACCAAGGCTCGAGAACTACGTGAAGAATGCAGAAGCCTCAGGAGCTGATGCGATCAACTGGAAGAAAGGGTATCAGCAATGGAAGATGAAATGAATGAAATGAAGCGAGAAGGGAAGTTTAGAGAAAAAAGAATAAAAAGAAATGAGCAAAGCCTCCAAGAAATATGGGACTATGTGAAAAGACCAAATCTACGTCTGATTGGTGTACCTGAAAGTGATGTGGAGAATGGAACCAAGTTGGAAAACACTCTGCAGGATATTATCCAGGAGAACTTCCCCAATCTAGCAAGGCAGGCCAACGTTCAGATTCAGGAAATACAGAGAACGCCACAAAGATACTCCTCGAGAAGAGCAACTCCAAGACACATAATTGTCAGATTCACCAAAGTTGAAATGAAGGAAAAAATGTTAAGGGCAGCCAGAGAGAAAGGTCGGGTTACCCTCAAAGGAAAGCCCATCAGACTAACAGCGGATCTCTCGGCAGAAACCCTACAAGCCAGAAGAGAGTGGGGGCCAATATTCAACATTCTTAAAGAAAAGAATTTTCAACCCAGAATTTCATATCCAGCCAAACTAAGCTTCATAAGTGAAGGAGAAATAAAATACTTTATAGACAAGCAAATGCTGAGAGATTTTGTCACCACCAGGCCTGCCCTAAAAGAGCTCCTGAAGGAAGCGCTAAACATGGAAAGGAACAACCGGTACCAGCCGCTGCAAAATCATGCCAAAATGTAAAGACCATCGAGACTAGGAAGAAACTGCATCAACTAATGAGCAAAATCACCAGCTAACATCATAATGACAGGATCAAATTCACACATAACAATATTAACTTTAAATATAAATGGACTAAATTCTGCAATTAAAAGACACAGACTGGCAAGTTGGATAAAGAGTCAAGACCCATCAGTGTGCTGTATTCAGGAAACCCATCTCACGTGCAGAGACACACATAGGCTCAAAATAAAAGGATGGAGGAAGATCTACCAAGCCAATGGAAAACAAAAAAAGGCAGGGGTTGCAATCCTAGTCTCTGATAAAACAGACTTTAAACCAACAAAGATCAAAAGAGACAAAGAAGGCCATTACATAATGGTAAAGGGATCAATTCAACAAGAGGAGCTAACTATCCTAAATATTTATGCACCCAATACAGGAGCACCCAGATTCATAAAGCAAGTCCTGAGTGACCTACAAAGAGACTTAGACTCCCACACATTAATAATGGGAGACTTTAACACCCCACTGTCAACATTAGACAGATCAACGAGACAGAAAGTCAACAAGGATACCCAGGAATTGAGCTCAGCTCTGCACAAGCAGACCTAATAGAAATCTACAGAACTCTCCACCCCAAATCAACAGAATATACATTTTTTTCAGCACCACACCACACCTATTCCAAAATTGACCACATAGTTGGAAGTAAAGCTCTCCTCAGCAAATGTAAAAGAACAGAAATTATAACAAACTATCTCTCAGACCACAGTGCAATCAAACTAGAACTCAGGATTAAGAATCTCACTCAAAGCCGCTCAACTACATGGAAACTGAACAACCTGCTCCTGAATGACTACTGGGTACATAACGAAATGAAGGCAGAAATAAAGATGTTCTTTGAAACCAACGAGAACAAAGACACCACATACCAGAATCTCTGGGACGCATTCAAAGCAGTGTGTAGAGGGAAATTTATAGCACTAAATGCCCAGAAGAGAAAGCAGGAAAGATCCAAAATTGACACCCTAACATCACAATTAAAAGAACTAGAAAAGCAAGAGCAAACACATTCAAAAGCTAGCAGAAGGCAAGAAATAACTAAAATCAGAGCAGAACTGAAGGAAATAGAGACACAAAAAACCCTTCAAAAAATCAATGAATCCAGGAGCTGGTTTTTTGAAAGGATCAACAAAATTGATAGACCGCTAGCAAGACTAATAAAGAAAAAAAGAGAAAAGAATCAAATAGACACAATAAAAAATGATAAAGGGGATATCACCACCGATAACACAGAAATACAAACTACCATCAGAGAATACTACAAACACCTCTACGCAAATAAACTAGAAAATCTAGAAGAAATGGATACATTCCTCGACACATACACTCTCCCAAGACTAAACCAGGAAGAAGTTGAATCTCTGAATAGACCAATAACAGGCTCCGAAATTGTGGCAATAATCAATAGTTTACCAACCAAAAAGAGTCCAGGACCAGATGGATTCACAGCCGAATTCTACCAGAGGTACAAGGAGGAACTGGTACCATTCCTTCTGAAACTATTCCAATCAATAGAAAAAGAGGGAATCCTCCCTAACTCATTTTATGAGGCCAGCATCATTCTGATACCAAAACCAGGCAGAGACACAACAAAAAAAGAGAATCTTAGACCTATATCCTTGATGAACATTGATGCAAAAATCCTCAATAAAATACTGGCAAACCGAATCCAGCAGCACATCAAAAAGCTTATCCACCATGATCAAGTGGGCTTCATCCCTGGGATGCAAGGCTGGTTCAATATACGCAAATCAATAAATGTAATCCAGCATATAAACAGAGCCAAAGACAAAAACCACATGATTATCTCAATAGATGCAGAAAAAGCCTTTGACAAAATTCAACAACCCTTCATGCTAAAAATTCTCAATAAATTAGGTATTGATGGGACGTATTTCAAAATAATAAGAGCTATCTATGACAAACCCACAGCCAATATCATACTGAATGGGCAAAAACTGGAAGCATTCCCTTTGAAAACTGGCACAAGACAGGGATGCCCTCTCTCACCGCTCCTATTCAACATAGTGTTGGAAGTTCTGGCCAGGGCAATCAGGCAGGAGAAGGAAATAAAGGGTATTCAATTAGGAAAAGAGGAAGTCAAATTGTCCCTGTTTGCAGACGACATGATTGTTTATCTAGAAAACCCCATCGTCTCAGCCCAAAATCTCCTTAAGCTGATAAGCAACTTCAGCAAAGTCTCAGGATACAAAATCAATGTACAAAAATCACAAGCATTCTTATACACCAACAACAGACAAACAGAGAGCCAAATCATGAGTGAACTCCCATTCACAATTGCTTCAAAGAGAATAAAATACCTAGGAATCCAACTTACAAGGGATGTGAAGGACCTCTTCAAGGAGAACTACAAACCACTGCTCAAGGAAATAAAAGAGGACACAAACAAATGGAAGAACATTCCATGCTCATGGGTAGGAAGAATCAATATCGTGAAAATGGCCATACTGCCCAAGGTAATTTACAGATTCAATGCCATCCCCATCAAGCTACCAATGACTTTCTTCACAGAATTGGAAAAAACTACTTTAAAGTTCATATGGAACCAAAAAAGAGCCTGCATCGCCAAGTCAATCCTAAGCCAAAAGAACAAAGCTGGAGGCATCACACTACCTGACTTCAAACTATACTACAAGGCTACAGTAACCAAAACAGCATGGTACTGGTACCAAAACAGAGATATAGATCAATGGAACAGAACAGAGCCCTCAGAAATAATGCCGCATATCTACAACTATCTGATCTTTGACAAACCTGAGAAAAACAAGCAATGGGGAAAGGATTCCCTATTTAATAAATGGTGCTGGGAAAACTGGCTAGCCATATGTAGAAAGCTGAAACTGGATCCCTTCCTTACACCTTATACAAAAATCAATTCAAGATGGATTAAAGATTTAAACGTTAGACCTAAAACCATAAAAACCCTAGAAGAAAACCTAGGCATTACCATTCAGGACATAGGCGTGGGCAAGGACTTCATGTCCAAAACACCAAAAGCAATGGCAACAAAAGCCAAAATTGACAAATGGGATCTAATTAAACTAAAGAGCTTCTGCACAGCCAAAGAAACTACCATCAGAGTGAACAGGCAACCTACAGAATGGGAGAAAATTTTCGCAACCTACTCATCTGACAAAGGGCTAATATCCAGAATCTACAATGAACTCAAACAAATTTACAAGAAAAAAACAAACAACCCCATCAAAAAGTGGGCGAAGGACATGAACAGACACTTCTCAAAAGAAGACATTTATGCAGCCAAAAAACACATGAAGAAATGCTCATCATCACTGGCCATCAGAGAAATGCAAATCAAAACCACTATGAGATATCATCTCACACCAGTTAGAACGGCAATCATTAAAAAGTCAGGAAACAACAGGTGTTGGAGAGGATGTGGAGAAATAGGAACACTTTTACACTGTTGGTGGGACTGTAAACTAGTTCAACCATTGTGGAAGTCAGTGTGGCGATTCCTCAGGGATCTAGAACTAGAAATACCATTTGACCCAGCCATCCCATTACTGGGTATATACCCAAAGGACTATAAATCATGCTGCTATAAAGACACATGCACACGTATGTTTATTGCGGCACTATTCACAATAGCAAAGACTTGGAACCAACCCAAATGTCCAACAATGATAGACTGGATTAAGAAAATGTGGCAAATATACACCATGGAATACTATGCAGCCATAAAAAATGATGAGTTCATGTCCTTTGTAGGGACATGGATGAAATTGGAAACCATCATTCTCAGTAAACTATCGCAAGAACAAAAAACCAAACACCGCATATTCTCACTCATAGGTGGGAATTGAACAATGAGATCACATGGACACAGGAAGGGGAATATCACACTCTGGGGACTGTGGTGGGGTCGGGGGAGGGGGGAGGGATAGCATTAGGAGATATACCTAATGCTAGATGACACGTTAGTGGGTGCAGCGCACCAGCATGGCACATGTATACATATGTAACTAACCTGCACAATGTGCACATGTACCCTAAAACTTAGAGTATAATAAAAAAAAAAAATAAAAAAAAAAAAAAAGAACTAGTATCTAGAACACATAAAAAACTCTCAAAACTCAGCAGTAGAAAAATCAAACAATCCAATCTAAAAATAGGCAAAGGACATGAATAGACATTTCACCAAAGAGGATATATAGATGGCAAATAAGCACACTATTAGCTATTAGGGAAATCCAAATTAAAATCACAATGAGATAGCATTACACAGTTATCAGAATGGCTAAAAGTTTTCAAAGTTACAAAACTAAATGCTGGCAAGGATACAGAACAAGTGGATCACTTATACATTGTTGGTAGGAATGTAAAATGATACTCTTTTTCAAAATAGTTTGGCAGTTTCTTGTAAAACTAAACATGTAGTTACTATATGATCTAGCAATTACACTCTTCAGCATTTATCTCAGAGAAATGAAAACTTTACATCACATAAGACCTGCACACAAATATTCACAGTCAAGCTGGAATCGGCCCAGATGTCCTTCAACAGGTGAATGGTTAGATAAACTGTAGTACATTCATACCATGGAAGGGGGAAACAGATTCTCTAAAACCTCCAGAAGGAATGTAGTCCTGCCCATACCTTGATGTTAGCCCAGTGATATGATGAACAGATTAACTGTATTTTGAAATAATTTCAGACTTTCAGAAGAGTTGCAAAATAATACAGAGAGCTCTCATATACTCTTCACTCAGCCCTCCATATGTACATAACCATAGCACAATTATAAAAAATTAAGATATTAATATTAATGCAATATTATTAACTAAGCTTCAGTATTTAATCAGATTTCATCAGTTTTTCCCCTAATGCTTTTTTTTTTTTTTTTTTTGGCCAAAATCCAATTCAGGATTTTCATTTAGCTGTCATGTCTAGTTAGTCTCCTCCAAACTGTTTTCAGTCTGTCTTTGTCTTTTTTAATGACCTTGAGTTTTTTGTTTTTTTTTTGAGATGGAGTCTTGCTCTGTTGCCAGACTGGAGTGCAGTGGTGCAATCTCGGCTCGCTGCAACCTCTGCCTCCCAGGTTCAAGCGATTCTCCTGCCTCAGCCTCCCAAGTAGCTGGGACTACAGGCGCCCACCACCATACTTGGCTAATTTTTGTATTTTTAGTAAAGACGGGGTTTCACCATGTTGGCCAGGATGGTCTCGATCTCCTGACCTCGTGATCCACCTGCCCTGGCCTCCCAAAGTGCTGGGATTACAGGCATGAGCCACCACGCCTGGCCGACCTTGACATTTTTTAGAAGTACTGGCCAGTTGTTTTGTAGAACGTATCTCAGTTTGGTTTTGTCTGATATTTTCACGTGATTTGATTGAGGTTACACATTTTTTCCAGACACTCACAGGGAGTACATGATATCAATACGTCTTATTACTGGTGATGTTAACCACCCTGATCACTTGGTTAAGAAAGTGTCTCTACTGTAAAGCTACCATTTTCCCCTGTGTAGTTAATAAATACCTTGGGGGAGATACTTTGAGACTGTGCAAATATTCCATTCCTCCTCAAACTTTCACCTATTAATTTTAACATCTACTGATGGATATTTCTTGTAATAATTATTGCTGTGATGTTCTAGTAGTGATATTTTATTTAATTGTATTCTTTTGTTAGGAAGAGCTGTTCCTTCTCCACCATTTATTTATTCAATTATTTATTTTTAGTGGTATGGACTCATGGATATTTTAATTTATTCTGTAAAGTCCAACACTATTGTTATTTTATTATTCAAATTGTTCTAGCTTTTGGCCAATGGGAACACTTTCAAGCTGCCTGTGCCCTTTTAACTTGTTCCCACCCGTTTTACTCATGTTATTTTTATTAATAGATTTTTAAATTTTTGGAATAATTTTAGATTTACAGAATAATTGCAGAGATAGTACACAGCATTCCTATACATCCTTCACCCAACTTCCCTGAATGCTAACATCTTATGTAACCATAATACATTTGTCAAAACTAAAAAGCCAGTACTGGCACATTATCATTAACTAAACTCCAGACTTTATTTGAATTTCACTAGTTTTTCCACTCAGTTCTTTCTTCCATCCCAGGCTCCAATCCAGGATACTATGTTAATTGTTAACTTAGGCCCTCATCCTTTTTTAATCACTTCATTACTTACCACAAAATGCTCTTGTCTCATCTTGTTTTTTCCCTGCCCAGCCCTGGAATCAATCACTTCTCTAAGGAGCCCCACCCACATTGTTTTGAAAAAGTCCCAACATCCAGACAGCACCCTAGATTAACTCAGAATCTCTAGCTGTGAAGTCACGGAATTTAGCTTTTAAAAAGTTCCCCAGGTGATTCCAATGTGCATTTGAGGTTGGGAACCACAAATCTAGACTTTACTTCTGGTGGCTAAAGAATAGTTAAAATTTTGTTAAATTCCCACATGCCAAAGACTTTAGTGTACTTCCCAGCAGGCTCTTAGGCTCCCTGAAGACAAGTTTTTAAAATCTCTCTAACTAGCACACATCCCAGAACCTGGTACATAAATGGTGTTAAAAGAATGAAAGTTAAACAAGTAAATTAAGCTTTGGCTTCCTTGGGGAAATTAGCCTAGGTCTAACTCTTTTCTTAATCCCTCATTCGTCTTTAAATTAGACCCTTTCTGCTGCTGAACACCTATTTCGTAAAACCTTGAGTGAGTCAGTCCAAGGGAAGTAGCATGAAGGCTACCCACCAAAAAGCCCTGGGGCAACCTTTCCAGGCAAAAATCTTTGCATCTCTTCTCTGAAGGACGCTCAGTGGGCCTGATGTCCACTCCCTTTATTTGGATCCTCTTCTGCCACCTTTACCTCTATCAGCCTTTAAGGCTAATGCATTAGAAAAGGTAGCACCATCTTCTTTATTTCCTTTCCTTTGTCCCTCCTCCCTTCTTCTACCTTGTTTTAATGTCTCAGCTTTTTCTGCAGAGATATATAAAGGGCACAGGCTCTGGAGCAGACCAAACCATCATCAAATCCCAATTCCTGCACTTACTAGATATAGGTACTTGGACAAATAACTGAACCTCTCCTAGTCTCTATCCCTAATGTGTGGAATGGGGATAACACCTAACTTGCAGGATTCATGTGAGAAGTCAAGATAACATTTTTGCTAACTGAAGGCACAATGTGTACTCAGAAATAGCAGTTGTGATTGTCATTGTGATTATTACTATTGGTAGCATAATCAGCTTTCTGAATCACACACTATTATTTGGGAGGGACAGGACAAGGCAAATGATTTCTATGAAAGACAGCCATGGCCGGATGTGGTGGCTCATGCCTGTAATCCCAGCACTTTGGGAGGCCGAGGCGGGCAAATCACAAGGTCAAGAGATCGAGACCATCCTGGGCAACATGGTGAAACCTCATCTTTACTAAAAATACAAAAATTAGCTGGGCGTGGTGGCGTGTGCCTGTAGTCCCAGCTACTCAGGAGGCTGAGGCAGGAGAATCGCTTGAACCTGGGTGGTGGAGATTGCAGTGAGCCAAGATTGCGCCACTGCACTCCAGCCTGGCGACAGAACGAGACTCGGTCAAAAAAAAAAAAAAAAAAAAAAAAAAAAAAGCCACAACTCTACCCATCTGCCCAGTGATCTAGTAACTAATAGAAGTTCATTTAGAATTTGCAGAATTCATCACAGGCACCTACACAATCCAGAGGAAATGGTCAAAACTGCATAAAGACAACCTCAGCTAAAGCAATTATCTACTGATACCACCATCTGTATAACCAACAGATAATAATAACTAACATTTGAGGGTGGGGAAATGTTGAAGTCTTCAAAGCGCTTTTGTTTGTGTCATCTTATTTAACCCCTCATAACCTCAAAGTGGCTATTATGACCATTTCACAGGAAGGGAAACTGACGTTACATGATTGAGTCCTGAGCTAGTGAGTAACAGAGCCAAAACTCACACACAGGTCTTTCTGGCTATGACATCCTTGTGATTTCACCACTGAGGTTTTTTTGGTGTGTGTGTGTTTTCTATGTAAGTTTATAAGCGTCAGAAGTGCACACTCACCTCCAGATCTATTTAAAACAGGAGTTTTCAAGAAAATACTTATAAGACGGGCGTCATTGAAGAAAATGTCAAGTCGAAAAATGCTGGGCTTTCCTCTTCTCATTCAGCCTCCCATCTTCTCGTTTCAGCTTAGTGGACGGATGTTTTCTTGGCAACATTTCTGTTCCAACAACTAAATAACCAACAACTAACTAACCAAACAACCAGCATGCTTAGCCTGTGCTAGGAGATGTGGGGACAGCAGAAAAGATGCCCAGGCCCTGGCCCTCCAGGTCAGTGCTGGAAAGAGAAGTAACCACCTGAAGCTAAAGTACCTGGGGTCAAAGAGAGGTCTTGGAAAGACGTAGAAGGAAATACTGAAGATGCTGCTTCTGGTGGGAAATTATAACAATAAAGGCCAGGAGGAGGAAATGAAGGTATAATATGCTGACTGTTAAGCCAGCAGCTGCTTGTAGTCCATATTCGTTTTCAAGGAGTAGTGAGAAATAGGGTTAAATAAATATAGGGTGGGGCCTGAATATGCTGGGTGATGAGAGACAACAGAATTTGGACACCATGTGCTGAACAACTGGGAGCTGTGAAGGTTTTTAAGCTAGGAAAGAACACCATAAATTTGATGTTTAAGCCAGTTCTACACCTTTGCAAATTGTCTTAGTACTGATTTGTTACCTGATGTAAACTAACTAGAATAATTAAATTAGTTCTGTGTAAAACACACACACACACACAGAGAGTGAGACAGAGAGACAGAGAGAGAGAGAGAGAGAGAAAGTACTCAAGGCTCCCATCAACACTGCAAAGTGCCTAGTGTCTTGGAGTATCAAAATTAGAAGTTTCTCTTAAACGTGATTTGACATGAACAAACATCAAAGGCTACAGAGTTCCAATTTTAAGACAATAAAGCAGATAGGTACAAGCAACCAGGAGTGGAGCAGAGAAAACTATGTAATCTCACTGGCAGGGGAAATGTCCCAAACCAAATATTTTTTAGAATGCTATGGAGTACCTTTTCTTCAATGACCAGTAGAGAAATCCAATTTTTATAAGTCTCGTATCCAATGTTAAGCTCACAAATTGTCTTTTTATTCATGTGTATTTTGCTAGAATCTTTGTTTTAATTTGTTCTTACAGTTAACATCTCCAAGACACACACAGTAAGTCTGAAAGAACTACATTGCACTATATAAAACCAGACGATGAGATAAGTAACAAAGTGCACAGAGCTCTGCTTTTATTTATTTTGATGATTTCTCTTTCTAGATTGTTGTGTGGACATTAAGAAGAGAGATTTCCAAACAGAATGCAGGCCTTTTCTTTGGGATGTGGGAATAGAGGTTTAGGAGGTGATAAATCTTTTGTAAAACAGATATACGATATTCTATACACATATTTCAACCCCAGGCCCTGGGAAAGTATTTTTTGCCTTCTTAACCTATATTCAAGGCCCAAACTATTGGATGTATTCTAATTCATACTTACCTGTGAGCAAACATGGAATCAATGCGTAGAAAAACCACATGAAAAGACTTGTCCAGATTTCTTCTAGAACCATTGTGAAAGTCTGCATTTGGTAGACTCAGTTTGACCTAGAACATTGTTTCTTTCCAAAATAAAGCATTCTGTCCATCTCAGCCATCTTTCTTCAGAATGCATATGTTGGAGCTGAGGTCTGAGTCGCAGCGAAGCCTGAATTGTTCTAGAGCCGGCCCAGGAAGCTCAGAAAGGGCGGGCTCCGAAGCACCCTCCTTTCTGCCCAAACCCAGATGTTGCATCAGCAGGGAGTGGCCTAGGAGAGTTCCAGAGAAAATGTAACTTTGGGGAGCTTGAGAATCTGCCTATGAGCAATACCCGGACCACAGGCTCTGTCCTAAAGGACTCTGCACCTCCCTAAAAGCCAATGAGCAGGCAGGATTATCTCCCTCCCTCATTAAATAGCTGTCCTCTTCCAAGTTTCTCTCTGTGAGTTCATTCAAGCTGGGTACTGACTAGCTCTTTTTTCTAATATGTACCCACTTCAGAAAAACTAAAGATATTTGAAAAAATTTAAAATACCCTTCTAAAAGTCAGGAGGGTAAAGAATAATATATAGCTTCATATTTGCATGCATTTGCAAAAAGAAAAACTAAAAGAAGATATAAGAAATGAACAAGATTGGTTACCTTGGGGCAGAGAAAGTGGGAATTGGAAAGGTGGAAGAGAAAAATGGGAACAAGACTTTTGACTGAATATCTTTGTATATCGTTTGATTACTGAGTCACGTGAATGTATTACTGAAAAATTAAAACCAATTTCAATAGGTGGAAGAAAAACCTTGTGATAGTATTTAGCCCTTTAAAATTTAGCCCTTGAAGGACTTTAACCACCCTAATGTGCAAATACAATAGTGGAATAAACATGGGTTCTAGAGTATAATGTATTTTGGTTCAAGTTTCAGAACTTACAATGTAACCTTGGGAAAGTTGGTCATTTATTTATTCATTCAAGAAACCTTCACTGAAGGCCTACTATGTGCTAGTTCTTAGGAATTCAACAGTCCATTCCCTCAACAAGAATTTCCCAACTAGTGGAGAAGATAGACACGGGAATAATCATAAGTCAATTTTTAAAATGAAGGGACAGCAATATTCGTAAGGAAACATAGCATCACTAAAAAGAAACATCTAACCCAGTTTGTAGGATTACAGAAAGCTTCCTGGAGGAGGTGACTCCAGGACTGGGTGTTAAACTCTGGAAAAAAAAAAAAAAAATCAGCCAGGAATGTTGTTTTTAGGAAGCAAGAAGAAGTTTGGTGCAACACGAGAACAAGGTTGAAATGGCGAGAAATAGGGCTTAGTGGCAGACAGAAACAGGATTCTAGAGAGTTTTGAATGCCTTATTGAGGAGCTTGGAATTTATCCTGAGAGGAATGAAGGTCAAAGGAAGGGTTCAAAGCTCAAATATGACCATGTCATTCCCTGCATTTGAGCTTTAAAAAGTTTGTGACTAGGGTGGAGAAAACAGCACAGGGGGCCAGATTGAAGGCAGGAGGGCCATGAGGGAGCTATGGTAGTGATCCAGGTGACAGACATTGTTGGCTTCCACTAGGTTTCTCATGTCTGCAGAGAGAAATGACCAAATTCAAAAGATAAAGAAGATAGAACTGATAGCTCCTGGATATTGAGTGCATTAAGAGGGCTGGGGAGGAGGAGCCAAACATGGCTTTCAGGTTCTGAGTTTGGGTAACTGGGTGGATGGCAGCACCTCAAGTGAAATAATGAAGTGGGTGGAGTGTGGTCAGGACAGGCAGGATTGGGGGTGCTATAGAAAAAGGCTGCAAATGTTCAGCTTGCGAAATTTGAGCTTAGATGCTTATATGGGCAGGGGAGTCTCTAGTATATAAATAATCTTTGTCTCAGGTTGATTGGTGTCAACTTTTTAGTTGTGTTTCTTTAGGCAAGTCATTTAAACTATCTGCTTTATGGTTCTCATCTGAAAATTGGGAACAATTATAATAGTGTCTGACTCAGGGCTGTTGTGAGGATTAAGTGAAACTTAGAACAGGATCTGGCACAAAATAAGTATACAATAAACATTGCTGTATATCTTTTTACCACACCATAGTCAAGAAAACCTGGTGCATATTTTCCTTGATTCCAGCACTGTGAGTCAGTGGCCACATCTGTACTTTGACCTCTGGTCACTAGCTGCTTGTACAGTCTCTCACTGCTCCTCTTAAGAGTGCTTCATACATGGCCTCAACGTCTGTCCCCAATGTTACCTTTGTTCTCCATCTTGGCTTCCTGATTCCTCTCTCCTAAGTTCGCTTCTGCTCACAGTTCCAGCATGTCAAAAGTTAGCAATATAAGCCAATGTGTACTGGATATCTATTATCTGCCAAGAATGTCCTAAAGGGTTTCTACACACTATATACATGTCCATATATTATACAACAGACTTGCAAGGTAAGATATGATTTGATTCTCCACTTTTCAGGTGAGAACACAGGGCTCAGGGAAATTAACTTACTGTAGATCACAGAGCTATTCAGGGATGGAAACAGGAATTCTAACTGAGGTCTGCATAACTCCAAGCTTTTTTCACTCACTTTAACTGCCTCCCAGTTAGCATCAAAGGAATGTGTCTGAGGGACACAAAGGAGTGATCCAAGAGATCAGCAAAGGCTTTAGGGAATAGGTAGACCTCAATATGAGGTTCCGGATGTACCAATTGGATATGGGTAGGAGGGGAAGAGAGGCACACTGTTCATCATTCCTTTTGGGAGAATGATATGAGCAAAGATGGAAAGGTAGAGGGGAATACAGACTGAATTAAGAAGATGAAAATGAAAGTAAACAGAGAAAATGGAGGAAAGAATAAGAATCATTTAGCTATGCTGTCGGAGAAGAAGAGTTGTTTACCAAACTTTGAAGTGTTACGATGGCTAGTTAGCTCCACCTGCTCATTGGTCCCTGTCAAGACACTCCTGTCCAGCACTACAATGCTCTGGCAAGACAGTACTGCCTGCCAATCCTTCATAAGCCATTGCACAGAGTCTGCCCTGGGTTCAGCACACCTCAAGGGGCACTGAGAGATAATGCCATCTGCCTGTCATATTTTTTGAACAATAATCCGTTTCAAGCCTGGGTCATGACCCAACAAGTAACTCAGACCACCCACCTCTGCCTGGGCTGTATCTTTGGGTGAGGACTTCTGGAGGGCTGTGCCTCACCTGCTAGCCCCTAACATTCCTGGATAATCCCTGACCCTGATTTTGCCTTTCTCTTCTGGCTTTGAGGTGCCCCTCTATAGAAAGAGAAGTTGTAATGTCTTGTCTATGCAACATGCACAACGAAACTATTCTCTATCCTGTTTCCTGCACTTCTCAAGTTAATTTCTGGTGCCTTCCACAGAGTTGGAGGGTCATCCATGTCAGAAGATAAACCGCTGGAAGAATAGACCAATTTCCTATAGGTAGGTACAGTTCAGAAATAGGATTTTTTTTTCGATTACACTATTTGCCACTTAAATCTCTGATATTTAATTATGGAAGGAAAAGCAAGCAGAGAAAAGGTTTTATGAAAAGGTAGAGGCAGTGGGGAGGGATGGGAAGTTTTGTGGCCAAGGAAGAGAACCCTAAGCTCTCTGTGCCCTGCAGGGCCAGGACTAAAATTAAGGGAAGCACCTAGGGCGCAAAATCTGAGGCACTCACTCTTAGGGTTGTGCAAGTCCAGGATAGGCCCTGTGTCCTTGAATGAACTATGTGGTCAATTATTACAGTCCAGTAATCTTCCTTTCCCCTACTTAACACAAAATAGTTCCTTCCCTTTGCATTAAGATTCTTAGATATCTATGTTCTGTCTTGTAGCACTTCTGACATTTAGTTGGATTTCACTGTGTCTCTATTTTTTCTTTTTAGAAGTAACACAGGGAATTTAAATAGCGGAATTCCACTTGTCTTAGACTCTTCTAATTCATGCTTCCACCAAGACTGTTCCGGGTGGAATTTTTTTTTTTTTTTTTAGATGGAGTTTCGCTCTTGTTGCCCAGGCTGGAGTGCAATGGCGTGATCTTGGCTCACCGCAACCTCCACCTCCCGGGTTCAAGCGATTCTCCTGCCTCAGCCTCCCCAGTAGCTGGGATTACAAGCATGTGCCACCACGCCTGGCTAATTTTGTATTTTTAGTACAGACGGTGTTTCTCCACATTGGTCAGGCTGGTCTTGAACTCCCGACCTCATGTGATCCCCCCGCCTCGGCCTCCCAAAGTGCTGGGATTACAGGCCTGAGTCACTGTGCCCGGCCCCAGGTAGAATTTCTACACGTTTTTAGAATCTAATTTTCAGGGCTCCTGCATTCCTTTTTCACTTCTGAAATACTTCAGTTTTTCAATTTCCTCCCAAATGTTTGTCTGGTCATCAGGAATTTAACCTCCAGGGTTTCCTTAGAGTGTGCTCAATTAGAACCCTTAAGTCGGCCAAACTGTCCTCTTCCTGTAGTTATCTTTTTCTACCTGACATCCCCCCAAAAAACTCCTCTTAAAATGGAGAATCAGGGTTTATTCAGAATAGCCTTCTGTAGTTAAATGTTCCACATTTCGATAAAATACCATTTTAGTCAAATTAAAAATCTGAAAACCAGAAACAATGCTCTGTAATAGTGAAGTTCCACATAGTTTTCAAATGATTTTGGTTGCTGTATTTTATTCAGTCACTGGTCGTTCGTAGTCATCAGTGATTCTATTAAGTGGAGCACACAGTATACTCAAAGGTCAATTTTATCAGAGGCCTCTTTTTATCATCCTATATAAATTAACACCCTCACCCTCACTCTTCAACCCTCAAATCTGTTCTATTTTAATTCAGAGCTCTTCTCCGTTACGTATCACATCACTAAAATATAAGTTTTATAAAAACTCTGTCCATTTTCTTCACTGTTACATTGCTAGAACAGTCTCAGCTCAGCAATAAAATATTTGAGGTGAGTTGGTTGGATAAATTGATTACGAGTATCTCCAAAAGCTATTTAAACATAAAATCATATAGAGATGTAACAATTAAAAAAAATATTTGCATCTTGACATCATCATATGCCTTGATGAATTTGTTCTCTGTAACATCCCCCTTGCCTATTAAGTCTAGAAAACATCAAGTTTGACATTACTTCTCCTAGAGAAGCCATCCTTACTCAATGATTACTGTTTCCTTCAAAAGTACTCAAAAAATATCAATTTAATAACCATTCCTGTGTTTAGCCTAAAATAGACAACACTTAACAGTCTCATTCTGGAATTCACCTTTTTGTCTCAGTAATTTCATGAAGGCTATCTGAAAGATTTCTCCACAGTCTAAAGATATAAATTATCTGAGCACAGAAATTTATTTAAAGCAACTACCTTAGAAATCTACTTTTAACCCGCCAGGAAATATTCTCAAAGACACTAATTTAGAACACTTCCCTCTGTGAACAAGGTGGCTGATAGCTCAAACTCCTCCTCTGTTCAAAACCCCACCAAGCCTAACCTAGGTTCTACTCATTAAACATATCTCAGCAAACTATGTATGCTTTCAGATACAAGGTGCACCTCATTAGTAAACTAGAAATAAACATTTCAGTTCCTAAGTCATTTGGTTTAGGTCATGTTACAGCAAGAAATTAGGGTGTGGGGGCATGCATATCATGCTGGTCTGTCAAGTGTTTAAAAGATAGCAGAGAATTGAGTCACAAAAACTTGCTAAACACTAACAGAACCAGCCTATCAGAATCGAGTAGCAAGCCAATGCTTCTAATAATGTGTTTCTCCAGAAACAGTAATTTGGCATTCTTTAAAAAACAGTAGTGTTCAAAACATAAGATAGCATCTATACTATATCAAAAGTCCTTTAAGAAAAAAAGTGACCTTGATTGTGAAGCCATTTGGAAAGTTAAAAGTTCTATATAAATGCAAGATTATAAAGGACCCCTTATCTTCTAGCAAAGTATTAAAATGGAAAACTTAGGGAGTACTGTAATGCCACACTCCTCATTTCTTGATTTGGACAATGTAACTGAGTGTTTCTGAAAAAAATGGTAATTTCCAGATTCCAAACCCAAAACTTTCCATGTTATAGGAAAAACAGGGAGAGTAAACTGCATCTGGAGATCTCAACTAGGGGGATAAGGGTTGGGAGTGTGAAAGTTAATTATACAAATTGGGTAATTATTGTCATACCCAACCAAATCAGATTCAATGCATTAAGGGGAAAAAGTACATGAAGGACATAGCAGCTGCTCCAAGAACTCAGTTTTCCACAAGCCCAGCTACTTAAACAGACTACTGTAAACCCTAAGACCAGTTTTACCTAGTAGCTGCTGAAATGACCTGCTGTGACTCTAAGACTGGTTTTACCTATCACTGTCACACACCAATCAGAGCTTGCCACCTCCCAAAAACTTATCTAGAACCAATGAGTTTTCTTTCAAAACATACGTAACATTTCTCTTTATAATAAAACTCCCCATCTTCTCTGTTCTTTAGACATACCAAAAACTACTGTCTGTGTATATGCCCTGAATTACAATTCTTGCTTCCCAAATAAAACGTTTCAGAGATTCGTCTCTATATTTTGACTTGAAAGAAGACTTTATTATACTGTTTGAATTTTTTCACCATGTGCACTGGTAAAGATAAGAGGACCATCCATATTAGATTCCAGCTCATTGTTGACTTGTGGGAATTCAACTCATGTTATTAGCTTCTCATTTTTAAAGGGAAACAAGAAGTCTGAATTTTATGTGAAACTCCCTGATTTTTAAATGTTGGCAATTAATTTTTTAAAGCACTGTGTGGGTTGAACAACATTTCTGTATAAGGCCACTGTGTTTAGATGTACCCTGAAGAAGGTACCCCAGCAACAAGGTGGGAGTGAAATTCAAACTTCTAGAGAAGGGCTGGGCCTGCCTAGAGAATTCTCACAAACGTGCTACAGAGACTGTGACAACTCTGCTTCTATGCAACCTCTGGATTATATGGTAGGACATTACAGCTGGAGATAATTTAAGTGCCATATTCTGCAAGAATGACCTTATTCTAACAACCCAAGTTGCCCATCTGCTAGGCCTATTTATTCTTCTAGCAATGGCAATAGATTGCATGAAGCCTATTTTGTTTAGCAGTATTATTTGTCACTAATAGTGCAAGGTGCATGTGTTAACTGTATAGTGATATATGTGTAATATACATGTGTGAATATATATTCAGCTGAATCCTAAGGTTTTATGACTAAATAAGGGACACAATGGCATTTGTTTTTGTCACAAAGCTTATATCATGTTCTAAAAAACCTTCTAAGATTTTGGGGAAGTTATTTGTAGAAGTGAGTTAGGCAGGGTTCCATCTGACACATGTATTTAAATTTGAAACTAAGCATTCTCCTCATGTGGAAGAAAACTTCTGTAATATTGCCCTTCCCAGGACTCTCCTCCTAGTCTAAAACCAAGCATACACAGAGTAGTGTGTCACGATACAGACACCAGGCTGGGAATAAGGAAACTTGGTTTCTTATACAAGTATTGTTACTATCTAGCTATGTAGAGTTTTCCAGGGTTGTTTCAGTTCTTAAAGTTACTTCAAGTATTATAAAAACAGTCACTGGTATAAGCATTGGATTAAGACTTTTTAAAAATTGGTAAAATATTTAAGTACAAAATAAGTAGCTTCCAGCGAGGTTTTTATACCATAGTAAGAGCACACAATAGATATTACTAGCACACATGGGTTATCTGGGAGCGCTATAGCTACAATAAACCTAATTATGGAACAGAAATTTGCATTCTGTTTCCAGTGCTACTACACTCCTACTTTCTCAAAAGTCTGCTCTATTAATATCAGCTCAGTGCAGTTTACTATGAATAGTTTATGTCTGTGATGCAAAGCATTAATTGTTCTCTTTTTACAAACATACATTTTTTTCATAAGGAAGACTGGGGGAAAACCCAGAAACATACAGAGAAAAGGAAAGCATCATCAAATATATGTTAAAAATTAAGATGATGTTTACTACTAGTCATCCTACAACAATTTAAAGTTTTCCTCAATTTATATTCATTTGATTTTACAGCAAAGATAAGCATACATGATTTTTATTTCCATTAAAAACTTAACTACTAATAATTACCCTCAACAAAGGAGTACTGAGTTAGAAAAATAATAGAATATGAACTAAAATGTTTTAAAAGCAGATGTAATAGAGATGAAAATTTGTCTTAATTATATTTGGTCACTTCTGTTGCTTAGTGGGAGAAGCCATGGCTGCCACCCAGTGGCAACATAAGTCTTTAAATGATTTTAAGATTTAAATAATATTTAAAACATTGATAAAAAAAATTCACAAGTTACACAACTTCAATTTTACCATCAGTAATTCTGGCGTATTAGATATCTATTTATAACAGCAAAGAATTAAAACATCCATATGCTTAGGCAGCATTAGGGAATTTGTTGAAAGTATCATACGACATCCTACTCAGTTATGTGGCTTTAGTATTTTTCAATTAAAATACTGATGGCTACTTTACTTAAATTTAAATCTCCAGAATAATAGGGGGACAAATTATGACCATAAAATACAACTGGTTTTCTTCTATAGCCTACAGAAGCAGATTGGCCTCTTATCCATACACCCAAATTCCTACTTGGTTAAAAAACAAATTAAAAAATTAAAAATAATATAATTTTCCCTAACCATGAGCACATTCTATTTTTTCCTCAGGTATACATCAGTTTTAGTGTCCCAATCAACAAAACTTAAAGCTGAAAAGAGGAAATGAAAATAGGTAATACCATTCCTGACAATTACTGATATTTAGTGAGGAGAAAAAAACAAGTATCTCACTGCTTCCTGTTTTTGCAAAACTTGGCCATAACTTATTTCCCACTGGCATAAATATAACATGTCCTAATACAAGATGCTCTAGAGGTAAAATAATACAAGTGGGATTAAAAAAATAAATAACACTAGAGCATCTATTTACAGTTTGAAAAGCTAAATATCTCAGAGACTGTTTTGTTTTCTTGAATAACCAGATGAGGGAGAAGCACTGGAAAAAAATTAAGTGATTTTTATTTCCAACAGTTGTAAATTAAAATTGTACAACATGTTTTCTAATCTATGTCTCATGTGTCTTGCTGTATGACTGAAGACAATGAATGTATTTTTAAAAATTATGGCAGACACAATATACTTGGTATTTACAATGGCCTGTGACAAATATAATACCTGGAAATAATTTCTAATTTTCCACTTATTATTGCTATTTAGTCACAGAAAAGATTAACACTCTCCAAGAAATTTTAGCATATGTCATATATAGATATAATAATTTTATATAATGAAAAACCATAACAGAACAGGGTGCCTTTACAAGGAAACAAAGGAAAGGCAATAAAGGATTTCTTCCATATAAAGATTCTGATATGCATTATTTGATTTTTGTTTACAAAATACAAAACTGTAATATTAGAAGCAAAGGGAAAACAGCAAAGAAAAAAACAATAAAACAGAAGGCCAAGGATAAGGAACTGTTCTATGCAGATGCACTGCATACATAGTATATATGTATGGGCTGAGTTATAATAAAAATACTTATTGTCAATTCTCATATAGATTTAGAAACAACAATTTCCAATCAAGCACGACTGGACCCAACATTTTCTCAGTCTTCAATTACATGACAAATTACAGCTACACAGCAGTCACTTCTGGTCAGCAGTATCATGATAAATGCTTGACAAGATATAATTTTTCTCCTTGTTCACTTGTAAAAATTGGTGCCTTTTTGTAATGTTCTACAAGTTCTTCCATGGTGCTGAATTTACGCTGCCCAATGCAGTAGACAGTCTCTTTTAGTTGGACTTTAAAATGCTTGTTTTTCCCTTGTGCTTTTAGTGATACTGAGAAATCATTTGGCTAAAAGAGAAAAAAAAGATACATATAGTAAACATTTTGAAAGCCCTCTATCAGTATTTTTATATTAAACTAAAAGCTAAAATCTAAGCACTTACTAAGTCCTAGGCACCATGGTAAATTATTTACATAGATTATCTCCTTTACTCTTCAAAACAAACCCTTTTTACACATGTGAAAACTGAGTCTCAAAGAAGCTATTAATAACTTGGCCAATATCATCCATCTAGTTAACAACAGAGCCAGGATTCAAACCTGCATAATCAAAAGTCTCTTAACACCCACGGCTCCAACAGCAGACACCCACAGCAAATCCTTTAGTTAAATATTTGAAGAACAAGAGCTATCTTCTCTCCAGTCAGAGAAACACATGAGAAAGTCTAAGATACCCACCCAACCCCTTTTCAATGTGTAGCTAACAGTAGCTGTCTTAGAGATAACATGCTGAATTCCCAAAAATGAAGAATACACAAATGAGAATTAATCTAAACTTTAAGGAGAGGCTACAAACTCAAATGCCTACAAGAGCCAAAAGAATAATGTAAATAAGTGTCAGAGTGGAAAGGTAGATGGGCAGAGGAAATGACAGTGTATCACCAATCTAAACAAGTGGTGACTTCTCAGCTGTGATTGTTGCCTTGCAGGAACCGGGTCTCAATGTTGGTAGTTCTTCCAATTTTAAATGGTCTAAAGTCTGAATTTTTATAATAAATATCCTAATATTTAAATATCGGCAATGAATTTAAATGTTTAAAAAACACTGTGAAGGCTAAACAAAATATGCCTACTTGAGACCTCTAACCTTAAAAAGTATACTGCTAAAAATAATGGTATATATTGCATTTTGTCTAATATCTACACTCAATTACCCACAAGAAAATACATACAATTCTGCATTCAAGCTATCTTCTTTTTAATTAGTTTTGTTGTTGTTGTTACAGTCTATATCAACCCCCAAAGCCTCTTTTTCTACAGTTACTCCCAAAGTTTCAAACAGTGAGCCAGATCAGGCAACTAACAGAAAATGGATGTCATCACTCTTCCCTACTGCCAACCAACTGCTTTTCTGAGGGATTAGGCACAGGCCCCATTTTCCTGAACTTCACATCAGGAAGTTCAATTAATCTCTCTCCCCACCACACCCCACTTCCACACATTTTCTTTCAAAATTTTGTGCAATTACACATTCCCTTTTGTACAAATATACTCACGCAAAGCCAAGATTAACCATGATTTAATAAATGGAAAAGTAGTGATATCTTTCATCAAGGAAAAAGAAAGGCCATTTTTAAGGAAAATGAGTGTCATCAAATTCTAATATCCTAAGCAGTATCTAAAAGAGACCATGAAACCATATTATTTTTCAACTTTTATGGTTTTATAGTTTTATTGTTTACTAGTATTGCAATATAATTTATCTTTTATTGCAAATGCATTTCAAACACTGCTAAAATAGGTTTTTTGAGGTTATAATAAAAGTGCATTCCAATTTCCAAGTAACCAATTTATGAAGAAACTTAATATCAATTTTTTAAATTCAGGGATTTCCTATGTCATAAGGACTACAGTGACTACCTTCTTACACATTGCATCCAATAGCAATTTTTTAAATGTTTCCCAGTTTAATCTATAGTATTATTCTACTCTCAATGAAGAGGCCAGTGTTCCATTTTCTCCATTTAGTTTAATGCAACAGAAACAGAAAATATATCAGGAATGCAAAATCAACAGAACTAGACAAGACGAAATAATTCAGTGTGTAGCAACACTGCCACAGCTCTCTTTTATTCAAAATAGATAGCTAGAAAGAATGCGGACTTTAGCTTTGGAACATTTATGCTTATGTTACGTCCCAGCTTGTTACCTGGTTAACTTTAGGGAAGCCACTTAACCTCTCCATTTCTCTCTCTCTTTTTTTTAAAATACCCAGAGCTCTATTTGTATTTACCTCCGAAAATCAACTTACCGAAGATTCACTATCACGAATGAGGAAATCCCCTTCATGTCCTCTTTCATTTAATGCCATTTCTGCTTGATGCCTGGTGACTTTGCCATAATACCAAGGATTGCCAGCAAACTTTCCAGTGAGTGAAGGCCTAATGTAATCACACTGTGGAGGTGATGGTTCCAAACCTGAAGTTAATGGATTATTCTGCATAACGGTAACATAGTTTTTTGGTACTAGACCAACCATACCATTGATCTTCCTGCATTTCCACCACTCTGGGTCATTTTCAGGTTTTTCAATAACATCCATTACATCTCCTTTCTCGAAATTAAGTTCTTCATCATTAGATGAGCTGAATGGGTAAAGAGCCTGTACCACATGCAACACTTGCCCAGTATTTAGGTTATTGACGACTGCTGCTAATTTCTCTGACAGAGAACCCACATGGTCACCCAAAGGACTGTCACCTTCTTCAGTTACATAGTTTGAAGGGAACCATCCAACTTGTCCATTGTAGCTACCACGCCACCACCCATCACTGCATTTCTCCATGACGATCACCTTTGTCCCCTTTATCAATGATAATTCATCCTCTCTCTCAGCCATGTAGTTAAATTTCACATAAGCGGGCATGTTGAGGTCATAGAGACGTTCCCCTGGGTCAACAAAACTATCATCAGCAGGAGATGCAGAATCTGGCACACTAGGTTTTCTTTTCACTTTTCCAATGCCTGTTGAAATTAAAAAGGGCCATGAGAGGAGAATATAAAAAAATGATTACCAAAAGAATGAACTTATTCATTATTAAAAAGAGATCTTCAACTCTATATAGATCTTTAAAGCTTTTAAATATAACAAATTTCTATGTAGTTAAAAATCATCTTTTTGGAAATAAGATGCAAATTTTCTTTTTCTTAACCAAATAAATATTTAATTTGTTATTATATGACAGTTCACCATCTTTTCTCTTGTCAAAGGCCCTGAAATAACTATATAACATAATTATAAAGTTGTCCTAAATTAATGAATTCCCTCTTAAATGTAAATATAGATTTCTTTCATAGCTACAATCTAAGTACACAAAGGCTCCACCACACCCATACTCTTCTTGTCTTAGTTTAAGCAAGCTAGATTCTACAATGAGCTGTATAAAAATAAAATTATTTCTATCTTAAATCAGAATATGATATGCAATATAAAATTGCAGTTATGTCTGGCTAATCTTCCCATTTGCTTTCTTGGTTCCCAGACCCAGGTAGCTCTATTTACCTCATATGTTTATTTTAAAATATTATTTGTTTTTCTCCCCTTACCCCAGTCATATGTAACCTCCAAAAGGACAGGGAGTTTTGTTTGTTTACAGATAGAATCCCAAGGATCTTGTATAGTGCTTAGTACACAGTAAATGCTTAACACATATGTGTTGAAAGAAATGAGAAAATCACCAAATGGTACTATCAATACAAATGTACGCTACATCAACTTCAGTCAGGCATTTTCACTGCTGCCCATTTCTTAGCGTGTGATTTTATGCTCTACTTTACCTAGAAAACTGAGGCTTCCCTAGGTAAAACTTCTCAAATTCCTTTTGTCTCAAAACTCTCATTATCCTCACTCTCGTTCTTCACTCAAGTCTCCAAATCCTGATCCTTCTAGGATCTTAATACTATCTTTCCTGACTCTCTTGGGACTCTCGACATCCTTGTTTTCCTTCCTATTTAGTCCCTTCAATTGTCTAAAAACACACTCATATCTTTTCTACTCCAAAATGAAGTTACTTTAACTCTGCTACAACTTTTAAACCGTAACATTTTGGTAATTTATTTATTTTTTCTCTAACTGGTCCAATTTTCCTATAGAATAAACTATACCACTCTTTTAAAAGTTGTCTTTCCCGGCTGGGCACGGTGGCTCATGCCAGTAATCCCAGCATTCTGGGAGGCTGAGGCGGGCAGATCACAAGCTCAAGAGATCGAGACCATCCTGGCCAAACATGGTGAAACCCCGTCTCTACTAAAAATACAAAAATTAGCTGGGTGCAGTGGTGTGCACCTGTAGTCCCAGCTACTCAGGAGGCTGAGGCAGGAGAATCGTTTGAACCTGGCAGGCGGAGGTTGCAGTGAGCCAAGATCACGTCACTATACTCCAGCCTGGCGACAGGGCAAGACTCTGTCTCAAAAAAAAAAAAAAAAAAAAAAAAAGGTTGTTTTTCCTTTTCCCTCGACTTTTTCACCACTCACACTCCCAACTCTTTATTATCTGATCCTTTGTCTCCAACATTCTAACAAAACTACTCAATTAAAACCATTCTTATGAATACCATTCTTATGTCATCTCTCCTTACTGTCAAATCAGTAACTTTTAAAGTCCTCAGCCTTCTCAAACTCTATATGCAGCAACCAAGATCACAGCCCACTCTCTCCATTATGTTTTCTTCTTCTTTGACTTCCCCGAATTTCTTATTTTCCCTCCCAACCTGTTTACATATTCTTGTTTACCTCTGTCTAGGCTCCTCTAACCTTGTTATTATAACACTGCATTGTACTTGTTTACTTGTCTGTCTTCCTCAATATGAGTGAACTTCCTGAGGGCAGAAAACGAGATCTTATTCGTTTCTGTCTCCAACGCTTAGCAGTACATACATCAGTAGTAGGAACAAAGGAAAAACAAAATTATGTATTCAGCAGTCAGCAAACATGCTGAATGAATAAATGAAGAATTCCTTAGCTGAAAGTGTTTCACAAGATGACATACTTGACCTTCCTCTCTATTCCAAGGAAATCATACACTTTCATTTTCTATAATTTCTGTGCAGAAGGTTCCCAGATCTCTTTGCAGCTCTAAGACCTTTCTGGAATTCAGGCATTACAATTCCAACTGTCACTAGACACCCACAGATTGTGCCATCAGTACCTCAAACCCAACACTCATGTCCAAATAAAAATAATCCAGTCTATACCCCTAAATCAACTTCTTCCTTCCTAATTTTCTTACTTCCGGTTAATGATAGCCTTCAGAGAAATCCCTACATTTGGGGTGATACCACCAAAAATAGTAGAGTAAGGAACTCCAAGGCACTGTCCCTGCAAAAAGCAATGAATGCAATTAATGAGCTGGTAAATACTGTCAGACTCAACTTTTGCAGAACTCTGGAATCTAGTAAAAAAAAAAAACTTATAAAATCTAGGGCAAGGCTTGGTAAAGAAAGAAGTTGCTGCTTTGTGGTAAAGAGAGTGCTATCGCATCCTAAGTTGCCTGCCCACCATCCCCCACACCCCAAGTCAGTGATGGCTGTGTGGACAGTAACCTGCACTCCTAATGCCAGAGGAAGCAATACAGATCTCATTCTTAAACAATTGTGATTGTGGGTTTCAACTTGTCTGGCAGCTCCCTGAAGGACCTGAGCAATGGCTTGCCTTGGCTTTGCCTGACTTGAATCATTCCCAGGCATAGGGAGTCTTCCTGGGTGGTTTTTGCAAAAATCATTTAATGGATGCAGCAGCCTGGGGCAAGGGACAACAACTGGGACAAGGAACAGACAGATGGAAAAGCCTGGACAGAAAGGGGATGGGAAAGAATATACATGGGGTAATAAGGGGTGTGTATACCAATCAAGAAGGACGTGCACATGGCCAGGGCTGGATGCACATTCAGGAAAGGCCCAAGAAGACCCTAAGCTTTCACCCTGGCTGATCTTCAGGCTTTGAGCAAACAGTAAGCAAAGGCTAAGGCAGAATTATAAATGGCATCACTAAGTGGTCAAAAACTGCCCCAACATAAAGCCATCTGTAAAGATGGGGAGAGGTTTTCTTTTGTTTGTTTGTTTTTTCTTTTGGCTCCAGGTGTTTAACGAAACTCTGTTAAAACCCTAGCTGATTACTAAGCAAATGGAATAGACTTCAGCGGCCCCACATGACCAGGAATATAGAGCTTATAAAAGTAGTTTAGTAAAGTCACTAAACAAGCAAACAACAACCACTCACAATAAGCAGCAGTAATAAGCCCTGGGGAGGGGATAGAATCTGATCTGATGCTGAAAGCAAAAGAGCCAACAAAGAATTCTATATTTAGCAAAACTGTCCTTCAAAAATGAAGGAGAACATAAGACATTCCCAGATAAACAAAAACTAAAGGAATTCATCACTACCAGACCTGTGCTAAGAAATGCTAAAGAGAGGCTGGGCACAGGGGCTCACACCTGTAATCCCAGCACTTTGGGAGACAGCGGTGGGTGGATCACGAGGTCAGGAGATCGAAACCAGCCTGGCCAACATGGTGAAACCCCGTCTCTACTAAAAATACAAAAAATTAGCCGGGCGTGGTGGCACACGCTTGTAGTCCCAGCTACTCGGGAAGCTGAGGCAGGAGAATTGCTTGAACCCGGGAGGTGGAGGTTGTAGTGAGCCAAGACCGCACCACTGTACTCCAGCCTGGGAGACAGAGCAAGACTGTCTCAAAAAAGAAGTGCTAAAGAGAATCCTCCAGGCTAAAATGAAAAAACACTGGACAGTAATTTGAAGTCATATGAAGAAATAAAGAACAATGGTAAAGGTAGCTACATAAGTAAATATAAAAGTCAGTAGTATTGCAGTTTTTTTTTGTAAATTCTCCTTTTCTTTCCTACACAATTTAAAATACAAATGCATAAAACAAAAATTTCAATTCTAGGTTAATGGGCATATATTTTAATGTGTAAAGATGTAATATACAAAGATGGAGCTGCAAAGGAGCAGAGTTATGCATAGTACTGAAACTAAGTTGGTATTAATTCAAACATGATTGTTAAAAACCTAAGATGTTAATCCCCAGGGTAACCACTAAGGAAAAACAAAAATACAGAAAGAGAAACAAGAAGGGTAATAAAACAATATATTAGAGAAAATAGTCCAGTCACAGAGGCTCACACCTGTAATCCCAGCACTTTGGGAGGCCAAGGTGGGCGGATCACTTGAGGTCAGAAGTTCAAGATCAGCCTGGCCAACATGCTGAGACCTCGTCTCTACCAAAAAAATACCAAAAAATTAGCCAGGCATCGTGGCATGCACCTGTAGTCCCAGCTACTCGAGAGGCTGACATATAAGTGTCGCTTGAACCTGGGAGGCAGAGGTTGCAGTGAGCAGAGATTCCACCACTGCACTCCAGCCTGGGTGACAGAGTGAGACCCTGACCCCCACCCTCCAAAAAAAAAAAAAAAAAAGAAAAAGAAATCACAAAAGAAGACAGTAATAGAAGAATTGAAAGAAAAAAAAGTAAATGAAAACAGCAAAATAGCAGAAATCCTTCCTTATCAGATATAACTTTAAATGTAAATAGATTAAAAATAACATGATGCAACTGTTATCTGCAAGACACTCACTTTAGATCCAAACAAAGATGCAAATAGGTTTGAAAATGAAAGGATGGAAGAAGATATCCCATGTAAAGGATAACTGAGAGAGTGGGGTGGCTATATAAATATCACACAGCATAGGCCCGGCGCGGTGTCTCATGCCTGTAATCCCTGCACTTTAGGAAGCCGAGGCGGGTGGATCACTTGAGCTCAGGAGTTCAAGACTAGCCTGGCCAACATGGTGAAACTCCGTCTCTACCAAAAATACAAAAATTAGTTAGGCATGATGTCAGGTGCCTGTAATCCCAGCTACTCAGGAGGCTGAGACAGAAGAATCGCTTGAACCTGGGAGGCGGAGGTTGCAGTGAGCCGAGGTCACGCCACTGCACTCCAGCCTGGGCAACAGAGCGAGACTGTCTAAAAATAAATAAATATATATCACACAACACAGACTTAAAGACAAAGGACAGCATATATTGATAAAAGAATCAGTCCATCAAGAAGTGTAACAGTTACAAATATATGCATACCTAACAAGAGAGCCTCAAGGCATATAAAGCAAAAAATGACAGAATTGAGGGAGAAAAATAGTTCAATATACTTGGAGACATCAATACCCCACTTTCTGTAAGGGACAGAACTAAATGAAAAATCATTAAGGAAATAGAGGCCTTGAGCAGTACTATAAACCAACTAGACCTAATAGACATATAGAGAATATCCCATCAAACAAAAGCAGAATATATCACACATTTTTCTCAAGTATACATGGAATATTCTGCAAGATAGACCATATATTAGGACACAAAACAAGGCTCAATAGGCCAGGCACAGTGGCTCAAGCCTGTAATTCCAACACTTTGGGAGTCCAAGGTCGGGGGATCACTTGAGCCCAGGAGTCTGACGGCAGCCTGGGCAAGATGGTGAGACCTTGTCTCTACAAAAATAAAAAGTAAAATAAAATAATTAGCCAGGTGTGGTGGTGCATTCCTGTAGTTCCAGCTACTCAGGAGGCTGAGTTGGGAGGATTGCTTGAACCCAGGAGTTCAAAGGCTACAGTGAGCCATGATCATGCTACTGCACTCCAGCCTAGGTAACAAAGAGAGACCCTGTCTCTATTTTAAAAAAAAAAAAAAAAAAAAAAAGGCCTCAATAAATTTGAGATTGAAGTCATACAAAGTATCTTTTCTGACCACAATGGAATGAACCTAGAAATCAATAACAGAAAGGAAAACTGGAAAATTAACAAGTGTGTGGCAACTAACACTCTCTTAAACCAATAGGTCACCAAGAAATTTCACAAGATTAGACACTACTGTGAGACAAATGAAAATGAAAACACAACATACAAAAACCTATGGGAGGCAGCAAAGGCAATGCTCAGAGGGAAATTTATAGCCCTAAAAGCTTGCATAAAAAAGAAGAAAGATCTCGAATTACCAACTTAAATTTAATCTTAAGGAACTGGAAAAGAAAAACTAAACTCAAAGCAAAAAGAAGGAAATAATAAAAATCAGAGCAGAGATATACACAAAAGAGAACAGAAAAACAGAGGAAATCAACAAAACCAAAATGTGGTTATTTGAAAATATCAGTAAAATTGAAAACTCTTTAGCTAGACCAACAAGAGAGACACTCAAATAAATAAAATCAGAAATAACATTTCTACAGACCTTACAGATATTTTAAAAAGGATTATAAACAAATACTATGAACAACTGTATGCCAATAAATTAAAAAACCTAGAAGAAAAACATCAATTCCAAGAAACACACAAACTACCAAAGCTGACTCAGGAAAAAATAGAAAATCTGAACAGACATATAACAAGTAAAAGATTCAATCAGTAACAAAACATCTCGCATCAAAAATGTGCTCTGGACCAGATGGTTTCACTGGTGGATTTTACTAAACGTTTAAAGAGGAATTAACATCAATGCTTCTAAAACATCTCTAAAAAGAAAAAAGGAGAGAATACTTATTAACTCATTCTATGAGGCCAATATTACCCAGAATACCAAAGCTATCACAAGACAACTGGCTAATATCACTTAGAAATATAGATGCAAAAATCCTCAACAAAATTCAGTTGATTTTCATTGTTTGCAGTAGTTATGTTCTATAAAGTTACCATAAATACTGAATTAGCAAATACTGAACCACAGCTCCTAAGGGAAAAACAGGGTTAGGCTCCAATCATGTTTTTGTTAACCAATCACTACACAACCCTGTTTTATGTGTGTTTCTCTTTAAAGACACTTTAATATAAATTGTGATTAACATAGAATTCACAACATCACTATAACTCATGCCTAAATGAAGCTTATCTAACACACATTTTTTCCATAAGCAAATTCACAGCTTTCTTGTGTTTATGAACTCTAGGCAACACTTCATCACTATGCTTGGGGGCCATTTTAAACAGCAAAATCATCAACAAGCACAAAAATGCAAAAAATGTGGTACTAAATAGACTGCACAAAGGACACTGGTTTATAGTATGAAAGCTGAAATAAGAAGGAAGAACATTGCCTCAACTGGGAATGTGCACATCAGATGACTCACATTTTTGCCACACTGCACATGTCCACAAAACACTGCAATTATCAACTTTGGGCTTATAAATAAATTTTAGCCAATAAGTGAATTCACAAATACAGAATCTGTGAAAAATAAGGATCATTTGTACTAGGAAAACCAAATCCAGCAAGCATATTAAAAGGACTGTATATGAGTAAGTGGGATTTATGCAAGGGTGGTTCAACATATGAAAATCAATATAAGACACCTCATATTAGTAAAACAAAGGGGAAAAAACAAATGACTATCTCAATTGATGCAGAAAAAGTATTGGACAAAATCCAAAACCGTTTCATGATAACAATGCTCAGCAAACTAGGATTAGAAGGGAATTTCCTCAATATAATAAAGGGCATCTGCAAAAAACTGTGGAGCTGACATCACACTCAATGGTGAAAGACAAAGTTTTCCACCGTAAGAACAGGAACAAGACAAGAACAAGGATGCTCTCCTTCCACCACTTTTATTTAACATTGTATTGGAAGTGCTAGTCAAAGCAATTAGGGAGGGGAAAAAGTATCCACAGATGACATGATCTTATAAATAGAAAATCCTAAAGAATACACACACACCCACACACTCACACAGAGTGAGAATAAAAAAATTCAGCAAAGCTGCAAGATCAACACACAAAATCAGTTGTATTTCTATACGTTAACAATGAACAATTCAAAGACAAAATTAAGAAAATAATCCATTTATAACAGCATTAAGAAGAATAAGATACATAGGAATAATTTTAACCAAGTATCAGACTCATATACTAAACACTGCAAAACACCGCTGAAAGAAATTAAAGAAGACTTAAATAAACGGAAAGATATTCTGTGTAAGATGGCAACAGTATCCAAAACAATCCACAGATTCAATGCAATTCTTACTAAAGTTCAACCATTTTGTTTTTTCCACAGAAATGAAAAGGCTGATTCTAATATTCACACAGAACTGCAAGGTGGACCCTAAGCAACCAAAACAATCTTGAAAAAGGAAAATCAAGTGGGAGGACTCTCCCTTTCTGATTTCAAAACTTACTACAAAGCCACAGTAATCAAAACAGTGTGGTATTGGAATAAGGACAGACATATACAGCAATGAAATAGAATCGAGAGTCCTAAAATAAACCCATGGATCTATGGTCAATTGATTTTCATCAATGGTGCCAAGATCACTCAATGGGAAGAAAGAATAGTTTCTTCAACAAAGGGTACTGGAACAAATGGATATCTATAAACAAAAGAATGAAACTGGACTCCAACTTCACATCATATATAAAAATTAACTCGAAATGACCAAATGTCAGAGCTAAAACTATAAAACTCTTAGAAGAAAACATAGGAGCAAATATCTGTGACCTTGGATTTAGCAATGGATTCTTAGATACTGACACTAAAAGCATAAGCAACCAAAAAAACAAGATCCATTATACTTCATTAAAATTGAAAACATTTGTGTATAACACACTATCAAGAAGTGAAAAGACAACCTACAGAATTAGAAGAGAATATTTGCAAATCATAATTCTGATAAGGGTCTAGTATCCAGAACATATAAACAACTCTTAGAACCCAACAACAAAAACAACTACTTCAAAAATGGGCAAAGGACTTGAATAAAGATTGTTCCAACTACGGTATACGAATGGCCAACAGGCACATGAAAAGATCCTCAATATCATTAGTCATTAGAGAAATGTAAATCAAAACCACAATGACCCTACCTCACACCAACTACAATGGATATAAGCAAAGAAAGAAAGAAAATAGGTGTTGGCAAGGATATGGAGAAACTGGAATCCCCCTTACAATACTGGTTGGAATGTAAAATGGTGCCACCATGTGAAAAACAGATGGTTTCTCAAAAAGCAAAGAATTACCATACGATCCAGCAATTCCACTTTTAGGTATACACTTAACTGAAAATAGATATTCAAACAATAACTGTACATGAATGTTTATCACAACGCTGTTCACAATAACCAAAATATGGAAACAATTCAAATGTCCATCTATGAACAGATGAGTGGATAAACAAAATGTGATATATACATATAATAGTTATTCAGCCAGCCGGGCACAGTGGCTCACGTCTGTAATCCCAGCACTTTGGGAGGCCGAGGCGGGCAGATGACTTGAGGTAAGGAGTTCGTGACCAGCCTGGCCAACATGGTGAAACCCCATCTCTACTAAAAATACACAAATTAGCCAGGCGTGGTGGCATGTGCCTGTAATCCCAGCTACTTGGGAGGCTGAGGCAGGAGAATCACTTGAACCCAAGAGGCAGAGGTTGCAGTGAGCTGAGATCACGTCACTGCACTCCAGCCTGTGTGACAGGGCGAGACTCTGTCTCAGAAAAAAAAAAAAAAAAAAGTTATTTAGACATAAAAGGGATGAATTACTGATATATGCTACAACATGGACAAAACTTGAAGATATTATACTAAATGAAAGAAGCCAGACACAAAAGGTCACATACTGTATGATTCCATTTATATAAATTATCCAGAATAGGTAAATCCATAGAGACAGAAAGCAGATTAGTAATTGCCAGGGACTGATTGAGAGTGACTATTTTTGGGGTGATGGAAACATTTTGGAATCAGAAGTGATGGCTGCACAACACTGTTAATGTACTCAATACTACTGAATTACATACTTTAAAATGGTTAATTTTATGTTATACAAATTTTACCTCATAAAAAAATTTTTAAGAGTCTTACATCAAATCCTCACAATCCTATCTCCTTATTGCCAACACTTTCCCTTCTCACTATGGTCACTCTTCTTCAGGCCTATTATGTTGTACCAGAGGTTTCGTGACCCCACTAAACTAGTTTCCTTATTAATTCAGTTTCTCCCTCAGTCGACCCATCATCCATATCAACCAGTCTGATCTTCCTATAAATAAAGCTGCAATCACATGACATCACTGCTCAAAAGCCAACAGTGGCTGTTTCACATAGCAGATTCTCAATAAATGTCAAATTGAGTAAAAGTGAATAATGATATGAGGCACATACAAAAAAAAAAAGTTAAACCTGAAAATACAGACTAAGTTTCAAATGATATTTTTGAAAATTCAGAATTTGCACAGTTTTGTATGGTAAAAGAAATGCAAAAGATCAGTAAAACCTAGAATGATTCTCTCTGGAAGCTTATATTTAAAAACATTATGTCTAAGACTAATTACACATTGTCAAAAAAAGAATGGCCCAGCACGGGGGCTCACACTGTAATCCCAGCATTTTGGGAGGCCGAGGCAGGCAGATCACCTGAGGCCAGGAGTTCAAGACCAGCCTGGCCAACATGCGAAACCCTGTCAGTACTAAAAATACAAAAATTAGCCAGTCATGGTGGCGCACACCTGTAATTCCAGCTACTTGGGTGGCTGTGGCATGAGAATCATTTGAACCCAGGAGGCGGAGGTTGCAGTGAGCCAAGATCATGCGGAGTTTTGGGGGACACAAACACTCAGGTCATAGCACTTCCTGACCTCACAGTTCACCACAATCTTCTTAACCTTGACTAGTCCTTTTTGCATCAAACCCTTCTAACCCATTGCTTAACCGACTCCAATTCTCTACTCTTTAGTAATAAAATATCTACTATGAGAACTTTAATAGGAGATACAAGTTTAAATTTTAGTTCCGCTACTGGTTGTGTGATCTTGGTCAAGTTATTTAATCTTTTTTATTTCTAACACAGGAACAGAAAACCAAATGCTTCCCCCTTGAAGGGGAAGGGTGGGCAAAGGAGAGTAGGAGAAAAGATAATGATTGGATACTGGGCTTAATACCTGGGTGATGAAATAATATGTACAACAGGACAGGCGCGGTGGTGCACACCTGTAATCCCAGCACTTTGGGAGACTGAGGCGGATGGATCACATGAGGTTGGGAGTTCGAGACCAGCCTGGCCAACATGGTGAAACCCCATCTCTACTAAAAACACAAAAATTAGCCAGGCGTGGTGGCAGGCACCTGTAATCCCAGCTACTCGGGAGGCTGAGGCAGGAGAATCACTTGAACCTGGAAGGCAGAGGTTGCAGTGAGCCGAGATCACACCACTGCACTCCAACCTGGGCAACAGAGTGAGACTTGGTCTCAGAAAAAAGAAAGAAAGAAATAATATGAACAGCAAACCCCCATGACATGTATTTACCTATGTAACAAACCTTCACATGTACCCCCAACCCTAAAAGTTAAAAAAAAAAACCTCCAGTATCCTTGTTTGTACAATGGTGGTGTGTAAAAAAATAAATTCATAAAATGCTTGTAAAAAATTTTTAGAAGTCTATGTGTAAAGCACTTACAGTACATAGCAGGAACTCCATCAATGGTGGTTACTATTTTCCTACCTTCTAGTGCTTATGGTGTTTAATTTTCAAAATTACTTAAACTTGGCCGGGCAAGGTGGCTCAGGCATGTAATCCCAGCACTTTGGGAGGCTGAGGCAGGCAGATAACTTGAGGCCAGGAGTTCGAGACATGCCTGGCCAACATGGGGAAACCCCATCTCTACTAAAAATACAAAAAAAATTAGCCAGGTGTGGTGGCATGCACCTGTAGTCCCAGCTGCTTGGGAGGCTGAGGGACGAGAATCGTTTGAACTTGAGAGACAGAAGTGGCAGTGAGCTGAGATGGCACCAGTGCACTCCAGCCTGGGTGGCAGAGCAAGACTGTCTCAAGAAAAAAAAAAAGATTACTTAAATCTTTATTCTTGCATTATATAGCTGGACCTGGCTGTAGTTGGAAGGAAACTGCTCAGATCTAAGCACTGAGGAAGTGTACCATTCTGAGGCAGTTTTTTATTGTTAGCTTTGCTTAAATTAAAAAAAAAAAGTGTAAAGATAATTTCTGATCTTTCCCTCACTACCACCCACTGGTCTTTACTTCTCTTTTCCTATAGCACTGTTTCTTAACCAGAACAATGCATTATAAACTCCACAAGAATTCTTAAGAACCTGGTTAAGCACTGTGAACATTCCTTCTTCATATGACAGCTGTGCTCCCTGAGGCAAGTCTTTGTACCCATAACTATTCCTTATGTGACCTGGTTTGCAAATCCTTGATATACTGGATGCCAGCATTTGGAAGCATCCAAGTTTCTCAATACCATTGTTAAAGAATATCTATCAAAAGTGGATTAATTACATCATGTTTTATTTGGCCAACACACACATAAGGGAGCATACCTCCACCTAAGCACCTCTCAGACTCGAATCAATGTCACCATGGACTGTGTTGAGAGTTTTAGTACCTACATTACCACAGCAGCTCTTACTAAGTTTTTTACTCATGTAAGCTGCTGCCAGGCTAGGTTCTCACCAATCTATACAATTCCTTTTAAAATTTTAATGTAGAGTTTTACAATACTGTCTGTTCCTATTCATCTTGTTTATTTCTATCTTGATTTTAGTTTCCAAATATATTTCTGAACCCAGTGTACTTATTAGTGATTTCAGTATTCTTTAGTTTAAGCATGTTGTTTTTCCTTCACCTGTATCACTGAGTAAGTGTTGAGAATGGGGCCAAAGAAAGTTTTTCTGTTTCTTCTAATTCCTTAGTCAACTACAATTCTGTTCCCATGTTTCTACTTCTTCAAAACCAATTTCTCACTCATTGCTTTCGCTCAATTCCTATGACACACCTAAGACTGCTTAGTTGTTTACCAGGATGTAAGACTTTTAGAGTTAGAAGGGACTTTCCAGGATCATTTAGTCTTGCCCAACTCTCTCTTTTACAAGGAACAGAAAATCAGAGAAGTTCAGTTATATTTTGCAGGCCACATGGCTTGTAAGTGATATGTCTGGGAACAGAACTAAGAAATACCACATATAAATATATGGTATTCCTTCCATTACAGGTTTTTATTTAAATTTTTATATGTCCATCTGTTCACTTCATCTACATGAAATAAATTATTTTTTATTGTTTTATTTAAAACATTGTACAATTTTTGTTTTCAAAGATACTCTGGCTGCCACACAAAAAGCACATAATACTCTGTTTCTTCTACTTTATAAGCCCATTCAGGTAGGAAGTAGATGAATAGCCTGTCTCTACTCTGACAAACTGCCTGGCAAAATAAATAAAAATTTGGGGTTGCTGCAGGGATTGAGCAAAGAAACATTTTGGTTACAAATTTCAAATCCTGACTCCCAGTCTGCAAATGCATTAACTATCAACTTCCTAAGACTCAGCAAAAAGAATAATTTTACCACTGTATTGATGATATATATTGAATCACTGTATCAATGATACAATGGATTCTTTTTTTTTTTTTTTTTTTGAGATGGAGTCTCGCTCTGTTGCCCAGGCTGGCATGCAGTGGCACAATCTTGGCTCACTGCAGCCTCTACCTCTGGTTTCAAGTGATTCTCCTGCCTCAGCTTCCCAAGTAGCTGGGATTACAGGCACCCGCCACCACGCCCAGCTAATGTTTGCATTTTTAGTAGAGACAGTGTTTCACCATGTTGACCAGGCTGGTCTCAAACTCCTGACCTCAAGTGATCCACCCACTTCGGCCTCCCAAAGTGCTGAGATTACAGGCTTGAGCTGCCACGCCTAGCCACAATGGATTCTTTTTATGTCATTTCTGGTTGCTTTATGGTCAACATCACTTATGACTAAATCTAGATATGAAATCCACTGTATTATTAATAACAATCATCATATACCTCTCCACCAGAATGTAAGATTTGCTAGAGTTAGTATTAGTTTTTCACCCTATGATTTCTGCCTGGCTTGGAGTAGGCTCTCAATAAGAATGTGTTGATAAACAAATGAATGAGCAAATAAGTAAGTTCTTCAAAGGTAAAACTTACCCAAAAAATGAAAAATGCAAAGATCTGAAATTTTAGTAACTCCCCAAAAAGTAAACAGAAGAGACATATTCCAGAGGGAGTCACTAAAGCTAACAAATGAGTCTTCACATTACAATTACAACATTCTTTTTCAACAAAGTGCTTATTCCTTTTCTCTTTTGCCCTTTTCTCTGGAATCTCTTGTCAGGTTACTCTTTGTTTCCTTAGGCTTGTTGTGCATAAGAGACTTCTATAATAATTCCTCTGTTCATTTTTCTAGAAACACCAAGCAAATGTTCAAGGAGATCAAATTAAGTTCACTATAAGATCATAAGGAGGCCACTAGCAGAATCAGCAGAATTAGGCTCTTATAAATTATTATTAGTTTTACTTCATGACCCAAACTCAATAACAGTCAAGAATTCACTATTTTCCTCTTGGTTGTATAGCTGTTCTCATAACTCATATCAAAATATCAAATCTCACATTAATCAAAACATCAATTTCTAGCAATACTACATTAATTAAATAAAAATATTCTCTTTACTAGTGTTTTTATTAAAGATTATCTTTACACTGTTCCGCTAAAAAAAAAGTAAGCAAAAAGTAGTTAAAAAAAAAAAAGTTAATTCCAAAGTTGAGGATGAAGAAATTTGTTCACCTAATCCTTTTTATCTAATGTTTTTAATGTTTACAATTTATTTAATTCACTTCAAATGTCTGTGCTAAGTTGAAAATTACTGAATTAGAACTGCATCAAACTCAAACCATTTATATCCTTTCTCTACTTGTTAAACATTCATGCTAAAACATTTTAAAATTATTTTACTTACCAAGTCGAAACTACAATTTTTGGATATATCACCAATCATTTGGTTTATATTACATACACATAATGTAGTAGCTTACATAAACCCACCAAATAAGAGTTTTCCTTTAAATTTACAAAAGCAGAAAATCTAATTCACAACTTCAAGAAAACAGTGGATTTAATAAACAGATTAACTTACTGAAAAAATCTTTAAAGACGTTTAACCAATCCATTTTGAGTAAAAATTCTGTGTTCTGTCAGTTTGTTAACACAGCTCAGGATAATTCTCAGTGAGCTTCCTCGTCTGTTCTGCAACACTGAAACTTCCCACACCCAATCCATGTGACCTGGCCCACACCCAGGCAATAGAAAATTTTTCTGAGGCTTCTCTTTCCAAAACTTTTTTTTCCTCTAAATTATAACACAGCCTGTATAACAAGTAAATAATCATGGCCAAAAATATGACCTTATTATTCAGACTTATTTTGGAAGATGCTTTAAAGCATATATATTTTTTATAGTTAAAATATATTCATGAATTAATCCTTTTGTTTTCCCCTTTTCCTTCTCAACTTTCAAACAATGTCTCCACCAGCACAACCATTGCGAAACAAATCCATTAATTACACCGGATATTTAAGTTACCAAAAAGGGATACAGAAATTATGAGAAAAGGGAAAAGTTTATCTAATGTAAAAGCTGGACTTATATCTCTTTACAGGTTAACTACAGATCACTAACTCAAAACAATGTTTCCAAGCACCCTGGAATAAAGGTAGCAATAACTGTAATACAGTAATAAAGTTAACAGAGATTTCCTAAGACTTAAATAGAGATAAAATCTTGATAAAACTGTCTCAATAACATCAGAATACTGTAGTACGGAATGCATCCTGGAGTATTAACAAATAAAAATTATATTTAAATGGGATTTTAGATTTACATACAGTAATACCTAATACTGGACTACTTCCCCCCTTTGCTCTATGATAATAGTTTTTTCACTATATTTTGTTAATTACTGTCACATTCACTCTAATCCCAAGATACCAGTGTCCTCTTAAAATGGAACAAAAAAGTCTAACTGGGTATGTCTTAGTACCCTGTGCACGTATCACTATGAGGCATACTTTCTTGACAGAAATTACCTTAATTTCTCCCAATATCTCTAATCATCATGCTTTAAATAAATTCCAGTATTTACAAAACCAGTATTGCTGATTCTAACCCTGGTCTCTTCTGCTACTGAAGGAAAATCTCTTTCTGATTTGTCTTCCATTGAAAAACTAAAAATAATGGTCTTAATCACAAAACCCAAAAGTATTTAAAAAGTTACCTCAGCAGTTAAACATCACATTATATCTACTTAATTACCTTTAGAACACTGGAAATATTTTTATCTCAGAAACTGATAATCCACTACTTTATATCTTACTCCAAATTGTACTATATTTTAGTTTTTGCAGTTTTACAATGGTTAAAAACATTAAATATTTGTATTTTATTGATAATTAGAAGAACATTCTAGAATAACAATAATGTTGAATAAGAATAAAAACTAAGCTGGGTATGGTAGTAAGCATCTGTAGTCCCAGCTACTCAGGAAGCTGAGGTGGGAGGGTTGCTTGAGCCCAGGAGTTCAAGTTTGGCCTGGACAACAGAGCAAGACTCCATCTCTACAAAACCATAAAAAATAAATAAATAAAAACTAATGTAAAGTAGTGAGTCAACAGTATTTCATATTTGTCAGTCATGCTATATTGCTCCCAAACTGTCTGCACAAGGAGAAATTGTACTTTTCTTCTACACCTAGACAAAGAACAATTACGCAAATAGCATGTTTGCCTGAACACCAAAAATGAAATTCTGTCCCTCCCAATTCCTTCCTGTCAGCTAAGGAGAGTTTAATTTTTTTTTTTTTTTTTTTTTTTTAAAGAAGAGGCCATTCCTTGCCCATGCATATTTCCTTCCTATCAGCTTAGCCAAGTCCAGTGTGAAGTGGGCTCCACTGTCTCAGGCCCTAATGGAGGGCCAGTAAAAATAAAAAACAAAAACTTTGGAGAAATAAAGGGAAAAAGAGAAACAAAATAGAAAAGAGCTCTGTAGGTGCTAATGTACAGTAATGATCCACAGTTCTCTTATCAAATAGAAAAACAAAATGGAGGGTTTTAAGTGAAGTTCAAAACATAAGGTCATTAGATGTTAAAATTCATTATGTGCCATGTACATAAGTTGCCTTGGTGCCAAAGAGGCAATTCTGCCTATAAGTCTAAACTCCAACAGTGATTCATGGTTCAAAAAGCCCCTGCTAGAAGGTGAGAGTTAGTTCTACTCATTGGTATCACTCTGCCTTGACTTGGAGCATGGGCCTAGATTTACAGAAACTGCATGTTAACACTTATGACCTTCACTGGTCTTCTGGGTTGACCACCTGCTATGACTCAAACTTACCTAGCCCTTGCCTTTTCAAGTCAATTATGCACACTGCTGCCAGAATTATGTACAAAGAACTAAGTTGCAGGTTTCATTTAAAACAAAGTTGCTTTTCTTTTAAAAAATATCTTACCTAAGGTATCCTTTAGGTTTTTCACAATAGATGCTTTCCGAGCACTGTTTTTCCTTTCCACATAGTTAGAAGGCACAAAACCTGTTTTATTCATGGAATTTCGAACTCGCCACCAGGACTTAGAATCATCCAGAAGCCATAATCTCTCATTCTTCTTGATGTCCAACTCTTGTTCTTGTTGGGCCACATAATCAAATTTGGCTACTACCACCACTTCTTCTGCCATCTTTCAGCAGCTTCAGCACTGTAAACACATGGAAAATATTTTTATGTAAGGTTGAGGTAGTATTAGTTCACATGCTTTTCAAAAGAGACACACCTAAAAATCTAAAGACATAAAGATGAAAAGTAAAAAATATGGAAAAAAATACATGAGGCAAATAGTAATTTAAAGAGACTGTGACTGTATGGCCGTGCGCAGTGGCTCATGCCTGTAATCCCAGCACTTTGGGAGGCCAAGGCAGGCAGATCACTTGAGGTTGAGTTCGAGACCAGCTTGGCCAACATGGTGAAACCCCATCTGTACTAAAATACAAAAATTAGCTGGGCGTGATGGTGCACACCCGTAGTCCCAGCTACTCAGGAGGCTGAGGCATGGGAATAGCTTGAACCTGGGAGGCGAAGGTTGCAGTGAGCCGATATCGCACCACTGCACTCCAGCCTGGCGACAGAGGGAGAATCTGTCTCAATCAATCAATCAACCAATCAATAAAGAGACTGGTGTTGCTCTATTAGTATCAAACAAAACTTAAAGGGCAAAAACCATTACTAGCAATAAAGTTCACTACCCAATGAAAAATGTTCTACTCAATTACAATATCTAAACTTCTATGTACCTAGTAACAAGATAGTTTCAAAATATGTTGACAGAACCACAAGGAGATCTTGACAAACCCATTACCACAGAGGACAATTTTTAACATATTATCAGAGTAACAAAACAAAGAAATAAAAACGGCCAGGCCTGGTGGCACACACCTGTAATCCCAGCACTTCGGGAGGCCGAGGCTGGTGGATCACCTGAGGTCAGGAATGCAAGACCAGCCTGGCCAACATGGTGAAACCCCATCTCTACTAAAAATACAAAAATTAGCTAGGTATGGTGGCGCACACTTGGAATCCCAGCTACTCAGGAGGCTGAGGCAGGAGAATCCCTTGAACCTGGGAGGCGGAGGTTGCAGTTAGCCAAGATCGTGCCACTGCACTCCAGGCCTGGGTGACACAGCCAGACTTGGTCTCAAAAAAATAAATAAATAAATACAAACATTATTAAGGCTAGAGAAGAACTCATATCACAACCAGCAAGTCTGATTTAATAGACATATACAGAATATTGCTTCCAAATAGAAAACAAATGAAACACATACAAAAAGCAATCAAATGCCAGGCCATAAAGAATGTCTCAATGTTCACGTAACTGATATCCTACAACCATATTCTCCAACAACCATAACAAAAAGATAACTTTTGAAATACCACGTTTGGAAACTTCTAAAAACTAATGAATCTAAGAAGAAATCATATTGAATTTTGAAAATACTTAGAAGTAAATAATTTTAAAAACTATACATCGAACTCTGTGGGATGTAGCAAGAGGAGTGTATATAGACAGATTTTTAGTTTTAAATAGTAACATTAAAAAACAAAAAGAGTGGCCGGGCGCGGTGGCTCATGCCTGTAATCCCAGCACTTCAGGAGGCTGAGGCGGGTGAATCACAAGTTCAGGAGATCGAGACCATCCTGGCTAACACGGTAAAACCCTGTCTCTACTAAAAATACAAAAAAATTAGACAGGCGTGGTGGCGGGTGCCTGTAGTCCCAGCTACTTGGGACGCTGAGGCAGGAGAATGGCTTGAACCCGGGAGGCGGGGCTTGCAGTGAGCCGAGATCGCGCCACTGCACTCCAGCCTGGGCCGCAGAGCGAGACTCTGTATCAAAAAATAATAATAATAATAATAATAAAATTTAAAATAAAATTTTAAAAAGAGCTAAAAATAAATTAATGAACTGAGTATCTATCTTAAGCAGTTAGAAAAGTTAAAGAAACATTAGAAAAACAAATCCAACTAGAAAATGAGCAAAAAAACATGAAGAGGCATTCACTGAAGATTTACAGATGGCAAATAAGCAGATGAAAAGGTATTCATCATTAGCTATTAAAGAAATGCAAATTAAAACCACACTGAGATGTCACTACATACGCTTGTCAGAATGGCTAAGAGTGGTAATACCAAATGCTGACAAGGGTAAGTTGAAATTGGATCACACGTATACTGCTGATGAGAATGTAAAATGGTACAGATACTCCGCAAAATTGTCTGACAGTTTCTCATAAAACTAAACATGCAACTACCATACAAGCTAGCAACTGCACCCCTGGGTATTTATCCCAGAGAAATGAAAATTTATGTTCACATTTTACATGAATGTTAACAGCAACTTTATTTCTAACAGTCAAAAACCGGAAACCACCCAGATGTCCTTCAACAGGCAAATAATTAAACAAACTGGTACGTTCATACCAAAAAGAACAATTGATGCACAAAACGACCTGGATGAATCTCCAGGGAATTATAACTGCTCAGTGAAAAAAGCCAATCTCAAAGGTTAACTATATGACTCCATTTATATAACACTCTCAAAATGACAAAATATGGAAATTAGAAACAGATTAGTAGTTGCCAGGGTTAACGGGGCAGCAGGAACAGGAGGGAAGTAAGTATGACTATAAAAGGGCAATATGAAGAAATTTTGTAATATTATTGTGATATTGTACTATACTTCTGCCAGATGTATTGCCACTGGAGGAAAGCATACACTGGATCTCGCAATAAGTTCTAAAGTTTCTCAGAATTGCATGTGGATCTATAATGATCTCAAAATAAAAAGTTTAATTAAAATAAAAACTGAAAGAGAAAACACAAATAGTCAAAAAGTATTCAAAAGATCCTGAATATCTTTATAATTAAAGAAATGAAAACTAAACTGAAATACCACACTTTACCTATCAGGGTGACAAAAGTATTACCAATATTATCTAGTCCTCCCCAGAATGTACAAAAATAGCATTCTACTACATTACTGGTATAATAACTAAAAATTTATATAATGCTTTTAAGTTTTATAATTATGGCACTTTTCAACATTTACAGAAGAGAATAGTATAATGAATCCTATACCTATCACCCAATTTTATCAATATTATGCCTTGTGGTTCAGCTATCCCCCTAATTTTTGGTGGGGGAACTGGAATCCCATGATTTCATTAAGCACTAACAGATTAAAAACCCATACCCCTCAAAAATGAACAAATCAAGGGCTCCTGACCTTTTCCCTTTTTTAACCCATATATGCCGGAGGTTGCAATTTCTTGTGTGAAAAATCAGACCTTGGTGACGACCTTGAGCATGATATAAATAACTCTCACAAGCTTAGCGTTCCAATAATGGAACACTAGGCACAAATGGGTTAAGCCATGGACCTCCCCTCCTCCTGCCTAATGGCAGTGTGGTGAAACATAGAACCTCTACTCACAATGTTTCTGATGCATAAAAATATATAAGATTGCAAACAAGTCAATTATACTAAAATTAAATTATCAGTATATTTTCAAAAGCTCATTTTGAAAAGGTGTTCCTTTATTAAGAACTCCTGCAACACTTATTTCATCTAATGCTAATATTCAATTTTTGCTAAGTGTATTTTTTTAAACATTCTTACAGTTGGTGTGAACTGGGATCCAAACTAAGTCGATATATTGCACTTAAGCTAACATGTTTTAAGTCTCTGACACTGTTCTCTTTCCCCACTCTATGTCATTTATTTAAGAAGCTGGCTTCACTTGTCCTGTAGCATTTCCCACATCGTGAATTTGGCTAGTGTATATTTTCATGGTGTTCCTCTATCCCCCCTATCTCCTATAAACTGGTAATTATTTCTAGAGGCTTTACTTTTTCTAGGTTGTTTTGTCATTGTTGCAAGAATAATTCGTTAAGTATTCTTGTGTACTTGTTATTGCCATTTATTAGGAGGCACATTATGTCTGCCTGAACCATTTTCTGTGATGTTAAGACTGAATGGTAGATTTGTAGCACTGAACTGATTTATCCATTATTATAAAGTTCCCCCATCAAACCTCTACCCAATGGTTTTACCTGCCACTGATGATCACTGCCTAGATCAACTATTTCAATAATGATGATGTGCTAGCTCTACCTGCTTTCAGAAACTGTGATTATTCTCAAAGGAAAATTTTGCTTATTGTTCTATTACCCTAAAACATAAAACCTTACAGAAAAGGTAGAATATATACTTCTGTGTGGTTATGACACCAACTGGACGTAGAGTTAGGCTCACTTGTTTTCATTTTTTGAAGATCACTTTATTTTCCCTTTTTAAAATGTAATTGTTTCATAATTATGTAAAACATTTGGATGGTTCTAAAAGCTAAACTATCAAGCAAGGTAGATGTTTAAATATCAAACATGTTTGAACATTATGTTTAATATTGTTTATATGAATGTTTAAACATTAAATATGCTTAAATATCAAACATATTTAAAACATTTAGAGAGGTCTTCTTCCATACCTTCTCTTTTCTCTCCCCTCTCCCATCCACCCCACTGGACAGCCATTTATTTATTTATTTATTTATTTATTTATTTATTTGAGACGGAGTCTCGCACTGCACTGTCACCCAGGCTGGAGTGCAGTGGAGCGACCCTGGCTCACTGCAACCTCCGCCTCCCAGGTTCATGGCATTCTCCTGCCTCAGCCTCCGAGTAGCCGGGACTACAGGTGCCCGCCACCATGCCCGGCTAATTTTTTTGTATTTTTAGTGGAGACGGGGTTTCACTGTGTTAGCCAGGATGGTTTCGATCTCCTGACCTCGTGATCCGCCTGCCTCGGCCTCCCAAAGTGCTGGGATTACAGGCGTGAGCCACCGCGCCCGGCCTGGACAGCTATTTATTTGTTTTGGTTTATGTTTCTATTTTTTTTTAAATAATTTAAGGAAAGTATTCAAGAAAAATATATAAGAAAATTGAAAATTCTAATTTTTATCTACCCCCACAACAAAACATACACACACACATGCACACAGGCGCGCACACACACACACACATACACATAGGCATAGACTATATTGCCTGAATCTTTTCATTTTCAGTTTAACAATCTATCCTTAAGATCATTCCACAGCAGCACATGAGACTTCCTTTACTAATACATCTACTACTTCTAACAATTGCAGAGTGCGTCATCATTATGTAAGTAGCACTTTCTTCAACTAGACCTTACTGATGGTCAATGGGTTGTTTGTAATTTTCTGGGATTAAATAGTGCTGCAATGAACAGCCTCATACATGTGTCATTTTGATTTTCTGTTAGTGTACCTTTGGGTTAGAATCATAGAAGAATGCTGAGTTACAGCTAAAGTTTGTATAATTTTGTGAGATACTGCTAAATTCTGTATTCATAAACTATTTTTAAAAACTCCTAACAATATATCAGTGATTATTTCCCCACAGCCTTGCCAACAAACTATGTTGTCAATCTTTTGGATTTTTGCCAATCTAATAGGGGAGAAATAGTATTTCAGAGTTGTAATTTGTATTTCTCTTATTACAGTGATTTCTTTTCCCATATTTAAGGGACATTTACATTTGTTTTTCTGTGTAAAGTGCTTGTTCATATCTTTTCCCCATATCCTAGAATAATGACTCCAACTCCATCAAGTTCCTTACCTGAAAAGGCTCCACATGGCCAGAATTTACCGTTTGTTCCAGCCAAAACCTGGTGATAGGCAGATGGTCACCTGAACCCCCATTTAGAGCAGTTACCTTAGAAAGCTTGAAATTATAAATCCTTTCTCTGTCCCTTTGTGACTTAAATCTTCTACCATCAAGAACTATCTTCCCAAGGACCTGAGAACTACCTCTTTGGAATGCAAACAATCAAAAAGATAACTTTCACTTTTGTTCCCAGTCCCTGGCGAGAGGGTAAGGGCCAAACATTGGTGGGCCTAATTTGTACCACCACCTCCTGTCATAAATAATAAGTTTGTTTCTCTTCCAGATAAATGCCAATAACAAACCCAGATGGCCTACTCACATGGACCACCTATTGCCCTTAAAAACCACTCAGTGGCCGGGCGCGGTGGCTCACGCCTGTAATCCCAGCACTTTGGGAGGCCGAGGCAGGCAGATCACGAGGTCAGGAAACTAAGACCATCCTGGCCAACATGGTGAAACCCCGTCTCTACTAAAATACAATAAAATTAGCTGGGCGTGGTGGTGCGTGCCTGTAGTCCCAGCTACTCAGGAGACTGAGGCAGGGGAATTGCTTGAGTCTGGGAGGCGGAGACTGCAGTGAGCTGAGATCACGCCACTGCACTCCAGCCTGGTGACAGAGACAGACTCCGTCTCAAAACAAAACAAAAAAACCATCTTTCTTTCCCTTAGCAGTGTCTTTCCCTTAGCATACTCAACCTTTAAAAAAGTCTCTTCCCCTTTTGTTTTGGCAAAAGTGAGTTGAGTTCACACTGGACACTCTTCCCTACTGCAATAGTTACTGAATAAAATCTGTCCTTACCATTTTAACTAGTGTCCAGTTTATCTTCGACATCTATAATTCTAGTTATGGACCAACACAAGTACTGGGCTCTCCCAAATTGGACATGCATAGAATATCCAAAGAAGCATCACAAAGGCACTAAGAAATGAAGTACAATATAAACACCACTCAAGCCCCACACATCCCTGCATAAAGCAAAGATGCAAATACCACAGCAAAAGTTTAGAAAATGAAACCAATATTGGAACTACTGCCCACAGTTCCTCCGCTTCCTAGATCCTATGTCTTACTTTTTCTTGCTTTACCCTTCATTTTGCTGGAGCACGTCCTCTAGTTGTTTCCTGAGTTAAAAATATATTGGAATTAAATTTTTTAGAATGCATATCTGAAAGTGATTTTGTTCTCTCATACATGACTGGTAGTTTGGCTATCTATATACAGGGGAGTTACTGTTTAATGGGTACAGAGTTTAAGTTTTGCAAGATGAAGATTATTCTGGAAATAGATGGTTGTACAACAATGTGAATGTACTTAATGCCAATATTTCTAGCCAGGTGAACCAGGAAGAGGAGTCATAAGGGATTAAGGTCCATCTTAACGACCTCATTTTACCTCAGTTACCTCTTTAAAGACACTATATCCAAATATAGTCACATTATGAACTACTGGGGGTTAGGACTTCAATGTGTGAATTTTTGAAGGGACAAAATTCAGTTCATAACATTTGTTTTTACCACAATTTTTTAGAAATTTAAAAATATGATTACAATCAACTATAAGGCCATTTATGTTTAATTCCCATATAGTATATAAGACTTAGATCAATTAATGTACTTACATGTTTGCTGTGTTAATTATGACAATAAATTCATTATGTTACACGTTTTCATAATTGGTGGTTTATATCTAATTGCTCATAATTTAGCAAGATTATTGCTCTTACGTTTGTAGTCACATAATGGCTTCTTTCTTTAGATAAAATGTAATAATCTTCAGATTATAGGATGATGATACTGATCTTGGATCAGTTTATTATAGTTCAGAGGGGTAATAAGTAATATTCTGTAATGCCTAACAAAATAATCATATAGACAGTAATGTCTTATATACCTAAGATATTTATAAGTTTGTCAAAGAAACAGAATTATAGTTGAGGTTTTTTTAAGAGCAAACTTTTTGCTTATCTTTCTTTATTCTCATTCCTTTGCTCTGTCTCCTAGTCTCCACTAACTACTCAATAAACATTTGTTGAGTGAATAAGTGAATGAATTGTGCTATGCACAGCACTTTTGCCTTTGTCATTATTTTGTGCCTTCTCATATTGGGGATGATTTCAAAGTGATATTTCCAAAAGTGGACAGAATTAGATGGAATTTTATTTGACCTACACTATTTTTTAAAAAAAAAGAAGAAAAACTTAATTTTTAAGTAGCCTTTATTTCTGACTAGCCTGTAATTTTTTGTTTTCCCAGTGGTGGGATCTGTTTCATTAGTTGTTTCATTAGTAAGAGTATTTACCAATTAAAATTACTTGATGAGATACTAGGGTTTAAAAAGCTGAAGAGAATAAAATCATCTTATGAATTGCCTTGTCTTTTTGCATTACTTACAGCATATCCAAGTTAGTTAATTGGGGACTTTCTCCCCCTTCATTGTTTACTGTGAGATCTGTACCCCAACCAAACTTCCGGACTTAGTCACTTGGGTATTGTTACTTAGCTGATTCTTATCAGAAGCAGGAAATTGTCAAGTTATGTGTTAAAGTACAACAGAATCTAAAACTGAACAAGAGATTTCCCTTTAGAATTTTATTTTATTGCTAGCTGGTTCCTTACATTTTCCTTAGGGTATAACTACTGACTTGCCAAAAAAGGTCATATTTATCATGACCTATATACACAGCCAACAGTACCCTTCCTCAGTTTACAAATTATACACAATATGACTGATTAAATGATTTGACAAACTTTGTGTCATTAATATATAGCTATACCTATAGAATTTATAAAAGTAGTTTGGGAAAGAACATGTTTTCAGGTGTTTTGTCTAGCATTATTCATGTATTTACATTAGCAGTTCTCTAAGAAAGGGTTACTAAAGTGGATCTCTTAAGGGGTCTACGGAGCCAAAACTATTTTCATAATACTAGGATGTTAATTTCCCTTTTCACTAGAGATTCCAGAGGCTACATGAAATTCAATTACATTGTCAGTATTTGTAAGATCTACAAAACTGTCAATATATATTGAGGAATGATACATAATAGATGGATAAAAATAGGGCCATATATTTTTTTGCTGTTTATTTTACATACAGTAAGATTTTCACTGTTTGTTGTGAATAAAATTTGACAAACATTTAAGAGTTATGTAATCACTGCCACAATCTAAATAAGAAAATAAGAACAGTTCTATCACTCCCCCTCAAGAAAAAAAAAAATTGCTTTATGCTTTGTATTCAAACCCATCCCCAACCATTAATTTGTGACAACTATTGATCTATTTTCTGTCCCTATGTAGTTTTGCCTTTTCCAGAATGTTTTATGCAGACGCTGAGTCTGGCTTTTCCAGTTAACATAATGCATTTGTTTCATTTGTGTTGTGTAAATCAGTAGTTCACTCCTTTTTAGTGCTGAGTAGTCCATTGTACGGACGAACCATCATTTATTTAATGAGAACTTTATAAATTTCAAGAAAAACTAAGTTAAACAAGAAAATAAATTTAATCATAGGAGGTGAGCCAGTAATGAACAATACTCACATGGTTACACGGTCATTAGTGAAAACACTGAATATATATCACTTTATCAAGACAATGAGGCCAAGAAAGGTTACATGAATGAATACAGTTGGCCCTCAGTATCTAAGGCAGGAGTGTCCAATCTTTTGGCTTTCCTGGGCCACAATGGAAGAATTGTCTTGGGCCACACATAAAATACACTAAACTAACGATAGCTGATGAGCTTAAAATAATCACCAAAAAATCTCATCATGTTTTAAGAACGTTTGTGAATTTGTGTTGGGCTGCATTCAAAGCCATCCTGGGCTGCATGCAGCCCGCAGGCCACAGGTTGGATAAGGTTAATCTAAGGGAAATCAGTGCCAGTTTCCTCCTCCCCAATACCAAAATCCAGAGATGCTCAAGTCTCTTATATGAAAATGGCCTAGTACTTGTACATAACCTATGCACAACCTCCTGTATACGTTAAGTCATCTCTAGATTACTTGTAATACCTAATATAATAAAATGTGAATAGTTGTTTCACTGTATTGGGTTTTTTGTTTGTATATTTTAATTAGTGTATTTTTTTTTCCAGAATATTTTTTACCTGTGGTTGGTTGAATCTGTGGATGCAGAACCCAGAGATGTGGAGGGCTGACTGTATCTTCATTTATCTTAATAGAAATGAACTAAGAGATAATATGTATATATTATTTAGATATGTATCTATAAAGAATATCAGAAGAAACCTAGCTATACATTTAGCCAACTCTTGCTGGATCAATAAAACCACCCATCTTTTCACTTTACAAACTCTAAGCTCCCAGAATGCTCCACATAAACAATTTATTTTTAAATGTAATATAAAAACAAACGGCCTGCCTTGAACTCTAAGGGTGTAAAGAACAAAAAGAATAATGATCCTGGGGACAGGCCAGGTGTCAGGTATAAAACAGGACAGATCCAGAGAAGCAACACAAGAAATTTACACCCACTGGTTGTAAGATAGAGACTATGGATTCTGGTCTTATTCTCCTCACAAAGGGTGATGCCAAAAAGGGAAGCACTAATATTTGGTGAGAGCTTACTGATGTATTTGTCATCCATTGCGAAGGTTCTGGGAATTATCTTCCTGAGACATGGAAGCAGAGATTTTACTCAACCTAAACCACCTCTAACTCGTAAGTGCTGTGGGAAAGAACTGTTATAAATAAAGAAACGTGACCTTTACCTAAGGAGAGAGAACTGACCTAGGTAACTTGACCCTCAAAAGTAAAATGGGAGTCACAAACTAGAAACCAGAGGCATGACAGGAAAAGTGTAAGATATGAACTATCCTTTATTTCCCTTTTACTATTATCTCTAAATTGCTTTCATATTTGGTTACATGGGCTATAAGGTGGAGGGCACTAGGAAGATGGTCTAGATTCTCCAATTTTTCAAAAGCTGGAGAAAAACCCCCAAAGGATTGTGAAGGTTAAAACAACTTTAAAGATGCAAAGTAAAATATAGTCTCTGAGATCTGATTCAAGGAAAAAATGAGAATAGGAACCAGGCCAGGCCTGAGAAAGATCTATGAGGCTTAACATGGACAGAGGTGTCCAATCTTTTGGTTTCCCTGGATCATACTGGAAGAAGAATTGTCTCAGGCCACACATAAAATACACTAACGATAGCTGATTAAGCAAAAAAAAAAAAAAAGCTCATAATGTTTTAAGAAAGTTTACAAATTTGTGTTGGGCCACATTTAAAGCTGTCCTGGGCTGCATGCAGCCCATAGGATGGACAAGCTTGACACAGAACATGCCACATTGTTCTCACATAAACTGAACCAATGCTCCACATTTTATACTATGTTTACATATTACATATGAATACATTTGATAAATTACAAATGTACAATATTTCACCTTAGGCAACTTGTTTATCTTACCCTAGTTTTCAGCCCTGTTTGGCTGCCCCTATAAGCAAAATATGCTTATAATATATTTAATTTCCCTCCTAGCCACACACTTGGGTTGTAGCCACTGCTCTGCCGTTAGTGATCACTCAGGGCCTGTCATACCAACCTCCCAGAAACTCCATTTCCTTATCTACAAAATAAGGGAATTGAACTGGATAATATAAAAAAGTCTCTTTTATTGAGTATCAAAATTACAATTTCAATTTTTTGAACTAAACAAACTGTTTTATTTTCTAAGTTTTTCATTACACTAAACCCTCATTCTGATCCTTACCCTTCTAATCTAATTATTATATTTCAGTGTCACTCCAAGTTATACATATTTCCAAAACAACATACACAAACTAACACAGAGAACACTGACTATAATTTCCCCATGCTTTACATTATTAATAAGGTTTAGATTGTGTCATCTCTTCTAGTAAGCATATTCATAAAACCTGAATATGCTTACTTGAAGGTTCTCTCCAAATCTCATGTTGAAATTTGATCCCCATGTTGGAAATGGGGCCTAATGGGAGGTGTTTGGGTTGTGGGAGTGGATACCTCATGAATACATTACTGCCATCCCTCTTGAGTGAGTTCACATACATAAAACCTGTGTTAACCTGAAATATCAGACGTATTTAACTTATGACTAATCATAACATTTGAGAATTTTTCATATTAATTGCTGCACTTAATTCCAATTCCCCCTCATGCCTTCCATGAGCTTATGTCATTTTTAATCACAAAATGGTTTTAGGACTCTACCACTTAGCCCTTGATACAGTTTGGATTTGTGTATCCACCCAAATCTCATGTCGAATTGTAATCTCCAGGTGACTGGAGGTGACTGCGAGGTGACTGGATCATGGGGACAGATTTCCCCCCTTGTTGTTCTGTGATAGCTGTTGTTCCATGATGAATTCTCATGAGACCTGGTTGTTTAAAAGTGTTTGGCTAGGCCGGGCCCAGTGGCTCACACCTGTAATCCCAGCACTTTAGGAGGCCGAGGTGGGCAGATCACCCGGGCTCAGGAGTTCGAGACCAGCATGGCCAACGTGGTGAAACCCTGTCTCTACTAATAATACAAAAGTTAGCCAGGCGTGGTGATGCACACCTGTAATCCCAGCTACTCGGGAGGCTGAGACAGGAGAATTGCTTGAACCTGGGAGGTGGAGGTTGCAGTGAGCCAAGATGGCTCCACTGCACTCCAGCCTGGATGACGGAGTGAGACTCCATCTCAAAAAAAAAAAAACAAAAGCAAAAGTGTTTGGCACCTTCACCTTCACTCTCTTCCTTCTGCTCTGGCCATGCTTCCTATACAGCCTGAGGAAACTGTGAACCTTTTAAACCTCTTTTCTTTATAAATTACCCAGTCTCAAGTAGTTATTTATAGCAACGTGAGAGCAGACTAATACAGCCCTATTAAAGTTTATCATGCCTCCCATTATCATTTTGGCCTATGCAAGCCATAAGACCTACTGGAGTTACAGGGAACCAGTACACTCCGTACATTCTTACTTAAAAATCCTGGGTATAAAAGAACTTTGCAACTTCTACAATATTATTGCATAGGCACATCTTCATACACCTTTCCCTACAATACTTTGTGCTTCTGTGACCTATAATTCAAGAAAAAGTACCACCATAAATCCAGCTGTCTGGATTAATTAATGCTACTACGTCAACCCCCCACAGACCAAATCATGTCCCTTTTATCTTCTCAATAGGACTCAAATGAATCCATGTATCTCCATTCTCACTACTACTACCCCTTAGTAGTAATGTGATCTACTTGATGAAGCCTCCTTAAGGTACGTATTAGTCTGTCTGTGTTGCTACAAAGGAATGCCTGAGGCTAATCTATAAAGAAAAAAGGCTTATTTGGCTCAAAATTCTCATGGCTAGAAAGTTCAAGATTGGGCATCTTCATCTGGTGAGAACCTCAGTATGCTTCCACCCATGAAAGATGGCAAAGAGAAGCCAGCATGTACACAGATCACATGACGAGAGATGAAGCAAGAGAGAGAATGGGGAGGTGTCAGGCTCTTTTTAACAACTGGCTCCCACAGGAACTAATATAGTGAGAACTCACTTACTCAAGAGGGATGGCAGTAATATATTATGAGGGATCCACTCCCACGACCCAAACACCTCCCATTAGGCCCCACTTCCAACATGGGGATCAAATTTCAACATGAGATTTGGAGAGAACATTCAAACCATAGCAAGCGATCTCCCAATTTCAAGTCCCAATATCTTCTGGCTGGAAGCCAGAAGTTGTCACATTAGTTGTCACATTAGGGCGCAAAAAAGATCTGAAACACAAATTCCTTCTATAAATGTTTGCTAACTGAAGATAAAAGCTAAATAAAAGGTCTCCAATGGATTTTCTTTGAGTTATAATGAACTTACTATTCTTGAGTTCCTCAAAATTAAGGAGAAAAAGAACTCTTCTAACTCTAATGAAACCTTTAAAAAACATTAGAGGATTCTGGGGAGAAAGCAGAGTAGGAAGCAACAAGAATCTTCTCTCCACCTAGACAACAATTGTACTAGTATAATCTGTCTTATTTAAGTATTTTGGAACTCTGGAGCACATTCTAAGGCTTGCAAGTTCCAGGGAAAGGGCCTGAAAATAAACTGCTGTTACTTTTAGTCAATTTCAGCTCTTAGTTCAGCAGTGACTACCCATTCCCCAATCTCCAGGCAGACACGCATGTGTTCCACAGCTTTCGGGCAATAAGACCTGTCCTCCAACTATCAGGTATCTATGCTCTGACAGCTAATTGCGCTTTCTGATCACTGAGATACAGACACAGAAGCAGGCAGCTATTGTTTCACCTCCCTCCCAATAGCTAGAGGCCACTGCTCCCCGCAGTCAGGCTAAAGGGGATTTAAAAGACCAGGGCCTTTTATTTTTATTTCTTCATTTTTCTCTTTCTCCCTTTTTGGAAGCCAGACATTAAAGGACTAGGACATTCAGAAGCAACCATATAAATGGGGAATTTAGAAAATCACTGTGCGGCTGGGCGTGGTGGCTCACGCCTGTAATCCCAGCACTTTGGGAGGCCAGGATCACAAGGTCAGGAGATCGAGACCATCCTGGCTAACACGGTGAAACCCCGTCTCTAATAAAAATACACAAAATTAGTTGGGCGCGGTGGCGGGCGCCTGTAGTCCCAGCTACTCAGGAGGCTGAGGCAGGAGAATGGCGTGAACCCGGGAGGCGGAGCTTGCAGTGGGCCGAGATCGCGCCACTGCACTCCAGCCTGGGCGAAAGAGTGAGATTCCGTCTCAAAAAAACAAAACAAAACAAACAAAAAACAAAACAAAAGAAAATCACTGTGCATGTCCAGGAAAAGGCAAAGGCTCAGAAAAGATCTGAGATAGCCTACAACAATCAAAAAATAAAAAGGGCTGGGTGCAGTGTCTCAAACTTGTAATTCCAAGACTTTGAGAGGCCAAAGCGGGAGGACTGCTTGAGCCTAGGAGTTCTAGACAAGCTTGGGCAACATAATGAGACCCTGTCTCTACAAAAAATAAAACATTAGGCAGGCATAGTGGTGCACACTTGCAGTCCCAGCTCCTCAGGAAGGAGGATCCTTTGAGCCCAGGAGGTCAAGGCTACAGTGAGCCATGATCATGCCACTGCACTCCAGCCTGGGTGACAAAGCAAGACTCTAAAAACAAAAAGAAAAACAAGCACACACAAAAACCCAGCAAATCCTGAGGAAAGGAGACAATCTGATTTCCAGAGTTATCACATTAGCAGATTTAAATGTCCAGTTTTCAACAACAAAAAGGGATACAAAGAAATGGGAAAGTATGGCCTATATGAAAGAAAAAAAAATAAACCAACAGAAACCTTCCCAGAGAAAGATCAGAAGACGGGCCTAATAGACAAAGACTTTTAAAAAGCTACCTTAAAGGTGTTCAAAGAACTAAAAGAAGACACAGAGAAAGGCAAGAAAACAATGTAGAAAGAAAGTAGGAAAATGAGTAAAGAGATAGAAAACCTCAAAGGAGGCTGGGTGCAGTGGCTCACACCTGTAATCCTTGTATTTTAGGAGGCTGAGGCAGAAGGATCACTTGAGTCCAGGATATCAAGACCAAGACCAGTTTGGGAAACAGCAAGACCCTGCTTCTACAAAAAAAATTTAAAAATTAGCCAAGCACAGCAGCGCAAGTAGTTCCAGCTACTCAGGAAGCTGAAGCAGGGGGACTGCTTGAGCCCAGGAGTTTGAGGCTGCAGTGAGCCCATGAACCGTGATCACACAGCCAAACTCCAACCTGGGTGACAAACTGAGACCCTGTCTTAAAAAAAAAAAAGAGGAGGGAAAAATCTCAAAGGAAACTAAAAACAAACTGTGGAGCTCCTGAGGGCAATAACTAAAATGGAAAATTCACTACAGGGATTTGAATAAAGACTTGAGCAGGCAGAAGAAAGAATCAACAAGTGTGATGATAGGGCAACATAAAAAAAAAAAAAAGACTGAAGAAAAGTCAAAAGAGGCAAACAGACACTATCAAGAGAACGAACACACACATTGTGGGAATGCCAAAAGTAGAGGGGCAAAGAGATTATTTGAAAAACTAATGGCTACCAGCCTGGCCAAACGTGGCGAAACCCCATCTCTACTAAAAACACAAAAATCAGCCAGGCGTGGTGGCATGTGCCTGTAGTTCCAGCTACGTGGGAGGCTGAGGCAGGAGAATTGCTTGAACCTGGAAGGCAGAGGTTGCAGTGAGCCAAGATCACACCACTGCACTCCAGCCTGGGTGACAGAGCGAGACTCGGTCTCAAAAAAAAAAAAAAAAAAGAAAAAATAATAGCTAAAAACTTCCCAAATTTGATGAAAGACATAAATATACATATTCAATAAACTCAACAGACTCCAAGTAGCATGAACACAAGGAGATGCACAGCAAGACACATTATAATCTATCCAAAAAGAAACAGAGACTCTTGAAAGGAGTAAGAGTAATCTGTCACATATAAGGGATCCTCAATGATATTATAAGCAGATTTCTCATCAGCAGCTCTGTAGGCCAAAACACAGTGGGCTAATATAGTCTAATAGTCTAATTAACTACCAAAGGGGAGAATAAAAAAAAAACTGTCAGCTAAGAATCCTATACTGGCAAAACTCTCCTTCAAAAGTGAGGGAAAAATTATGACTTTCCAAAATAAACAAAAGTTAAGGAAATTCATTACCACTAGAACTTCTGTGCAAGAAATGCTAAAAGAGCAAACTAAAAAGCAACTGCACAGCAAACAATTAACAAAGCGAAGAGACAGCACACAGAATGGGAGAAAATATTTGCAAACCATACAACTGATAAGGGGTTAATATCCAAAATATATAAGGAACTCCAGACAATTCGGTAGCAAGAAAGCAACCTGGTTTTAGAATAGGCAAAAGACTTGAACAAACATTTCTCAAAAAAAGACATGAAAATGGCAACAGATACATAAGAAAATGCTCAGCATCACTAATCATTAGGGAAATGCAATTTAAAACACTAAGATCCGTTAGCATGGCTTTTATCAAAAAGAACAATAAAAAGGTTGATGAGGATGCAGAGAAAAGCAAACATTTGTACATTGCTGGTGGGGATGTAAATTAAATTAGTACAGCCATTATGAAAAAGAGTATGGAGGGTCCTCAAAAAACTAAATTAGAGCTACCATATGATCCAGCAATCCCACTTCTGGGTATATATCCAAAGGAACTAAAATCAATATGGCAAAGGGACATCTATATTCCCATGTTCATTGCAGCATTATTCACAATAGCCAGGATATGGAATCAACTTAAGTGTCCATCAATGGATTAATGAAGAAAAAATGTGGTGTATATACACAATGAAATTCAGCCTTAAAAAAGAAGTAAATTCTTTCATTTGCAACAACATAAATGAACCTAGAGGACTTTATGCTAAATTAAATAAGCCGGCACAGAAAGACATGGTCTCACATACATGTGGAATCTAAAAAAGTTGAACTCATAGAAGTAGAGAGTAGAATGATGCTTACCAGAGACTGGGGAGAAGCCAGGATGGGAAGGTGTTGGTCAAAGGATATCAAGTTTCAGAGAGGAGGAATAAGCTTTGAGGCCTATTGCACAGCACAGTGATTCCAGTCAGTATTAATGTATTATATATTTCAAAATAACTAAGAGTACATTTTAAATGTCTCGTTATGAAAATGATATGTAAACAAGGTTATGGATATGTTAATTAGCTTGATTTAATCATTTCACATTGTATACATGTGTCAGAACATCCCATTGTACCCCAGAAAAGTATAAAATTATGATTTGTCAATTAACAACATTAAATTTAAAACTGGAATAAATAAATGCTAAGAGGAGTCAAACAGGTTGAAAGGAAAGGATGCTAGACAGTAATTTGAAGCTATATAAAGTAAAAGTAAATGCATGGGCAAGTATAAAAGCTAGTATTACTGTAACTTTAGTTTGTAACTCTGAGGTTTATTCAGTTTGTAATTTTTTAAACATAACTTTACTACACAACAAAAACATTACTCTAAAAGCTAGAATAATTGTAACTTTAGTTTGTTACTACACATTTTATTTTCTACATAAGAGACAAATGCATAAAATAACCAAAAGGGGGTAGGGATGGAGCTGTACAGGAAGTTACTCTATGTTACTGAAGTTAAGCTGGTATAAATTTAAATTGGAGTGTTTTATCTTCAGAATGTTAAATGTAATCCCCATGGTAACTACAAAAAGTAGCTACTGAATAGACACAAAAGGAAATTAGAATGGAATTATTCTATTAAATTCAGCACAAAAGACAGTAATGCAGCAAATGAGTGACAAGAAAGCTGTAAGGCATAAAGAAAACAAATAGCAAAATAACAGCAGTCTCTCCTAATCAGTAACTACTCTAATGTAAATAAACTCTCCAATCAAAAGACAGAGATTGGCAAGATGAATAGAAAAAAAATTCTAAATATATGCTATCCGTAAGAGACTCACTTTAGATCCAAAGACACAAATAGGTAAAACGTGTAAGGAGGGAAAGGCTAGTCCATGCACATAGGAACCGTAAGAGAAGTGAGGTGGGCTGTATTAACATCAGACAACATAGACTATAAAACAAGAAGGTGTAAGAGACAAGGAAGGATACTATACATTAATAAAAAGTTTAATATAGCAAGAAGATACTATGATAAACATTTAACATGTAATGACAGCCCATCAAAATATATAAAGCAAAAACTAACAGAATTTAAGGGAGAAACAAGACAGTTCTACAGTAATCATTGGAAACTTCAATACCTGACTCTCAATAATGGGTAGAATAATCAGACAAAAGAGGAAAGAGGACTTAATACTATAAACCAATTAGCTGTATCAGAGAACACTATCCAACAACACAAATCATATTCTTCTCAAGTGCACATGGGACATTTATATTATTACAGCACTCGACATTCTGCCATTGAAATTGGTTGTTTAAATAATTGTCTCTCAGAGCAAGCTCTTAGAGGAAACAGCCTTGTTTCATTTTGTATCCCTGGCACCTCAACAGAATATCATACACGTGGTTTTTAGCATTTACAAATTATGAGTTTCAGCTCCTTTCACACGGTGTTTCAGTCCTCAGTCTAGCATGCCCTTCCCCTCTCAGCAAACTTCTACGTATTTTTAAGACCCAATTCACATATTTTCTTTGCACCATTTGCCTAGATATCTCTGAGTAGTCAGTGACTCCCTTCTCTGTGATTCTACCTAACTTCTGCCTCTCTCTTACTGTCTTAGTCCATTTTGTGCTGCTATAACAGAATATCTGAGATTGGGTGATTTATAAAGGACAGAAATTTATTTCCTCATAGTTCTGAAGGGTGGGAAGTTCAAGATCAAGACACTAGCATCTGGTGAAGGCCTTCCTACTACATAACAACAAGGAGGAAGGCATCAAATATCTGGGGGTGAGTGGGGGAAGAGTCATGGATCCCATTCCTAAAATAACAGCATTAATTCATTCATGAGTGTAGTGTCCCCAAGACCCAAACACCTCCCATTATGCCCCACCTCCCAACACCACTGCATCAACTTTCCAACACATTAACTTTGGGGTACACATTCAAACCACAGCACTATACTGTATATATCCCACTGAATCTGAAATTCTCTTGTAATGGTCTTATAATTTTTGTACCTTCACATGCAGAAACCATTAGCTGTCTACTTTTAATATCTTTTCTCTTCTTCCTAAGAGCTACCAATTTTGAGTAAGGGACATGGCAACCACAGTAAAAAATATATATTGTCAGTCTCCTTTGGAGTTAGATGTCACCACATTGGCAGTAATCAGTCGCAGTTCACCTCCTTTAACAGGTGGGACAACCTATCCCTGTTTCTTGTTTTACTCAGTATCCACAGATTTGGTCTCCAGTTTCATGTGTGACTCTTTCAGCCCTGATGATCTTATAAGGACATGAATTCAGAACCACGTCAACCCTGTTTCCATATCCAAATGCTGGCACTGTGGCCTCACCCTCACTTTGCAAGCTGTACATCTAGTCCACTAATTCTACAGATAAATTTACCTCATTTTTTGAACAAGGCTTTATCTTTTAAAACCCTCTATCATTCCTTTGTATTTAAACCAGGCATACATGATCTGTTCTAATATTTTTAAAAACTAATTTAAAAGTACTTTAATTATTAAGACTATATGGGTCCCTGCAGCTACTGGTGAAGGAATGTTAATATGACGAAGTGATACGGTTGCGGACCTATGTACCCTAAGTAAACAGACTATTTTGCTATTATAAAGAATCTCATGCTTTTTTTCCTCCCTGAAAATCATATTTATCATTGTTTACTATAATGTATGTTTTTACTAAAATACTGAAGTACTTTTGAATGGTAAACACTTTCAATTCTACCTTTAACTACTGGACTTTCAGAAACACCATCACTACTAAGATTGAAAAAATATTCCCAAAGAGAGTAAGTGATCAAATATTAGGTTAAGGATGTTCTCTCTCTTGCTGACCATGATATTACCGGTTCCTAGCTTATTAGGTACAAAAAGATCTGGGGACTGAGGCTGACGCCACATATATAAGGATATAATACCTGTAGCACTGAGGACAATAGGTAAGATTCTATGTTCTCACTTTGTTACAGTCTGAGTCATGGACAGTATTCAATTATCAATTCATCAAAAAAACAGGAAAGGGAGGAACTTCAAGATGGCTGACTACATGCATTTGGTACTTGCCTCTTCCATGAAAAGGGAACAAAATAGTGAGGAGATAATCACACTTCAAATAGATCACCTAAGAGAGAACACTGGAATTCAGCAGGGTGGTGACGAGAAGCACTGAAAGCAAGAAAGGAGGAGGAGGCAAGACAGCCTGCTCAACCAGGATCAGCGGAGAGCTGAGAGACCTCCACTGGTCCACAGTCCCACCAGACTCTTACAATCCTAGCCATGGGAGAAGCCCTCAAGTGCTGCAGGCCCTGAGTCTAACATAAAGAGGTGCCTAGAAACCATGCAACAACATTATTCCAGAGAGAGCTCACGCTAAGTCCCACAAACCTAAGCAGGTACAGTGTACCTTCATTTTGAGAGCCCAGCCCCCACCAGACTTTGTCATGCCCGGGAACCCAACAGACCCTGCATCTCCACATCCCTGGAGACCCCATTGACATTCTCCACCTATAGCTGCTCCACAGGGTCCAAGACCAAAGCCACTGGCAGCAACTGTCTCCCTACACTGCAGCAGAGGGGGACCCGTGCATTTTCATGCACTGAGGAAAAATTCCACTGCCTGCAATAGCTGCTGCAGCAGCAGGAGCAAGGCACAAGCAAAGTATGTGACCCTGCAAGCCACCTGCCTATGAATGCTCCCACTGACAGCAACCCCACCCTTCCCGGTAACAAGGCCACAGCACAAGCCCTGCTGTTGCCACCAGAGCATTCTGATGGCAGTCTGAGGATCACTCTCCCCTGCCTACCACAGCCAGTACCTGCACGTACCAGTGGGGAGCCTAAGGACAGGCTCCTACAACCTGGCTCCATCCCTCTCAGTAACCAAGCATGCAATCCGTGGGCCTGGCGATCACCTAGCATAGACCACCACTGTTGGCACCTAAGCACTCCTCCCAGGGTCTGAGATTGGACCTATTCAACCTGCCTCTACCACCACAGCTGGCAACTAACCACACGTGCCACCTGCAAGCCTGGGGGATTGGCCTGTCCAGTCCATCACAGCCACTGCCTACACCAGCACAGACAGCTTGGGTCCTAAAGGTTATCCCACCACTGCTACTGCCATCATCCACACCATGCCCACTGCACAGAGGTTTAAAAACCTGTCAACCTGCCTGGCTCACCTGTGCCACTCCTGGTACCCAAGCAAGACACCTGGAGGCTCAAAGATTGGCTTACCTGAACCTGCTAACACTGGTGCCAGCATACACTGCCCTGAAGCCCAAGGACAGGCAATTTCAACCCACTGGTGCCACCACTGGGGCCTGAGAGCTGGCCTACTTGGCAACCCAGACCTCAGCAAAACCTTATCACAGGCCAGGCATGGTGGCTCATACCTGTAATCCTAGCACTTTGGGAGGCTGAGGCGGGAGGATCACTTGAGCTCAGGAGTTCGAGACCAGCCTGGGCAACAGAGTGAGACCTCTTTTATTGAAAGTTAAAATTTTCTTTTATAAAAAACTTTATCACAGCCTCCACTAACAACCACAATCTAAGCCACCTAAGAAATCACAGACACCACTGACAGCATTCACATTGAAAGAAAACACACAGAGACTACACTATGACACATACCTAGAATCAAAGCCAAAGTGCCATATTCAACCAACACCACAAATACATCTTCAGGAAAATGTCCTCCCCTATGAAAGACAATTCAAAAAATTAGAAGGAGCAACTGTTACACCAGAGGCACAGATACCAGTGTAAGGACACAGGAAACATGAAAAAGCAAGGAAATATGACACCGCCAAAAGACCACAATAATTCACGGGCAATACATCCCAATCAAAAAAATCTGGCCAGGTGCAGTAGCTCAGACTTGTAATTCTAGCACTTTGGGAGACTGAGGCAGGCAGACTGCTTGAGCCTAGGGGTTCAAGACCAGCCAGGGCAACATAGTGAGACCCCATCTCTAAAAAAAATACAAAAATTAACCAGGTGTGGTGGCATGCACCTGTAGTCCCAGCTACTCAGAAGCTGAGGTTGAGGGATTACCTGAGCCCAGGGAGGTCGAGGCTGCACTGAGCCATGATCACACCATTGCACTCCAGCCTGGGCAACAGAGTGAGACCCTGTCTCAGGGGGGAAAAAAAGAAATTTATGAAATCCCAGAAAAATAACTCAAATACTGATTTTAAAGAAGCCCAGTAAGATACAAGAGAATTCTGAGGCCAGACACTGTGACCCTTGTCTGTAATCCCAGCACTTTGGAAGGCTGAGGCAGGCAGATCACCTGAGGCCAGGAGTTCAAGACCAACCTGGCAGAACCCCATCTCTGTCTCAAAAAAAAAAAGATACAAGAGAATTCTGAAAAACAATACAAAAAATTCAGAAAAACAATTCAGGATATGAGGGAGAAATTTACTAAAGGAACTAGATATCACAAAGGAAAACCAGGTTGGGCACAATGGCTGATGCCTGTAATCAATCCCAGCACTTTGGGAGGCCAAGGAAGGCAAATCACTGGAGGTCAGGAGTTCAAGACAAGACTGGCTAACACAGTGAAACCCTGTCTCTGCAAAGAATACAAAAAAATTGCCGCCACACCAGGTGTGGTGGCAGGCACCTGTAGTCCCAGCTACTTCGGAGGCTGAGGCAGAAGAATCACTTGAACCTGGGAGGTGAAGGTTGCAGTTAGCTGAGATCGTGCCATAGCACTCTAGCCTGGGAAACAGAGCGAGACTCCATCTCAAAAAGAAAAAAAAAAAAAAAAAGGAAAAACCAAACAGGAATTCCAGAACTGAAGATTTCACTGAATGAAATACAAACTACGTTGGAAAGTGTCAACAACAGACTAGATTAAGCAGATAAAAGATTCTCAGAACATTAAGAAAGGCCCTTGGAAATGAGCCAGTGAGACAAAAAGTAATAATTAAAAAAAAAAAAATGAGAAAAGCCTGTGTGACATATGGAACACCATTAAGTAACCAAATATTCAAATTTTCAGTGTCTCAGGAGAAGAGAAAACAAAAATGTTAGAAAACCTGTTCAATAAAATAATAGGTAAAAATTTTCCAAGTCTAGCAACAGATTTACACATCAGATACACCAAGTTCAGGGATCTCTCAGTAAATACAAATCAAAAAGGTCTTCTTCACAGCACATTATCTTCAAACTGTCAAAAAATCAAATACACAGAATTCTAAAAATGGCAAGAAAAGCATCTAGTCACTTATAAAGGAACGCCCATCAAACTAACAGTGGAATTCTCAGCAGAAACCTTATAGGCCAGTAGAGAATGAAATGATATATTCAAAATGCTGAAAGAAGGCCAGGTACGGTGGCTCACGCCTGTAATCCTAGCACTTTGGGAGGCTGAGGCAGGTGGATCACTTGAGGCCAGGAGTTCAAGACCAGCCTGGCCAACATAGTGAAACCCTATCTCTACTAAAAATACAAAAATTAGCTGGGCACGGTGATACATTCCTGTAATCCCAGCTATTCAGGAGGCCAAAGTAGAAGAATCACTTGAACCCAGGAGGCAGAGGCTGCAGTGAGCTGAGACTGCACCACTGCACTCCAGCCTAGGTGGCAGAGCGAGACTGTCTAAAAAAATAATTTTTTTAAAAAGTGCTCAATGAAAAAAAAACTGTCAGTCAAGGATACTATACCCAGCAAAGTTATCCTTCATAAATGAGTAAGAAATAAAGTATTTCACAAACAAGCAAAAGCTGAGGGAATATATCACCACTAGACTGGCCCTAGAAGAAATGCTTAAGAAAGTCCTACATCCAGAAGCAAAAGAACACTATCTACCATCACAAAAACACAAAAAAATATAAAAACCACTGATAGACCAAACACAAACAAGGAAGAGACTCACAACTACAGAAAACCACCAAGCCAAAATAATAATTAATAAGAGACAGAGGGAATAGATGATATACTGAACAGCCATAAATCAGTTAATAAAATGACAGAAATAAGCCTTCACACATCAATAACTCTGAATGTAAACTGATCAAACTTTCCACTTAAAAGATACAGACTAATTTGGCCAGGCGCGGTGTGGCTCTCACCTACAATCCCAGCACTTTGGGAGGCTGAGGCAGGTGGATCACCTGAGGTCAGGGGTTCAAGACCAGGCTGGCCTACACGGTGAAACCCCATCTCCACTGAAAATACAAAAATTAGCCAGGCGTGGTGGCAGGTGCCTGTAATCCCAGCTACTCAGGAAGCTGAGGCAGGAGAATCGCTTGAACCCAGGAGGCAGAGGTTGCAGTAAGCCAAGACCGCACCATTGTACTCCAGTCTGGGCAACAAGAGCAAAACTCCATCTCAATTAAATAAATAAGATAGATACTGATTGAATAGATTTTTTAAAATGTTTTTAAAGCATGACCCACCTATATACTACCTACAATAAACTCATCTCACCTGTAAAGACATATAGGCTGAAATTAAGGGATGGAAAAAGATATTCCATGCAAACAGAAACCAACAGTGACTAGAAGTAGCTATACTTGTATCAAACAAAACAAACTTTAAGTCAAAAACAGTAAAAAGAGACAAAGAAGGTCATTATATAATGGTAAAGGGAAAAATTCAGGAGGAGGATTTAACAATTCCAAACATATAAGGCACCCAACACTGTAGCACCCAGATATATAAAGCAAGTATTATTAGATCTGTAAGGAGAGATAGATTCCACTACGATAATAGTTAGGGACACCAGCACCCCACTGTGAGCATTAAATGGATCATGTAGATACAAAAATTAAGAAAGCCACACTGGATTTAAACTGCATATCAGACCAAATAGACCTAACAGACATTTACAGAACATTTCATCTAACATCTTAACACTCCCTACTTCACAGGTGGATGCATATTGATTTATGTGTGTTGATTTTGTCCTGCAACTTTACTGAATTTATTTAGCAGAACTAAGTTTTTTGGTGGAGTCTAGGTTTTTCTAAATATAAGATCATATCATCAGCAAAGGGGGACAGTTTGACTTCCTCTTTTCTAATTTGGATGCCTTTTCTTTTTTTCCCTCTTGCCTGATTGGTCTGGTTAGGACTTGCAGTACTGTGTTAAATAGGAGTGATTAAAGTGGGCACCAGCACCCCACTGTGAACACATTCTTTTCATCAGCATATAGAACATTCTCCAGGATAGATCAAGTTAGGACACAAAACAAGTGTCAACAAATTTTTAAAAATTGAAATCGTATCAAGTATCTCCTCAGATAAGAATGGAATAAAACTAGAAATCAAGAATAATAGGCCAGGTGGGATAGCTCGCGCCTGTAATCTTAGCACTCTGGGAGGCCGAGGTGGGCAGATTGCCTGAGCTCAGGAGCTCGAGACCAGCCTGGGCAGCATGCTGAAACCCCGTTTTTACTAAAATACAAATCAGCCAGGCATGGTGGCATGCACCTGTAGTCCCAGCTACTCAGGAGGCTGAGGCACAAGAACTGCTTGAACCCAGGAGGCGGAGGTTGCAGTAAGCTGAGATAGTGCCACTGCACTCCAGCCTGGGTGACTAAGCAAAACTCTGTCTCAAAAAACAAAAACAAAAAAAAAAAAAAAAAACAAAGAGTTAAGAAGAACTCTGGAAACTATATAAATACACAGAAGTTAAACAACATGCTTCTGAATGACCACTGGGTCAAGGAAGACATTAAGGAAGAAATCAAAAAAATTATTGAAACAAATGAAAATCTAATACAACATACCGAAAATCTATGAGATACAGCAAAAACAGTGCAAAGAGGGAAATTTATATCAACAAATGCCTACATCAAAAAAGTAGTAAGATTTTAAAGAAACAATCTAGCAATGCACCTTAAGGAACTAGAACCAAACCCCAAATTAGTAGAAGGAAAGAAATAATAAAGATCAGAGCAGAACTAAATGAAACGACTTTTTTAAAAAGCACAAAAGAACAACAAAAAGCTGATTTTTTGAAAAGGTAAATCAATAAACCACTTGCTAGACTAATCAACATAAAAAGAGAGGACCCAAGTAAAATCAGAAAATGAAAAGAGACATTACAACTAATTCCACAGAAATACAAAAGAACATTAAAAACTATTACAAACAACGATACACTAACATACTGGAAAATTGAGAGGAAATGGATGCATTCCTAGACATAGACATATACAATCTACCAAGATTGAATCAGGAAGAAATACGAAACCTGAACAGACTGATAATGAGTAAAGACATTTAATCAGTAATAAAGTCTCCCAACAAACAGAAGTCCGGGACTGGATGGCTTCACTGCCAAATTCTACCAAACACTCATAGAAGAACTAACATCAATTCTCCCCAACTCATTCTACAAGGCCAACATTACCTTAACACCAAAACCAGACAAGGATGCAATAAAAAATATTTAAAAAAAAAAAGAAAGAAAACTACAGGCCAATATCCCTAATGAACACAGAGATAAAAATTCTCAAAATACTGGCAAACTGAATCCAACAACATTAAAAAAAAAAAAATACACCACAATGAAGTGAGATTTATCCCAGAGAGGCAAGGATGGTTACACAAATCAACAAATATGATTCATAACCTCAACAGAATAAAGGACAAAACCATATGTTCATCTCAACAGACACAGAAAAAGCACTTGATAAAATTCAGTGTCCCTTCGTGATAAAAACTCTTAACAAACTAGGCATAAAAGAAACATACTTCAACATAACAAAGGTCATATATGACAACAGCTAACATCATACTGAATGGGGAAAAGTTGAAACCCTTTCTTCTAAGAACTGGAACAAGACGAGGATGCCCACTTTAATCACTCCTATTCAACATAGTACTGCAAGTCCTAGCCAGACCAATCAGGCAAGAGGGAAAAAAAGAAAAGGCATCCAAATTAGAAAAGAGGAAGTCAAACTGTCCCTCTTTGCTGATGATATGATTTTATATCTAGAGAAACCTAGACTCCACCAAAAAACTTAGTTCTGCTAAATAAATTCAGTAAAGTTGCAGGACAAAATCAACACACATAAATCAATATGCATCCATCTGTGAAGTAGGGAGTGTTAAAAAAAAATCAACATACAAAACCTGTTTCTATATACCAATAAAACAAACTAGCTGAGAAAGAAATCAAGAAGGCATTCCCTTTTTACAATAGCTATAAAAACTACAAAACACTAGATAAAATAAAGAGGGCACAAACAAATGGAAAGACATCCCATGCTCAAGAATAAGAATTAACATCATTAAAATGACCATACTGCCATAAGCAATCTACATTTTCAATGCAATGGCTATCAAAATACCAATGTCTTTTTTCACAGAAATAGAAGAAGCAATCTTAAAATTCATATGAAACCAAAAAGGAGCCCAAACAACCAAAACAATCTTAAGCAAAAAGAATAAAACTACCTGACTTCAAAATACATTACAAGGTTACAGTAACCAAAACAGCATGGTACTGGTATAAGACAGACACATAGACTAATGGAATAAAACAGATAATTCAGAAATAAATCCACATATTTAAAGCCAACTGATTATATTAAACAACAACAACAACAAAAAAGGCTTCTGCACAGCAAAGGAAACAATGAAGAGTGAAGGGAGAGCGCCAATGTCTGGTTTTGGGTGGGAACTGAAACCACCACTACAGCCAACAAGAACTTGGGAAGTGTAAATATCAAGCCCTGAAAGGGACCATGGTGCAGCCTGTGAGATGTAAGAAACCAATCAATTACTCACAGTTTGGCGACTCTGACAGTGATGATGATTTTGTTTCTGCAACTGTACCTTTAAACAAGCAATCCAGAACATCAAAGGAGTTAAAACAAGATAAACCAAAACCTAATTTGAACAATCTCCAGAAAGAAGAAATCCCACTAGAAGAGAAAACCCCTAAAAAAAAAAGGATGGCTTTAGATGATAAGCTCTACCAGAGAGACTTAGAAGTTGCACTAGCTTTATCAGTGAAGGAACTTTCAACAGTCACCACTAATGTGCAGAAGTCTCAAGATAAAAGAGTTGAAAAACATGGCAATAGTAGAACAGAAACAGTGAGTAAGTCTCCTCGTATCTCTAATTGCAGTGTAGCCAGTGATTATTTAGATTTGGATAAGATTACTAAGAAAGACAATGGTGGTATTCAAGGGAAAAGAAAAGCAGCATCTAAAGCTGCGGTACAACAGAGGAAAATTTTTCTGGAAGGCAGTGATGGCAATAGTGCTAATAACACCAAACCAGACTTGGCAACTGGTGAAGATTCTGAGGATGATTCTGATTTTGGTGAGAGTGAGGATAATGACAAAGACTCCTCTATGAGAAAAAGTAAAGTTAAAGAAATTTAAAAAAAAAAAAAAGAAAAGAAATGAAGGTAAAATCCCCAGTAGAAAAGAAAGAGAAGGAACCTAAATCCAAATGTAATGCTTTAGTGACTTTGGTAGACTGCTCTGGCTGCCATCAAATCAGAATCTCAGTCCTCGCCAAAAGAGATTTATCTTTCTTCAGATGCCACTAGGAAACCATTACAAATATGCAGTCCTTCAGCTGAAAGCAAGAGACCTAAATGGTTCTACCAGCATCTGGAAGTAGCAGCAATAGCAGCAGCGCACTGGCAGGAGTGTCCATGAAGTCTCCAAATCAGAGTCTCTGCTGTGGCTTGTCCAGATCAGCACCAGTTAAACCTTTGCATCCAAATGCTACTAGAGGCTGACTGTGGTACCAGAGAAATGTTTGGCTGAAAGAAGCACAGCTTTACAAGGGTGTTTATATTTGATTTGTGTTTATATCTGAGGCAGGTATTGTAATACAAAGGAATCCATTACCATGTCCTATAAATGATCTCTAGCCATTTTATGATTATGTTCTCTGTAAAGCTCTTCAAGATCTCAATGAGAGCTTTGTAAGAATTATCTTCTCATGCCTTTCCTTCTGAAGAGCATATTCTATTTTCCTGTCAGTTTGACATGGAGGAAGTCCACATCACATGCCGTTCTTTTCTAGTTACATGATGTGCCTTTCCAGCTTTGTCTAGTTTATAGCACCTTAACGTTAACCGTTCAGTTTTATCTCGCACAGGGAAACATTCTCATTTCTTTCATAAGACATTTCTGAAATCTTATAAGCTACTTAAGCTATATTATCAGTTTTATTGCAAAGATGTTTTGTATTTTAGCCAAATTTTTTCATAGTAAGAGTTCAGAAGTATTTTACACACTAAAATGGTTGCTGTATTATGGCATGTGTCTCCTATTTAGATGGTTATTCTATAACAAATAGAATTTGAAGACATTTAGTGATATCTTCATTGTCAAAACCTTTAATAAAAGTGGAAATGTTTTGAAATGCTTTTTTCTTGATACCACTGCATCCACCTTTTTTTTTTTTTTTTTTTGAGAGGGAGTCTTGCCTATCACCCAGGCTGGCACGATCTCAGCTCACTGGAACCTCCGCCTCCCGGGTTCAAGTGATTCTCATGCCTCAGCCTCCCCGAATAGGTGGGATCACAGGCAATCACCACCATACCCAGCTAGTTTTTGTATTTTTAGTAGAGACAGGGTTTCACCATGTTGGCCAGGCTGGTCTTGAACTCCTGACCTCAAGTGATCTGCCTGCCTTGGCCTCCCAAAGTGCTGGGATTACAGGTGTGAGCCACTGCACCCCACCAACAGCCACCTGCTTCTGACTGTCCACACTTCATGATAAAATGAGAGTTCTGCAAAAATGTTAGCCTTTTTCTTGTAAATATAAACAAGGGAAAGCTGTTTCTTCAAATAGTAACTTTTTGTTAAGCCAGTCTTCAGAAAGTAGTTGTCAAGTATTTAGTCATCCCTATTATGATATTAGATAATACAGCTTTTTAGGAAGCTCAGATCTCAATTTACTGTGAAAAACAATTGTAATCAATATTTTATATTTATGGTGAGAATTTCAACTAGCTTCTGATCAATTTTTATAAAAAATTTTCAAATCATATTAACCATTAAAAATGTATAATACTTAGCTCAGTTCTTCTCAGTTTATGGGAACATCTATGTTAACGTGAAAATAATTAATTTAGAACTGTGATTAAAGTGAGCATTTGTCTAAAAAAAGGGTGAAGAGACAATCTGCTGAATGGGAGAAAATATGTGCGAACTATTCAACAAGTGACTAATACCTAGAATATACAAGGAACTCAAACAACAAAAACAAAAACCCCACCAATAATCCCATTTAAAAGTAGGCTAAGGACATGAATAGATATTTTTCAAAGAAAGGCATACAAATGGCAAACAAGTATATGAAAAAATGCTCAACATCACTAATCATTAAGGAAATGCAAATAAAAACCACATGAAATATCATTTCAGCCAAGTTAAAATGGCTGTTATTTAAATAACAAAAAAGGCCAGGTGTGGTAGCTCATGTCTGTAATCTCAGCACTCTGGGAGGCCAAGGCAGGCAGATCACTTGAGGTCAGGAGTTTCAGACCAACCTGGCCAACACTTTGCAAAACCCCATCTCTACTAAAAATACAAAAAATTAGCCGAGCATGGTGGCACATACCTGTAATCCCAGCTACTTGGGAGGCTGAGACAGGAGAATCACTTGAACCTGGGAGGCAGAGGTTGCAGTGAGCTAAGATCACACCACTGCACTCCAGCCTAGGTGACAGGGAGTGAGATTCTGTCTCAAAATAATAAATAAAAGTAAAACAAAAGAAAAAAAGACACTGGTAAGGATGTAGAAAAAAAGGGAACTCTTATACAGTGTTGGTAAGAATGTAAATTAGTACATACTTTTTGGAAACCTACAAAAATTTCTCAAAAAATTGAAAACAGAACTACCACAAGATCCAGCAATCCCACTACTGGGTAGTTATCCATAGGAAAAGAAATCAGTATATCAAAGGGATACCTGCACTTGCATGTTTACTGTAGCACTATTCACAATAGCAAATATATGTAATCAACCTAAGTGTTCATCAACAGATGTATGGGGCCAGGCACAGTGCTAGGTCTGTAATCCTAGCACTCTGGGAGGCCGAGGCAGGAGGACTGCTTGAGCCCAGGAATTTGAGACCAGTTTGGGCAACATAGTGAGACCCCCATTTCTACAAAAAAAATTCTTTTTTAATTAGCCAGGTGTGGTGGGGTATGCTTGTGGTCCCGGCTACTCACTGCAGTGAGCCATGATTGCACCACTGCACTCCAGCCTGGGTGACAGAGTGAGACCCTGCCTTTAAAAACAAAACAAAACAAAAACAGATTAATGGACATATGTGGCATATATACACAATGGGATACTATTTGGCCATTAAAAAATAATGAAATCATGTCATTTGCAGCAACATGGATGGACCTGGAGGTCACTATGTTAAGTGAAATAAGCCAGGACTAGAAAGACAAATATAGTATGTTCTAACTCATTCAGTGGGTTTAAAAGATGATCTCATGGAGGTAGACAGTAGAATGACAGACACCAAAATCTGAGAAGGGTACATGGGTGGTAGGTAATGAAAAGAGGTTGCTCAATGTACACAAACATATTGTTAAAGAAAAAGTATAAAAATTCTAATATTCTATAGCAGACTAAGGTGACTATAGCTAGCAAAACTGTGTATTTCAAAGTAGATAGAAGAGAGGACTTTAAATGTTCCCAACACATAGAAATGATAAATACTCAAGGTGATAGATATCCCAAATACCCTGACTTGATCATTACACATCCTATGTAACAAAATGTCACATGTGCCTCGTAAATATGTAAAATATTATATATCAATAAAAAACAAAAAACAGGAAAGGAGAAGAGAAGCAAAGAAAAAGGATGGCAAACAAAGCAAGATGACAAAAATCCAGATATATCATAATTAAAATAGATGTGAATGAATTTAACTCATTTGTAACAGAAAATAACAAAAATAACATACAGACTGGGCATGGTGGCTCATACCTGTAATCCCAGCACTTTGGGAGGCCAAGGTGGGAGGATCACCTGAGGTCAGGAGTTAGAGATCAGCCTGGTCAACATAGCAAAACCCTGTCTCTACTAAAAATGCAAAAATTAGCGGGGTGTGGTGGTACGCACCTGTAATCCCAGCTACCCGGGAGGCTGTGGCACAAGAACCACTTGAACACAGGAAGCAGAGGTTGCAGTGAGCCGAGATTGTGCCACTGCACTCCAGCCTGGGCAACAGAGTGGGACTCCATCTCAAAAAATAAATAATATAAAATAAAATAAAAACAACATACAAATTCAACTAAAGCTGTTTATAAAAGTGAACTAAAACATTAACAGAGAAAAGATGAAAAAAATAAATTCTGACAAACCTTTTTTTTAAAAAGGTGGTATGGCAATTTTTTAAAAAAGGTGGTATGGCAATTTTTTAAAAAAGGTGGTATGGCAATTTTAATGTCAGACAAAACAATTTTATTGCAACATTAAAAGGTACGGAAACATGATATATATATATAATAAAATAAACCAAAAACATACCAAAGCCTTATACACATCTATCATCAGTTTGCCTTTTCTTGAATTCCATACAAATGGAATCATATAGTTGACTACGTTAAAGTGAAAACTGTTTATCACATCCCTATTATCAAAAAAAATCAGCTTGCTGGGCGCAGTGGCTCATGCCTATAATCCTAGCACTTTGGGAGGCCGAGGCGGGTGGATAACCTGAGGTCAGGAGTTCGAGACCAGCCTGACCAAGATGGAGAAACCCTGTCTTTACTAAAAATACAAAATTAGCTGGGCTTGGTGGCACATGCCTGTAATCCCAGCTACTTGGGAGGCTGAGGCAGGAGAACTGCTTGAACCCAGGAGGTGGAGGTTGCAGTGAGCCGAGATAGTAGTGCCACTGCACTCTAGCCTGGGCAACAAGAGTGAAACTCCATCTCAAAAAAAAAACAAAACAAAACAAAAAAATCAGCTTATTTCTGAAAAATATAATTAAAAGTACTAATAAGATTTAAAAAATCTAGCAAAATTTAGGATCACAGCAGAATGCAGGAAACAACTTATCAGACACAGAACTGAGCAGGTGGCAGGATGGAATTGGAACCTTTGCATTCCAGGGGAAGTAGGATTTACACTTACTGTAGAAATGAGTTTGCCTTTCCTGCCCTGAGTGTCTCTGGACATTTACAGTACCTCAATGGTTTCAAAATGTTTGCTTTGCCAATCTGGGATTCACTTTAACATCACCTCAAACTAAAGGACTCGTTTAATGGTGAAGAAGATACAACATTAAGCACATGACCATGGCATCCACTGGTCCTACACCACATACCACATCACCTAGAAACTGTCCGGCTAACAAAATCATAAAGTGGTGCATTAAATTAAAAGCTCGATTAAGAAGTCATTCTGCTGGTCATTTGGGATGCAGCATATGCACTGAACCAATGGCTAGGGTATTATATCCCTACTACCTGAGATGCACGGGTTTAGAAACCAAGGGGTAGAGAAGTTAGATTGACTCTTCACCATCACTCCCAGTAACTCACTTATGGCATGTGGATTTCCTATCCCCACAATTTAAAATCTCTGCTGTACTAGAGATCCTGAGGGTAATGCTTCCACAGTAGGGGTTCACGGAGCCTAAAGCCACAACCACCACTTGGTCACTATGGGCTTCTCATACTGATGAACGAGCAGGCAAAGAAAGGAATAAATATACTAGCAGTGATAAATGACCCTGATTATTAGGACCTGTTGTACACAATGAGATTAGGGAGCAATCTGTCTGGAATGCAGGGTATTTCCATGCTTGCTAATAGGGTAAACAGGAAATTACAGCAACCATGGCTCAAAACAGGCAAGGCAACTAAAGGCTCAAGTCCCACAAGGATGAAAGCCGAAAGGACAGAAGCAACTTAAACCAGCTTAAATGCTGGCCCAGCATAAAGGAAATCTAGAATAGGTAGTAAAAGAAGGTAATGATGAATAGTAATTCCTGCCTCAATACCAGTTGCAGTAGCAGGTACCACTGGCTTATATCACTAACCCTTCTCAAATTTCCATGGAAGATGTCAAGACTTGGTGATGGATTAGAATCAATGTAGGGTTTAAGCCAATCTGAGCAAAGCAAGATGTAGATTCTATCAAAAGTCTCATGCCTCAAAAACAAAGATAAAGAGATGGGACTTAAACTAAAAAGCTTCTGCACAGCAAAAGACACAATCAGCAGAGTAAACAACCCACAGAGTGGGAGAAAATCTTCACCATCTATACATCTGACAAAGGACTAATATCCAGAATCTACAAGGAACTCAGATCAGCAAGAAAAAAACAATCCCATCAAAAAACAGCCTAAGGACGTGAATAGACAATTCTCAAACGAAGATACACAAATGGCCAACATATGAAAAAATGTTCAACATCACTAATTACCAGGGAAATGCAAATCAAAACCACAATGCAGTACCACCTTACTCCTGCAAGAATGGCCACAATCAAAAAATCAAAAAATAGATGTTGACGTGGATGGCGCAGATTCCTTAAAGAACTGAAAGTAGATCGAGCAATCCCACTCCTGGGTATCTACCCAGAGGAGAAGAAGTTATTATACGAAAAAGATACTTGCACATGTGTGTATATATATATATACACACACACACACACACACACACACACACACTATGGAATATTACTTAGCCATAAAAAGAAACAAAATAATGGCATTTGCAGCAGCCTGGATGGAACTGGAGACCATTATTCTAACTGAAGTAACTCAGGAATGGAAAACCAAACATCGTATATTCTCCATTCATAAGTGGGAGCAAAGCTATGAGGACGCAAAAGCATATGAATGATAAGGGTGGTGGCGTGAGGGATAAAAGACTACACATTGGGTACAGTGTACATTGCTGTTGGGTGATGGTTGTACCAATCTCAGAAATCACCACTAAAGAACTTACTCATGTAATCAAACACCATCGGTTCCCCAAAAACCTACTGAAATAAAGTATTTTAAAAGTCTCATGTATAATCTTCATGCTCTCAGTCTCTCCTTTGATTCTAGTTGTATTAATTGCCTAATGCTGTGTAACAATAGTGGCTTAAAACAACACAAATTTGTGATCTCACAGTTCTAGAGGTCATTAAGTCTAAAACAGGTCTTACAGGCCTGTTTGGCATTTGCAGCAGCCTGGATGGAGTAGATTACAAAGCTACAATCAAAGCCTGCATTCCTTCAGAAGGCTCTAGAGAAGAATCTGTTCTTTGTCTATTCCAGCTCCTAGAAGCTGCTTATATTCCTTTGCACTTGGCCACATCATCAAGATTTCTGCTTTCAGCATCACATCCCTTTCCTGGACTAATTGATTCCCTCTGATAAGGACTCTTGTGATTACCAGAGCCCACTCAGATAATCCAGGACATCAGTAGCACAGGCAACCGAAAAGAGTCAAACTGGACTTCATCAAAATTAAGATCTTTTTAACATACTTTGTATATGAAAGGACACTAAATTAATACAGTGAAAAGGTAACCCACAGAAAGGAATATTTGGAAATCACATCTGATAGGACACTGATATTCAGAATATATAAAGAACTCTTACAAGTCAAAAACAACAACAACAACAACAACAAAATCCAGCTGGGTGTGGTGACTCACACCTATAATCCCAACACTTTGGGAGGCTGAGACAGGAGGATCCCTTGAGGCTAAAAGTTCAAGACCTGCTTGGGCAACATAGTGAGATCCCCATCTCTACAAAAAATAAATAAATGAGCCAAGCAGTGGCATGCACCTATAGTCCTAGCTACTCAGGAGGCTGAGACAGGAGGATCCCTTGAGCCCAGGAGGATGAGATTGCAATGAGCCATGATTATGTCACTCTATTCCAGCCTGAGTGATACAGTGAGACTTTGTCTCTAAAAAGAATAAAATAAAAATCCAACACAAAAATGGAGTAGGAATTGAATAGACACTTCTCCAAAGAAGATATGCAAACAGTGAATAAGCACATGAAAAGATGATCATATCACCATCCCTTAGAAAAATCCAAATCAAAACCACAATAATACCACCTCACAACCATCACCATGGTTATTATTAAAAAAATGATGATGACAGAAAATAACAAGTGTTGGTGAAAATGTAGAAAATTAGAACCCTTGTGCACTGCTGGTGGGAAGATAAGATGGTACAGCCACTGTGGAAACCCATATGGCAGTTCTTCAAAAAATTAGAAACAAAATTACCATACAATCCAGCAATTTCACTTATGGATACAAACCCAAAAGAAGTAAAAGTGAGAACTCAAATAGATACTTGTACACCCATGTTCATATTGGCATTATTCACAACAGCCAAAAAGTGGAAGCAACCAAAGTGTCCATGATCAGGCCAGGCGTGGTGGCTCATGCCTGTAATCCCAGCACTTTGGGAGGCTGAGGCGGGTAGATCACCTGAGGTCAGGAGTTCAAGACCAGCCTGACCAACATGGCGAAACCCCCATCTCTATTAAAAATACAAAATTAACCAGGCATGGTGGCCCATGCCTGGAATTCCAGCTACTTGGGAGGCTGAGGCAGGAGAATTACTTGAACCCAGGAGGCGGAGGTTGCAAATGAGCCGAGATCGTGCCACTGCACTCCAGCCTGGGCAACAAGAGCAAAACTCCACCTCAGTGTCTGTCATCAGTTGAATGAGTAAACAACATGTGGTAAATATAGATTCAACGGAACAGTACCAGCCTTTGGTCGGGGAGGAACTTTAGACACATGCTACAATGTGAATAAACCTTGAAGACACTATACTCAGTGAAATAAGCCAGTCATAAAGGACAAATATTGTATGATTTATTTCACTTACACATGGTTCCAGGAGTTGTCAAATTCATAGAGATAGAAAGTAGAATGGTGATTGCCAGAGGTTGGGGGGATGGCAGACTTGGGAGTTGTTGTTTAATGGGTACAGAGTTTCAGGTGGCAAAAATGAAAAACTTATGCAAACAGGTGGTGGTGATGGCTGCATAACAATGTGAATATACTTATCACTGTACACTTAAAAATGGTTAAAATGGTAAATTTTATGTTACACATATCTTACCACAATAACTTTTTAAAAACATGTACATGAATGCCAGTAGCCATATTACTCGTAATAGGCATAAGGGAGAAAAAACTCAAATGCCTGTAAACTGATGAATGCATAAAATGTGGTATTAACTGTAAAATTACATATTATTCAGCAATAAAAAGGAATGAAGTACTGAGAGGTGACAGCGTGCTGGCAGTCCTCAAAGCCCTCGCTCGCTCTTGGCACCTCCTCTGCCTGGGCTCCCACTTTGGCAGCACTTGAGGAGCCCTTCAGCCCACCACTGCACTGTGGGAGCCCCTTTCTGGGCTGGCCAAGGGCAGAGCCTGCTCCCTCAGCTTGGGGGGAGGTGTAGAGGGAGAGGCGCCAGCGGGAACTGGGGCTGCGTGCAACGCTGGCGGGCCAGCTGGAGTTCCGGGTGGGCGTGGGCTTGGCAGGCCCCGCACGCACTCAGAGCAGCCGGCCGGCCCTGCCGGCCGGACAGTGGGGGGCTTAGCACCCGGGCCAGCAACTGAAGAGGGTGTACTGGGTCCCCCAGCAATGCCAGCCCACCAGCGCTGCGCTCGATTTCTTGCCGGGCCTCAGCTGCCTCCCCGTGGGGCAGGGCTCGGGACCTGCAGCCCGCCATGCCTGAGCCTCCCCGCCCCATGGGCTGCTGTGCCGCCCGAGCCTCCCCAACAAGGACCACCCTCTGCTCCAGGGCGCCCAATCCCATTGACCACCCAAGGGCTCAGGAGTGCGGGCACACAGCGCAGGACTGGCAGGCAGCTCCACCTGCAACCCCTGTGCGGGATCCACTGGGTGAAGCCAGCTGGGCTCCTGAGTCTGGTGGGGCCTTGGAGAATCTTTATGTCTAGCTCAGGGATTGTAAATACACCAATGGGCACTCTGTCTCTAGCTCAAGGTTTGTAAACACACCAATCAGCACCCTGCGTCTAGCTCAGGGTTTGTGAATGCACCAATCGACACTCCGTAGCTAGCTACTCTGGTGGGGACTTGGAGAACCTTTGTGTCAACATTCTGTATCTAGCTAATCTGGTGGGGAGGTGGAGAACTTTGGGCCTAGCTCAGGGATTGTAAACGCACCAATCAGTGCCCTGTCAAAACAGACCACTCAGCTCTACCAATCAGCAGCATGTGGGTGGGGCCAGATAAGAGAATAAAAGCAGGCTGCCCGAGCCAGCAGTGGCAACCCGCTCGGGTCCCCTTCCACACTGTGGAAGCTTTGTTCTTTCGCTCTTTGCAATAAATCTTGCTACTGCTTACTCTTTGGGTCCACACTGCCTTTATGAGCTGTAACACTCGCCGCGAAGGTCTACAGCTTCACTCCTGAAACCAGCGAGATCACGATTCCACCAGAAGGAAGAAACTCCGAACACATCTGAACATCAGAAGGAGCAAACTCCAGACGCGCCACCTTAACAGCTGTAACACTCACCGCGAGGGTCCGCGGCTTCATTCTTGAAGTCAGAGAGACCAAGAACCCACCAATTCCAGACACAGTACCAGTATGTGCTATAACATGGATGAACCTTAGAAACATCAAGCTGCTGGGTGCAGTGGCTCACTCCTGTAATCCTAGCTCTTTGGGAGGCAGAGATGGGAAGATCACTTGAGCGCAGGAGTTCAAAACCAGCCTGGGCAACACAGTGAGACTGTCTCTACAAAAAAAAAAAAAAAAAAAAAAAAAAAAAATCAAAAAATTAGCCTGGCATGGTGGCACATGCCTGCAGTCCCAGCTACTCAGGAGACTGAGGCAGGAGGATCACTTGTGCCTGGATGGCAGAGGTTGCAGTGAGCTGTGATCAAGCACTGCACTACAGTCCAAGCAACAGAGCAAACCTTGCCTCAAAAAAGAAAAAAACAAAACAAACAACAAAAAAAACATTGAACTAAGTGAAAGAAAGCGGTTACAAAGGACCACATACTATATGATTCCATGTATATGAAAGGTTCAGAATGAGCAAATGTATAGAGACAGAAGGCAGATTAATGGTTTCCTAGGACACGGAGAGGGGAGGTTAGGGGTGACAACTAATGAGTATGGCATTGCTTTGGGAGGTGATTAAAGTGTTCCAATATGGCTGGGTGCGGTGGCTCGCGAGGTCAAGAGATCAAGACCATCCTGGCCAACATGGTGAAACCCCGTCTCTACTAAAAATACAAAAAATTAGCCGGGCATGGTGGCAAGCTTCTGTAGTCCCAGCTACTGCGGAGGCTGAGGCAGGAGAATCACTTAAACCTGGGAGGCAGAGGTTGCAGTCAGCCAAGATTTTGCCACTGCACTCCACCCTGGTGACACAGCGAGACTCCGTCTCAAAAAAAAAAAAAATTCTGATATTGTGGTGATGGTTGCACAACTCTGAATATACTAAAAGCTGAATTGTATACTTTTAATGAGTGAACTGTATAGTATGTGAATCATATCTCAATAAAACCTTTTTTTAAAAACCGACAAGACTAATGACTGAATGGAATCATAAAATAAAGCAAGGAGGGCCAGGCACGGTGGCTCACACCTGTAATCTCAGCACTTTGGGAGGCCGAGGCAGGCAGATCACGAGGTCAGGAGTTTGAGACCAGCCTGGCCAACATGGCGAAACCCTGTCTCTACTAAAAATACAAAAATTAGCCAGGCGTGCTGGCAGACGCCTGTAATCCCAGCAACTTGGGAGGCTGAGGCAGGAGAATAGCTTGAACCTAGGAGTCGGAGGTTACAGTGAGCAGAGATCATGCCATTGCACTCCAGCCTGGGCGACAAGAGCAAGACTCCATCTCAAAAGAAAAAAAAAAAAAGAAAGAAAGAAAGAAAGAAAAGAAACAATAAAGGCGATGAATAAAAGATAACAAGAACCGAAACATTACAGTTTGAATTCTTGCTCTGTCATTTATCATCAGTGTGTAACACTGAGCAAGTTATCTAACCTCTCTGCTTCAGTTAACACCTACCTACAGGGTTGCTGTGAGGATTTAACAAAATAGGTAAAACAGTACAGTGCCTGAGACACAGCTGTCTTTCCCTGTCCTCTTCTCCTACCTAATGCTAAAAATTCTACCACCAATTTTATGGAAACATAAATTCAATGACAGTTGTATCTGAATTGTATGCTAAAGAAGTTATGTCTGTTCCAGGTGACAAATAACTTAAAAGTCACCAATTATATGTAACTGGCAAGGCAACTTTCAACTAATTCACTGCAAGTCGATACTAAGGCACAGGAAAATATAAACTTTATCTCTCAACTTCTTTTTCTCCTTCTCGCCTTCATTTTTAAACACTTCTTTCCTCACCTTCCTGCCCTTTTAACTTATCCTTTATTCCAAACTACCAGTCTTACTTAGGCTGCTATTTATCAGGAGAAAAGGCAACAGTAACTTTTCCATTTTATGTTAAGATAGAAAAAAAATGCTGAGCATGGCGGTGCACTCCTGTAGTCCCCGCTACTCAAGAGGATAAGGTGGGAAGATCGTTTGAGGCCAAGAGTTGGAGGCCACACAGCATTATGATGGTGCCTGTGAACAGCCACTGTACTCCAGTCTGGAAAACACAGTGAAACCTCATTTCTAAAGAAATAAAACACAATATAAAAGATAGGGGCTGGGTGCAGTGGCTCACACCTGTAATCCCAGCACTTTGGGAGGCCAAAGCAGGTGGATCACCTGAGGTCAGGAGTTCGAGACCAGCCTGGCCAACATAATGAAACCCCGTCTCTACTAATAACACAAAAATTAGCCGGGCATGGTGGCACCTGCCTGTAGTCCCAGCTACTTGGGAGGCTGAGGCATAAGAATCGCTTGAACCTGGGAGGCGGAGGTTGCAGTGAGATGAGATTGTGCCATTGCATTCCAGCCTGGGCAATAAGAGCAAAACTCCGTCTCAGAAAAAAAGAAAAAGAAAGATAGGAAAAAAAAAAAAAAAAAAGACTGATCATGTAACTACAGGACAGTTCCAAACTCTGCCTAAGTAACTCATTAAAGTTCCCTAAACAAAAAATGAACGAACTTTAAAAACATGAGAATGAAAAGGCATACAAGAAAGTTTCCTTTGTGTTCACAGGTCTCTCATTTATCTGGAGACAAAACTGTATGACATCTACAGACTGTGACAGCAATTTCTTAGTACAGTTGGCCCTCTGTATCTATGGGTTCCGCATCTATGAATTCAACCAGCCGTGGATTTAAAACATTCAGGAAAAAAAAAAGCACCTGTACTAAACATATACAGACGTTTTTTCCTTGTCATTATTCCCTAAACAATATAGCATTAACTACCTAAATACCATTTACAATGTATTAGGTAATCTAGAGATGAGTTCGAGTATACAGGAGAATGTGCATAGGTTATATGTAAATAGTACCCCATTTTACACAAGAGACTCAAGCATCCTCAAATTTTGGTATCTGCAAGGAGTCTTGGAACCAACACCTCATGGATACCAAAGGACAAGTATATACTATCCATAACCAAGTTTTACTGCAAAAGAAAAAAAAAAGGATAACTATATACTACCTATAGCCAAGTTACTACCAAAAAATATATACTTTAAGTCAGGTGCTCTAAGAAATTAGTGTTAATACAATTTTATTAACCCATGCTTCCATCTTAAGTATTCCCTCATTTGACTTTAATGTTAAATGAAAATTTAGTTTCAAACTACTTTAAAGGACAATGTCTTTCAAAGGGGCACCTGCCTTATAAATGCTTCCGGAATAACATTCAGTAAAAGGATGTGGTTTAGAACAGATGAAATACCACTGTACTGCTGCTTTTGTACACGTTCAGATCAGAAAACTCCTATTAAAAACATGCCAAAATAAATAAATATTATGTCTATGGAAGCTTTTAAGTTAGCCATTCCAACTTTATAACATTCTAAAAAGAACATATCTCTTATGAAAGGTTGCTATAAAGAGCCCAGAACCTTTTCTCCCTCTACAAACCCCTTAACCTTGATGCCTAACTGTATTATCTCACTGTATTTCACTTCAGAAATATTTACTGGACAATGAGTGCACAGAGTAAGTATGCTAAGTAGTTTTAATACACTGTCATTAATCACCACAGCAAACTGATACAATCAGTATTAATATCACCATTTTTAACTGAAGAAACTAAGGCTTCAAAGGTTTAAGTACGCTGGGTGCTGTGGCTCACACCTGTAATTGCAGCACTTTCAGAGGCCAAGGTAGACGAATCACTTGAGCCCAGGAGTTGGAGGCCAGCCTGGGCAACATGGCAAAATCCTGTCTCTACAAAAAATTCAAAAATTAACCAGCCATGGTGGCATGCACCTATAGTTCCAGCTACGTAAGGAGCTGAAGAGTTATCAGGCCACTGTACTCCAGCCTAGGTGACAGAGCAAGACCCTGTCTCAAAAAAGTTAAGTAATGTGCCCTAGATTACAGCTGGAAAAGACAATTCCCTCCTTTTATAATTTCTATTATGTAAAATTTCAAACATACATTAAAGAAGAGAACAAACCCCTTAAACCCATCATGTAGCTAAAATCATCAACTCATGGCCACTTGTCCACGGCCACAATATCCATATTCTCACCCATTCCTGTTTCCTTGCTTAAGTATTTTGAAGCAAAAAACTTTTGTCTGTAAATATTTCGGTGTATACCTCTAAAAATTTATGTAAATATTTCAGTGTATACCTGAAAAAATATTTTCATCCATAAATATTTAAGTAAATATCTCTAAAACATAAGAACTTCAGCAGGCGCAGTGGCTCACACCTATAATCTCAACACTTTGGGAGGCCGAGGTGGGCAGATCACTTGAGGTCAGGAGTTCAAGACCAGCCTGACCAACGTGGTGAAAAACCATCTCTACTAAAAATACAAAAATTAGCCAGTTGTGGTGGCAGGTGCCTGTAATCCCAGCTACTTGGGAGGCTGAGGCAGGAGAATCCCTTGAACTCAAGAGGCAGAGGTTGCAGTGAGCTGAGATCAGGCCACTGCACTCCAACCTGGGCAACAGAGTGAGACTCCCTCTCAAAAAAAGAAAAAAAAAAAAGCTCAGGCATGGTGGCTCAAGCCTGCACTTTGGGAGGCCAAGGCAGAAGGATCACCTCAAGACCAGCCTGGCCAACATGATGAAACCCCATCTCTACTAAAAATACAGAAATTAGCCGGGCATAGTGCCACACGCCTCTAATCCCAGCTACTCTGGAGGCTGAGGCACAAGAATCGCCTGAACCCAGGAAGCGGAGGTTGCGGTGAGCAAGCCTGCACCACTGCACTCCAGCTTGGGCCACAGAGCAGGACCGTGTTTCAAAAAAAAAGAAAAGACAAGAACTCAAAGCTGTACTCTATCATTCTCATTAAGCTATACTTTCTTATAGAATAAATAAAACCCAAGGTACCCTCTGATCTCAAACTACTTAATAAAAGGTAACATTTCAGAACTTTCAAATGCATATGACAAGGGATAGCTCTACTGGATGCAGCCAACTTAATCATCCCTCTTTCTTGAAACTGCTGGTTTCCTTACCCCTATATTAAATTGGTTTCCCTCCCTCCACGCCACCTGCTTCTGGTTTCCATTTCTGGCTCCTCATTTTCCTTCCACTGAGCCATCTGCTCTTCTCACATATACCCTCTCTCTAGATAGCTCGTTCATTATTATGACTTCATCGTATCACCTCTGGCCTAGACTCTGTAATTTGAATTGTGTTCTCTAATCCAAGCTACTGTTCCTCAACATTTCTACTTAAATATCTTGCTATCACCTCAAATTGAATATGCATCAATCTCCAAAAATTGAATATGCATCATCTCCAAAAATCCAGCTCTTCTATCCTCTTTACCAATCTATTAATTATAATTGTAAATCATTATCTTCCAATTCACCCAGGCTCCCCTTAAGTCACACATCAATTTGTGTTGGTTTTTCTCTTGAAATGTCTCTCATCCATCCTTTTCTGTTCCATTTACACTGACATCACTAAAACTCAAGCCTTCAGCAACTCACCTAAATTATCATAAGAGCCCTTGGTTAAAATTCAACTATCTCCATTTCAGTCGGTTCTATATAATAGATTCCCTCCAACAACATATCTACTGAATGACTAATGTATCCTAAGCACTGGCCAATTAATGCAGGGATACAACAGTGAGCACGACAGACACCTCTTTCTAGCAGAGGAAATTAAATTTTTTCAAATAAAATAATTATAGGTTGCAAAAAATGCTGTGACAAAGATTAACACAGTGCTACCATAAAGGACAGAGAATATGAGTGCTACTCTAATTACAGCTTTTAGTTAGAGAAAAAAAAATTTAAGTGGGCATTTTAAGGATGAAGAGGAGGCAGTCATGTAAATATTTAAAGTAGAGTGCTCCAAGCAAAAGAAACTGCAAAGTACATAGGTTCCAGGAGGGGAAAAAAAAGTCTCACGTTACAGAAAATGACCGTATGGCTAGAGATGTGGCCAGAGAACAAGGGCAAAAGTGGTACAATGTGAGGTTGGGAGAGACACAGGCCAATTTTATTCTACATGTAATAAGAAGTAGGCTGGGCATGGGGGCTCATGCCTGTAATCCCAGCACTTTGGGAGGCCAAGGTGGACAGATCACATGACGCCAGTAGTACGAGACCAGCCTTAGCCAACATGGTAAACCCTGTGTCTACTAAAAAACACAAAAAATTAGCTGGGTGTGGTGGCGCATGCCTGTAATCCCAGCTACTTGGGAGGCTGAGGCACAAGAATTGCTTGAACCCAGGAGGCGGAGGTTGCAGTGAGCTGAGATCACACCACTGCACTCCAGCCTGGGCAACAGAATGAGACTGTCTTTAAAAAAGTCATGTAATAAGGGTTTTAAGCAAGGAAATTATAATCCAACACACGCTGTGAAAGAGACTGCTAGTATTCACTAATGACTGTGTTCTCTTCATTAAGACACTGCTATACTACACTTCCCAGCCACCCCTGCAATTAGATAAGATCACATGACTCAGTTCTGACCAATGGAACTGAATGGGTAAAAGTGATATATGCCACTTCTAGCCTGGACCCTAAAATCTTTCTCCACACACACTTCCCCTTCCAAAACAATCTGAGAAGCCAAAGCTGATTATGGTGGTGACATAAGATACAGGTGCCTGTGCTCCAAGTGACTGCATAAAGCAAAGGTGCCCCTCAACACACACACACACACACACACACACACACACACACACACACAGTGATGTGGGAAAGTAATGTAAACTTTCATTGTATTATGCTGCCAAGTAAGAGGTATTGTTGTATCATTAATGCAGAAATCTTAAAAACATTTCTCTGGCTGTTGTGTGCTGCTGTGTGAAGAATGAGTTAAATGGACAGACAAAAGTAAAAATAAAAAGACCTGTTCAGACTCAACAAAAACATAACCCAAATGAAAAATGGGCAAACGAACAAAATAGACATTTCTCGAAATATATACAAATAGCCAACAAGCATATGAAAAGATGCTCATCATCACTAGCCATTATGGAAATGCAAATCAAAACCACAGAGATATCACCATTAAGATAGCTACTATTTTTAAAAAAACATGCAGGAAACAAGTGTTAGTGAAAATGTAATGATATTGGAACTCTTATGCACGGTTGGTGGTAATGTAAAATGGTGCAGCTGCTATGGAAAATGGTATGGTGGTTCCTCAAAAGATAAAAAATAGTTTACCATATAATCCAGCAATTCAACTTCTGGGTGTACATCAAAAAACTGAAAGCAGGAACCTGAACAGATATTTCTACACCCATGTTCATGGAAACACTATTCTTAACAGCTAAAATGTGGAAGCAACCCAAGCTGTTCATCAACAAATGAATGGATAAACAAAATGTGGTATATATAAGCAATGGAATATTATTCAGCCTTAACAAGGAAGAAAATTTTGACATGTGCTACAAAACGGATGAACCTTCAAGACATTAAGTGAAATAAGCCAGCCACGGAAAGACAATATGATTCCATTTATATGAGGTACATAGAGCAAACAAATTTATACAAACATAAAGGAGAAACATGAAGAATAGTGGTTGCCAGGGGCTAGGAGGAGGGAAGACTTGGGGAGTTGTTAGTATGTATACAGTTTCAGTTTTACAAGATGAAAAAGTTCTGGGGACTGGTTGTACAACAATGTGAATATACTTAATACTGAACTGTATACTTAAAATGGTTAAGATGTTCAACTTTATGCTTATGCAGTTTACCACAATAAAAAATAGAAGCTGGGCGTGGTGGCTCATGCCTCCAATCCCAGCACTTGGGAGGCCGAGGCGGGCAGATCATGAGGTCAGGAGTTCAAGACCAGCCTGGCCAATATGGTGAAATCCCGTCTCCACTAAAAATACAAAAATTAGCCGGGCGTAGTGGCGTGCACCTGTAGTCCCAGCTACTAAGGAGGCTGAGGAAGAAGAACTGCTTGAACCCAGGAGGCAGAGGTTGCAGTGAGCCAAGATTGCACCACTGCACTCCAGCCTGGGTGACAGAGTGAGACTCCATCTCAAAAAAAATTAAATAAAATAAGAGGCCAATAGTGTAAGTGAAGAGATGATGGCTGCTTGACTTGAGTAGTATGGTGATGCAGATAAAGAACAGAAGACTTCAAGATGTATTTGGAGGTAGAAAAGACAGGATTTGCTGATGGACTGGAAGTATGTGAGTTAGAATGAGGAAAAGAAAGGTATCAAGTATGACACCTTGGCTTCTAGCTACTGAGTGGATGGCAATATCATTTAATGAAATGAGAAAGACAGGAATGAACAAATGTAGGGTAGAGCGCAGAAAGCAGACCTGGAGTGTACTTTAAGAATGAAGGGATCAAGAGTTTGTTGGCTGGGTGTGGTAGCCTAACACCCGTAATCCCCACACTTTGGGAGGCTGAGGTGGAAGGACTGCTTGAGACCAGGAGTTCAAGACCAGCCAGGGCAAAGAAGTGAGAACCCCATCTCCACAAAGGGTCAAAAAATTAGCTAGTATGGTGGCACACACACCTAGGTGGTCCTAGCTACATGGGAGGTTGAAACATGAGGATCCCTTGAACCTAGGAGATTGAGGCTGCACTCTAGCATGGGTCACAGAGCAAGAACCTGCCTCAAAAAAACAAACAAACAAAGTTTGTTGATTGTCTTAAGTTCAAGATCCATGAGATATCAAGTGGCAACATCAAGGAAACACATTCTCACTGTTCTGGAGGCCAGAAGTCTGAAATCAAGGTATTTCAGCAGGAACGTGTTCCTTCTGAAGATGCTAGGAAGAATCTGCTCTAGGCTCCCTCCTAGTTGGCTTGTAGATAGTCATCTTCTCCCTGGTGTTCTGTCTCTGTGTCAAAATCTCTCCCTTTTTTAAAAGGCCCGAAGTCATGGTGGATTAGGGTCCACCCTAATAACCTCATTTTAACTTGTTTACCTCTGTAAAGACCCCACTTCGAAATAAGGTCACATTCTTTTTTTTTTTTTGAGACGGAGTCTCGCTCTGTCACCCCGGCTGGAGTGCAGTGGCATGATCTCGGCTCACTGCAAGCTCCACCTCCCGGGTTCACGCCATTCTCCTGCCTCAGCCTCCTAACTAGCTGGGACTACAGGCGCCCACCACCACACCCGGCTAATTTTTTTGTATTTTTAGTAGAGTCGGGGTTTCACCGTGTTAGCCAGGATGGTCTCATTCTCCTGACCTCGTGATCCACCCATCTCAGCCTCCCAAAGTGCTGGGATTACAGGCGTGAGCCACTGTGCCCAGCCTTTTTTTTTTTTTAATATTCTTTAAGTTCTAGGGTACATGTGCACAACGTGCAGGTTTGTTAGAGGTATACACGTGCCACGTTGGTTTGCTGCACCCATCAACTTGTCATTTACATTAAGTATTTCTCCTAATGCTATCCCTCCCCCAGCCCCTCACCCGCCAACAGGCCCCAATGTGTGATGTTCCCCTCCCTGTGTCCATGTGTTCTCATTGTTCAACTCATGCAGTGTTTGGTTTTCCGTCCTTGTGATATTTTGCTGAGAATGGTGGCTTCCAGCTTCATCCATGTCCCTGCAAAGGACATGAACTCATTCTTTTTTATGGCTGCATAGTATTCCATGGTGTACATGTGCCACATTTTCTTTATCCAGACTATTGTTGATGGACATTTGGGTTGGTTCCAAGTCTTTGCTATTGTGAATAGTGCACATAAGGTCACATTCTTAAGTACTAGGGATTAAGAATTCAAAATATCTTTTTGAGGAAGATATAACTCAACCCATAATATCTGGCTAAACAACTCTTTATTTTAGATTCTGTTACAGTAATTGGTGTGGTCTCCATTTTCCTGACTAGGCTTTAATTGAAAGCGTATATCTATTTTCTTTCATTTTTCCAGGATACCCATAGAGCCTCTCATTCTGCAAAATCACGTTCCTTGATTCTGGGAATTTTTCTTGAATATTTTACTGATAATTCCTTCTTTTCTCTGATGTCTACTAGTACTTCTGTTATTTGGAAGTTGACCTCTGACGGACCTTTTAATTTTCTTTTCTCATTTATTTTCCATCTTTTCCTCTACTTTATGAAAGAACTCCTTTACTCTAACTTCAACTTTTCTATTGACTGTTCTACTGAGCCTTTTTTTTTGTTGTTCTGATTGTTCCCAGTTTGTTTTCTATTTCTTTTAAGAGGTTTCTTATATGAGAAGCTTTCTTCACATGTCTGGTGATCCTTGATTATCTTCTCATATTTAAAAGGAGGGCCATAAAAGCTATTGTAAATAACACAGATTCTCTTCTTGGGTTAGTAAGAGAACCATCCTCCAAATTCCTACTTGATTGCCAGAATTCTGGAAGCCAAAGAGAAGAGGCCTCAGTAACGGTCTCAATATTGAGCATTTTAACTTAATTCAGTGTTTTCTGTAGAACGCTTGACCTCCAATTGTGTCTAGGGCCCACCCTCAGTGTCAGAAACAATAGTCAGTCTTCTTGCTGGGGTACTCAAGAAGGCAGTAACTTAGTGATACAAACTAACAAAGGAATCTAGACTCAACCTTTCTTAAAAAAAAATAGCTTTATTGAGATACAACTCAGATTATCATAAAACTCACTCATTTAAAGTATACAATTCAATGTTTTAGTCTATTCAGAGTTGTGCAACTATTACCACAATGAATTTTAGAAAATTTTTGTCACCCCAAAAAGAAACTCCATACCCTAGAGTCACTTCCCATTTCCCTCTAACCTCCCCTACTCCCAGTCCTATGCAACCACTCTATCTCTACAAATACACAATTTCTGGATACTTCATACAAATGGAATCATACAATGTGGTCTTTAGTATACTTAGCACATTTGTTTGTTTGTTTTTGAGACAGAATCCCACTCTGTCGCCCTGGCTAGAGTGCTGTGTTGCTATCTTGGCTCACTGTAACCTCCACCTCCCCAGTTCAAACGACTCTCCTGCTTCAGCCTCCCATGTAACTGGGATTATAGGTGCCTGCCACCACATCCGGCTAATTTGTGTGTTTATAGTTGAGATGGGGTTTCACCATGTTGGCCAGGCTGGTCTCAAACTCCTGACCTCAAGTGATCTGCCCGTCTTGGCCTCCCAAAGTGCTGGGATTACAGGTGTGAGCCACCATGTCCGGCCTACTTAGCATGTTTTAAAGGTTTATCTGTGTTATAGCATGTATCATACAATACTGTGGTCGTTTGTGACTGGCTTCTTTCACAGCATAATGCTTTCAAGGTTCATCATGTTATAACATGTATCAGTTCTATATTCCTTTTTACTGCCAAATAGTATTTAATTGTGTGGATATACATTACATGTAACCATTTATCAGCTGATGGACATCTGAGTTGCTTCTACTTTGGGGCTATTATGACTGAGCTGCTTCTTAAACAGATTTTCAAGAAATCCTCCTGTTTTTAGCACCACCCTCACCTCCTCCCTGCCAAAAATACCTGATGCTGCCAATTCCTGAGCCTAAGAAGTATTTTCTACTTTTGCTCCCGCCACTTAGGATTGAACATTTTTAAGTCCACTAAGAAGTTTCCCATCAGTTCACTCGCTTTCCAGTTTCCAGATTTTATTGTTGCCGTCTTTTCTTTATTCTCTTTACCTGTGTAGTTCAAATCTTCTAAAAGTATCCTTTACTGTCACCTTGCTGGGCTATCAAAGGGAGTAAAAGTAAATGTGTCTTTCACTCAGCCATCTTTATTTAGAAGTCCTTTCAATTATTTTTAGCCTTCATTCTTTCTCATGTATAGATTTGAAGGCTATAACTCTTCCTCTAAGCATGGCTCTATACACATCCTTTAAGTTATACTATATTTTCATGGTTCTGTTCTAAATAGTTTAATGTTATTTCTTCTCTAATCCCCGAATTTCTCAGAAATATATTGCTTATCTTCAAACAGCTGACAATTTTCTAGTTTTTTTGGTAATCCATTTCTTGCTTAATTCCAACACGTCAGAAAACACTCAAGAATTGATTATTTTGATCTTTTTTATTGTCCAGCATGTGTCAATTTGGGAAAAACTTTCATAGGCACTTAAAAACAATCTGCATTCTGTAGGTATTAGGTGAAATATTCAATGCATGTCAATTAGATTCATTTGATAATTATAGTGTTTAAATCTTTTATGTATTTTTGTCTCATTATTCTAATTACTCAGAGAGGCAAGCTGAAATATCTCATATTATGCTTATGGATTTGTCTAATTCTCCTTTTAGTTTTGTCCATTTTTTGCCTACCATGCTGGCAAAGATTAGAAAGAATGATAACACAGAGTTAAAAAACACTGTGGTAAAGGTGTAAATTGGAATGTCTTTTCTAAATAGCAGTTTGGCAACAGTCAGCAACATTTTAAATAAACATCTGTATCTTTGAAACCAGTTATTTTACATTTAGAAATTGATCTTAGGCAGGAAGGGAGATCCAGACAGGCTCTTCATGGATACCAAACACTGCTTAGCAGTTACACTGATTCGTAAATTCTCACTGTAGCCTTACAGCTATCCTTTGACTAAGTATTACTCTCATACTAGAGATGAGAAAAAAATGAAGTTTTTAGCCACCTAAAAAAAATACGTATATTCTTTGTAGGAATAAAAGTAGAAACAGCTCTATTAAAGAAAATCAGGAACTTTATAACAGAGACAAAATAGGCAAAGTTTTTTGGTTTAAAAAAAAAACAAAAAACCTTTAGATTTATATATACACTGACACGGAAGGATGTTCATAAAAGCCAAGCTAGAAAACAAAGTATGGTAGTTTGTATTTCTGTGGGATCGGTGGTGATATCCCCTTTATCATTTTTTATTGTGTCTATTTGATTCTTCTCTTTTTCTTTATTAGTCTTGCTAGCGGTCTATCAATTTTGTTGATCCTTTCAAAAAACCAGCTCCTGGATTCATTGATTTTTTGAAGGGTTTTTTGTGTCTCTATTTCTTTCAGTTCTGCTCTGATTTTAGTTATTTCTTGCCTTCTGCTAGCTTTTGAATGTGTTTGCTCTTGCTTTTCTAGTTCTTTTAATTGTGATGTTAGGGTGTCAATTTTGGATCTTTCCTGCTTTCTCTTTTGGGCATTTAGTGCTATAAATTTCCCTCTACACACTGCTTTGAATGCGTCCCAGAGATTCTGGTATGTTGTGTCTTTGTTCTCGTTGGTTTCAAAGAACATCTTTACTTCTGCCTTCATTTCGTTATGTACCCAGTAGTCATTCAGGAGCAGGTTGTTCAGTTTCCATGTAGTTGAGCGGTTTTGAGTGAGATTCTTAATCCTGAGTTCTAGTTTGATTGCACTGTGGCCTGAGAGATAGTTTGTTATAATTTCTGTTCTTTTATATTTGCTGAGGAGAGCTTTACTTCCAACTATGTGGTCAATTTTGGAATAGGTGTGGTGTGGTGCTGAAAAAAATGTATATTCTGTTGATTTGGGGTGGAGAGTTCTGTAGATGTCTATTAGGTCCACTTGGTGCAGAGCTGAGTTCAATTCCTGGGTATCCTTGTTGACTTTCTGTCTCGTTGATCTGTCTAATGTTGACAGTGGGGTGTTAAAGTCTCCCATTATTAATGTGTGGGAGTCTAAGTCTCTTTGTAGGTCACTCAGGACTTGCTTTATGAATCTGGGTGCTCCTGTATTGGGTGCATATATATTTAGGATAGTTAGCTCTTCGTGTTGAATTGATCCCTTTACCATTACATAATGGCCTTCTTTGTCTCTTTTGATCTTTGTTGGTTTAAAGTCTGTTTTATCAGAGACTAGGATTGCAATCCCTGCCTTTTTTTGTTTTCCATTTCCCTTTGAAAACTGGCACAAGACAGGGATGCCCTCTCTCACCACTCCTATTCAACATAGTGTTGGAAGTTCTGGCCAGGGCAATTAGGCAGGAGAAGGAAATAAAGGGTATTCAATTAGGAAAAGAGGAAGTCAAATTGTCCCTGTTTGCAGACGACATGATTGTATATCTAGAAAACCCCATTGTCTCAGCCCAAAATCTCCTTAAGCTGATAAGCAACTTCAGCAAAGTCTCAGGATACAAAATCAATGGGCAAAAATCACAAGCATTCTTATACACCAATAACAGACAAACAGAGAGCAGACTGTGGTATTGTTATGACAGTCCTCAAAGACTAATACATCTGTCAATAAAATAATTAAAGAAAATGTCCCAGAACTAATGAATTTTACAGATTCAGAAGGTACACAAATATCCAAGAAAAATTGTTAAAAATAGACGTAACACCAAGCTACAACCTTATGAAATTTCAGAATATAGGAAACACAAAATTCCAGAAAAGCAAAACATTTTTACAATCAAGAATCAGAATGTCTTCAGACTTCTCAAAAGGATGACAAGCTAGAAAACAATGCAGCAAGGCCTTCAGAATTCTGAAGGCAAATTATTTCCAACCTAGAATCCTTAGCCAACCAAATCAAGCATGAACATGAAAAAAAGTTTTCATTAATGCAAGATTTCAGTCTTCCACAGGAATCTATTGTATGATATACTCCATCAAATGGAGAGGTTAAACAAAAAACAAAACAAACAAAAACACTATATGATTCATGGAAAGGGAAAAAAAAGATTTAACACAGGAGAAAGACAAAGGGAGTCGCTAGTTTTATCAGAAAGGAAGAAATGCCAGGAAACTACTATGTATCAGCCATAGAGGGCCAGATCAAGCAGATTCAAAAACTGCTAGATAAAGACAGCACAATTCTACTCCAATGTGTATATACAGCCAGGAGAAATGAGTGTATAAGTTCATTAAAGACCTGTAAACGGGCCGGGCGTGGTGGCTCACGCCTGTAATCCCAGCACTTTGGGTGGCCAAGGTGGGCGGGTCACCTGAGGTCAGGACTTCGAGACCAGCCTGCCCAGCCAACATAGTGAAACCCCATCTCTACTAAAAATATAAAAATTAGCCAGGTGTAGTGGCAAGTGCCTGTAATCTCACCTACTTGGGAGGCTGAGGCAGGACAATCACTTGAACCTGGGAGGCAGAAGTTGCAGTGAGCTGAGATCGCACCACTGCACTCCAGCCTGGGTGACAGAGCAAGACTCTATCTCAAAAAAAGTATAAAAAATGTAAAAAACTGTAAATGAATGTTGACAATAGCTTTATTCACAATAGCCAAAAAACTGAAAATCAAATGTCCAATTTTTTAAAATTACATTATATTCATCCAATGGAATACTACTATCACTGAAAAGGAACTACTGCTGCACTCTACATCATAAATGAATCTCACAAACACAATGTTAAGCAAAAGTAGCCATCCACAAAAAGGTATACAAGCTATATGGTTACTGTATTAGTCCACTTTCATGCTGCTGATGAAGACTGAACAATTTACAAAAGAAAGAGGTTTAATGGACTTACAGTTCCATGTGGCTGGAGAGGCCTCACAATCATGGCGCATAGTGAAAGGCATGTCTCACGTGGCGGCAGACAAGAGAGCTTGTGCAGGGAAACTCCCGTTTTTAAAAATCATCAGTTCTCAAAAGACTTATTCACTATCACAAGAAAAGCACAGGAAAGGCCCACTCCCACGATTCAATTACCTCCCACCAGGTTCCTCCCACCACACACAGGAATTGTGGGAGCTACAATTCAAGATGAAATATGGGTGGGGACACAGCCAAACCATATTATTCCGCCCCCGGCCCCTCCCAAATATCATGTCTTCACATTTCAAAACCAATCATGCCTTCCCAACAGTCCCCCGAAGTCTTAACTCATTTCAGCATTAACTTAGAAGTTCACAGTCCAAAGTCTCATCCAAAACAAGGCAAGCCCCTTCTGCCTATGAGCCTGTAAAATCAAAAGCAAGGTAGTTACTTCCTAGATAAGATGGGGGTACAGGAATTGGGTAAATACAGCCATTCCAAATGGGAGAAATTGCCCAGAACAAAGGTGTTAAAGGCCTCTAGCAAATCCAAAATACAGCAGGGCAGTCAAATCTTAAAGCTCCAAAATGATCTCCTTTGACTCCATGTCTCACATCCAGGTCATGCTGATCCAAGAAGTGGATTTCCATGGTCTTGGGCACCTCTGACTCTGTGGTTTTGCAGAGTACAGCCTCTCTCCTGGCTGCTTTCACAGGCTTGCATTGAGTGTCTGCAGCTTTTCCAGGCGCATGGTGCAAGCTGTCAGTGGATCTATCATTCTGGAGGCTGGAGGATGGTGGCCCTCTTCTCACAGCTCCACTAGGCGGTACCCGAGTAGGAACTCTGTGTGGGGGCTCTGACCCCACATTTCCCTTCTGCACTGCCCTAGCAGAGGTTCTCCACGAATGCTCTACCCCTGCTGCAAACTTCTGCCTGGGCATCCAAGCATTTCCATACATCTTCTGAAATGCAGGTGGAGGTTCCCAAACCCCAATTCTTGACTTCTGTGCACTTGCAGCATCAACACCACATTGCAGCATCAACACCAAGGCTTGGGGCTTGCACCCTCTGAAGCCACAGCCCAAGCTCTACGCTGGCCCCTTTCAGCCACGGCTGGAGCAGCTGGAATGCTGGGTACCAAGTCCCTAGGCTGCACATAGCACAGGGACATTGGGTCTGGCTCACAAAACCACTTTTTCCTCCAAGGCTTCCACGCCTGTGATGGGAGGGGCTGCCATGAAGACCTCCGACACGCCCTGCAGACATTTTCCCCATTGTCTTGGGGATTCATATTCAGCTCCTCATTACCTATGCAAATTTCTGTAGCCAGCTTGAATTTCTCCTCAGAAAAGGGGATTTTCTTTTCTATCACGCTGTCAAGCTGCAAATTTTCCAAACTTATGCTCTGCCTCCCTTGTAAAACTGAATGCCTTTAACAGCACCCAAGTCACTTCTTGAATGCTTTGCTGCTTAGAAATTTTTTCTACCAGACACCCTAAATCATCTCTCCCAAGTTCAAAGTTCCACAGATCTCTAGGGCAGGGGCAAAATGTTGCCAGTTTCTTTGCTAAAACATAACAAGAGTCACCTTTGCTCCAGTTCCCAACAAGTTCCCCATCTCCATCTGAAACCACCTCAGCCTGGACTTTATGGTCCATATCGCAATCAGCATTTTGGGCAAAGTCATTCAACAAGTCTAGAAAGTTCCAAACTTTCCCACATTTTCCTGTCCTCTTCTGATCCCTTCAAACTGTTCCAACCTCTGCCTGTTACCCAGTTCCAAAGTTGCTTCCACATTTTCGGGTATCTTTTCAGGAGCACTCTACTCTACTGGTACCAATTTACTGTATTAATCTGTTTTCATGCTGCTGATAAAGACATACCTGAGACTGGGCAATTTACAAAATAAAGAGGTTTAATGGGCTTACAGTTCCACATGGCAGGAGAGGCCTCACAATCATGGCACAAGGTTAAAGGCATGTCTTCTCACATGGCGGCAGATAAGAGAAGAGAGTTTGTGCAGGGAAACTCCCGTTTTTAAAACCATCAGATCCCACAAGACCTATTCACTATCACAAGAACAGCACGAGAAAGGCCCACCCCCATGGTTCAATTACCTCCCACCAGGTTCTGCCAACCACACGTGGGAATTGTGGGAGTAACAATTCAAGATGAGATTTGAGTGGGGACACAGCCAAACCATATCAGTTACATTTATATAAAGTTCAAAAACAGGCAAAAATAGTTTATGGCGATAGAGGACAGAATAGTGATTACCTTTGAGAGGGAAAGAGACACTGATTGGAGGGGGCGCAAGAGAGCCTTTTCGAACACTAAAAATGTTCCACATCTGGATTTGAGTGATGACTACACAGATATCTACAAATATAAACATTCTATACATTTAAATTTGTGCAGTTTTCAATAAACATTTAAAGATACTTTCTCTAAACAAATTTTTAATTTTGTTTTTTTTAGACAGCGTCTCGCTCTGTCCCCCAAGCTAGAGTACAGTGGCGCGATCATAGCTCACTGCAGCCTCGACCTCTTGGACTCAAGCAATCCTCCCGCCAGCCTTGCAAGTAGCTAGGACTACAGACGCTCACAGCCAAACCTGGCTAATTTTTTTTTTTTACTTTTGTAAAGGCCGGCTCTTGCTATATTGCCCAGGCTGATCTCTAACTCCTACCCTCAAGGCATCCTCCCACCTCAGCCTCCCAAAGTGCAGGATTACAAGCATAAGCCACCATGCCCAGACTAAACAATTTTTTAAAAAAAAATTAGTAAGCTTTTTAGTTGGATCCACAACAGGAATTAATCAAAAGGAAAAAAAATGTAAAGCCTTATACACAAAGATCTTTATTGCAGAATTTACAATAGCAAAACACATACACACACCTGGAAATAACATTTAATAAATGAATGCCATGCCAACCCTGGATTTCTCTGGTGTGAGAGAAATTAATATTTGGCATCTGTCTGATACTAGTAGCCAAACTTAATGCTGATTAACCTAAAGGAGCCATCTGCCCTGAGGAAGAGCATGATCACAGACACCAAAGCAAAAAAGGGCTAAGCTATTCAAGGCTGAAAGAGGAAAGAGACAAAAGCAAGAGATGAAGTGAGACGTAGACAAAAGCCAAATCATGCAAGACCTCACAGGCCTTTTTTTTTTTTTTTTTTTTAAAGACTATAGCTAAGAAATGAAAAGAAAAAATAAAGTAACTGATTTCCTTGGGCAGCAGAATTACTGGGAGACAGGGGTTGTACACTAAATATTCTAAATGTTTCTAAAAATGAAAATATATTATTCAAGAGCATGTAGTACTTGCAAATGATCAAGCATTTCCAAAAAAAACTGCCCAGCCCTATTAAATTTATAAAATATTTCTGCGATACAGCTGGAATAATTACAAGGTACACAACATATTACAGTATTTGTTGTATCTATTATTTGAATTGATCTACACACTAACATATGAAAATACGTGCTAAAATTTTTGGAAGAAAAGGATGAATTTTTTTTTTTTTGAGATTAAGTCTCTCCTTGTCACCCAGGCTGGAGTGCAGTGGCATGATCTCGGCTCACTGCAACCTCTGGCTCCTGGGTTCAAATGATTCTCCTGCAGCAGCCTCCCAAGTAGCTGGGATTACAGGCATGCACCACCACGCCCAGCTAAATTTTGTATTATTAGTAGAGACAGGGTTTCACCATGTTGGCCAGGCTGGTCTCGAACTCCTGACCTCAAGCGATCCACCTGCCTCGGCCTCCCAATGGGATTACAGGCATGAGCCACTGCGCTGGGCCAGGATGATTCTTTTAAAAAAAAAAAAAAAAAAAAAACTTTTGAGAAACATCCATTCTTTTAAATATTTCCACATATTTTCACTGCTTGTTTTATTCAACTGGCTGTTTGAACAAAAGCAAAAATTATCCATACCATATTCATGTCCAATTCAGCAATCATTACTTACAATTTCAGGAATAGAAACAAGAGAATCAGTGTTTTAACAGGTTTTTTTAACTGATAATTTAAACAAATAGAAAAAGCAACTATTAACAACCAAAAAATAAATGAAAAACAGACCAAGAGAATAAGCATTCCTTTCCCTCCACAGAGAGATTTTACCTGATAGTCTTCTATGCTGTCTTACAGCATTCAACTATTGTTACGTACACATAAGAAAAATACGAAAGCAACCATACATGGTTTCTGTTACAGAAACTTTAGAGTTAAGAGGAAAAATAAACATGAAGAACAAACATATAAAAGCACTCTAACTCACCAAATGGAACAAATGATTTTTCTTTCTTTCTTTTTTTTCTTTTGAGACAATCTCGCTCTGTCACCCAGGCTAAAGTGCAGTGGCGGGATCTCACAACCCCGCAACCCCTGCCTCCCGGGTTTAAGTGATTCTCCTGTCTCAACCTCTTGAGTAGCTGAGATTACAGGCATTCGCCATCACACTCAGCTAATTTTTGTATTTAGTAGAGACAGGGTTTCACCATGTTGGCCAAGCTGGTCTCGAACTCCTGGGATCAAGTTATCCGCCCACCTCAGCCTCCCAAAGCGCTGGGATTACAGGAGTGAGCCATCAGGCCTAGCGGAACAAATAAAATTTTTTTTTTTTTGAGACAGAGTCTTGCTCTGTTACCCAGGCCGGAGTGGAATGGCATGATCTTGGCTCACTGTAACCTCTGCCTCTGGGGTTCAAGCCATTCTCCTGCCTCTGCCTCCCGGGTAGCTGGGACTACAGGCATGCACCACCACAGTGGGCTCATTTTTTTATATCTTTAGTAGAGATGGGGTTTCACCATGCCGGCCAGGCTGGTCTCAAACTCCTGGACTCAGGGGCTCCGCATGCCTCAGCCTCCCAAAGTGCTGGGATTACAGACGTGAGCCACCGCGCCCGGCCTCAACAAGATATTTTGTCTTGTCTTGCTCAACAAGAAGTGATGGTTCCTGACAGATGAACAAGAGGACAAAAAGTAGCAAAATGTGAAGGTGTTACAGTTCTAACACTCAAAAGAGAAAAAGAACATTACAGCTAGATCACTGCATTTAGTTATATGATAAGCCCTCCAGGTTTCCTCTAAATCATTACATTGTTCTGTATCCACATTCAAGGCCTCCAAAGATTAATTGGCATTATCAAGAGATTCGAAAAGACAAACTAAATTGCAGCAGTAAAACCTGTAAGAGATTCATTTTTTAGCAGATGATAGAATTCAATGGTAAACACTGGCCAGGTGCGGTGGCTCATCCCTGTAATCCCAGCACTTTGGGAGGCCAAAGCAGGCTGATTAACTGAAGTTAGGAGTTGGAGATCAGCCTGGCCAACATGGTGAAACCCTGTCTCTGCTAAAAATACAAAAATTAGCCAGGCATGGTGGCAGGCACCTGTAATTCCAGCTACTTAGGAGGCTGAGGCAGGAGAATCCCTTGAACCTGGGATGCAGAGGGTACAGTGATCCGAGATTGCCCCACTGCACTCCATCCTGAGTGACAGAGCAGGACTCCGTCTCAAGAAAAAAAAAACTCAATGGTAAACATGACAATATTATTTTTGTTAATGGTGTTAATACACCTAACAAGTATAGGGGAAAGAAACTGTATATAGACTTTATATCATTGTTTAAATAATTTACAATGTAAGGCTGGGCATGGTGGCTCATGCCTGTAATTCCAGAACTTTGGGAAGCCAAGGTGAGCGGATCACCTGAGGTCAGGAGTTTGAGACCAGCCTGGCCAACATGGTGAAACCCATCTCTACTAAAAATACAAAATTAGCCAGGTGTGGTGGCAGGTGCCTGTGATCCCAGCTCCTCAGGAGGCTGAGGCAAGAGAATTGCTTGAACCCGAGAGGCGGAGGTTGCAGTGAGCCGAGATCATGCTGCTGCACTCCAGCCAGGGCAAAAACTGCGAAACTCTGTCTCAAAAAAAAAAAAATTTACAATGTAAATATGAAGGTTCCCCTGCCCTGAAGTTTTCAATCTATGAGAAGGCATAAATACACAAAATGCAAAATAATGTGAGGCAAATAAGGCAAAATTACAAGAGATGAGAAGTAGTATGGTTTCATAAACACACAGAACTTGCGTCAGAAGATCAAGGGTTGAGTCTTTGTTCTGCCCCCATCACTAAATGTTTGAATTTTGGTGCATCTAGTCTATTTGTATTTCAGTTTCCTTATCTGTAAAACACAAGGTTGGATTCCAACATTCCAGCAATAATGCTCTATAATTCTATGATTCAAGTCCACACAACATTAAAAACCAAGGGAATACTAAAATAATAAGGGGTATGGGTTTAAAGGAAAGCAACAGACCAGGCACAGTGGCTCACCCCTATAATCCCAGCACGTTGAGAAGCCAAGGTGGGAGGATCGTTTGAGGCCAGGAATTCAAAACCAGTCTGAACAACACAGTGAGACCCTATCTCTACAAAAAAAAAAAAAAAAAAAAATTAGCCAGACATTGATGCACACCTGTAATCCTGGCCTTTGGGAGGTTCAAGTTACAATGAGGAGCTGTGATCAGGCCACTGTACTCCAGCCTGAGCAACAGAGCGAGATCCTGTCAAAAAAGAAAGAAGAAAGAAAGAAAGAGAGAGAGAGACAGACGGACGGACAGACGGATGGATGGACGGAAGGAAGGAAGGAAGGAAGGGAAAAGAAAGAAAAGAAAGAAAGAAGGAAGGAAGGAAGGAAGGAAGGAAGGAAGGAAGGAAGGAAGGAAGGAAAGAAAGAAACAAAGAAAGAAAGAAAGAAAGAAAGAAAGAAAGAAAGAAAGAAAGAAAGAAAGAAAGAAAGAAAGAAAGAAAAGCAAGCAACATAGGGAACAGGAAAAACATTTGGAAGACTGCACCAAAGGACCAAAAGCGAAAATTCAACAAATTTTACTTCATTTGCTACTTGGTAATTTAGGAGAAAAAAAAAATTTTAAAGACTAGGCAAACTGGACGGGCACAGTGGCTCACGCCTGTAATCCCAACACTTTGGGAAGCCGACGCATGTGGATCACCTGAGGTCGGGAGTTCAAGACCAGCCTGGCCAACATGGTGAAACCCCATCTCTACTAAAAATACAAAATTAGCCAGGCGTGGTGGCATGCACCTGTAATCCTAGCTACTCGGAAGACTGACACAGGAGAATCACTTGAACCAAGGAGACGGAGGTTGCAGTGAGCCAAGATGGTGCCACTGCACTCCAGCCTGGGTGACAGAGTGAGACGCCTCAAAGAAAAAAAAAAAGAAGAAAGAAAGAGGCCAGGCACAGTGGCTCACACCTGTAATCCCAGCACTTTGGCAGGCTGAGATGTGTAGATCACCTGAAGTGAGGAGTTTAAGACTGGCCTGACCAACACGGAGAAACCCCGTCTCTACTAAAAATACAAAATTAGCCAGGCATGGTGGCGCATGCCTGTAGTCCCAGCTACTAGGGAGGCTGAGGTAGGAGAATCGCTTGAACCCGGGAGGCAGAGGTTACGGGGAGCCGAGATCGCACCATTGCACTCCAGCCTGGGCAACAGAGCGAGACTCTGTCTCAAAAAAAAAAAAAGAAAGAAAGAAAGAAAAAGGAATGATACGAAGGTACAAAAATACAAAGAGTAAATAAGAATCAGAGATTGGTTTGGTTAGAGTGGACAGCTCCTATAAAGAAATAGTGCTGGCACTGATTAAAAAAAAAGAAAGAAATAGTGCTGGCCCCAGAAAAACAGGTTTGAGCAGACTGTTATTAGGCTATGAATTCTGAACTATACTCTGAAGATAACAGAGAGTTATCACTGGTTTCCGAAAAGTGAAGGATGTGTTTGAAGCATAATTCTAAGATTTAGGAAGACATACTAAGTAGAGAGAAAAATCAAGCAAAAAACCCAATTAAAGGCTAGTGAGTAGTTCAAAGATAAAAATGGCTGGCAAAAATCAGCCAATATTGTTACACGCATAGAGATAAAACCAAAGTTTGTGTCTGGGTAATTGAAAGCATGGTAATGTCACCAAAACAAAGTCAGCATATGGAATCAGTTTTGAAGGGAAGACTATAAATTCTATCTTCATTAGAGTTTAAGGTGAGGATCAGCCAGACATAAAGTTTCCTTAAATCTTTAAATGTCATATTTAGCCTTGTTGTCTTCCTAACATCACAGTATTTATAGAGAATTTGTTAACTGCTCAGTGATTTCAAAAGTTCCCTTCAATTTTACTTATTAATGAAATAATCATTTAATTTTCTAGTGCAGATAAAGAACATTTGGTATTTTTCTATATTATAAAGGTAAATTCTAAAAATTATTAAACCATGATTTTAAAAATGAACTGTATCTGTATTCATTAAGTCAAGTCTTCCTGACAAGTGATTTATAATAATCACATCAAATATACCTTCAGCTTTGAAAAACACATGGTGAAAAAGTAAAATAAGACAAAGTAAAAGTACAAAGCAATGAAAATGTAAAACTCTAGAAAATTTTTGAAAAATGAATATAGGCCAGCCACGGTGGCGCACACCTGTAATCTCAGCACTTTGGGAGGCGGAGGTGGGCAGATTGCTTGAGGTCAGGAGTTCGAGACCAGCCTTGCCAACATGGTGAAACTCCGTCTCTACTAAAAATACAGGCCGGGCGTGGTGGCTCATGCCTGTAATCCCAGCACTTTGGGAGGCCGAGGCAGGTGGATCACGAGGTCAGGAGTTCAAGACCAGCCTGGCCAAGATGGTGAAACCCTGCCTCTACTAAAAATACAAAAATTAGTCAGGCGTGGTGGCAGGCGCCTGTAATCCCAGCTACTGGGGAGGCTGAGGCAGAGAATTGCTTGAACCCGGCAGGCAGAGGTTGCAGTGAGCCAAGATCCCGCCACTGCACTCCAGCCTGGGCAACAGAGTGAGACTCCGTCTCAAAAAAAAAAACAAACAAAAGAAAAAGAAAAATATATATATATACAAAAAAATTAGCTAGGCATGGTGGCACACACCTGTAGTCCCAGCTACTTAGGAGGCCGAGGCACAAGAATCGATTGAACCCGGGAGGCAGAGGTTGCAGTGAGCCAAGATCGTGCCACTGCACTCCAGCCTGGGCAACAGAGACTCTGTCTCAAAAAAAAAAAAAAAAAAGAAAAGAAAAAAACCCAGAACCATGAAGTATCACTAAGTATCTCTTTTCTTTATTATTTTCCTTTTTAAATTTTTTTATATTTTCTTAATTTAGAGACAGGGTATCACTACATTGCTTAGGCTGATCTCAAACTCCTGGCCTCCAGCTATCCTCCCGCCTTGGCCTCCCAAGTGCTGGGATTACAGGCTTGAACTACCCCGCCTGGTCTCCCTCAGTATCTAACAAAACATTACACATAGGTTTTTTTTGTTTCTGTTTTTTTTTTGTGTGTGTGTGACGGAATCTTGCTCTGTTGCCAGGCTGGAGTGCAGTGGCGATCTTGGCTCACTGCAACCTCCGACTCCCGGGTTCATGCAATTCTCCTGCCTCAGACTCCCGAGTAGCTGGGATTACAGGTGCGTGCCACCACGCCCGGATAATTTTTGTATTTTCAGTAGAGACGCGGTTTCACCGTGTTGGCCAGGCTGGTCTCGATCTCCTGACCTCGTGATCCGCCTGCCTCGGCCTCCCAAAGTGCTGGGATTACAGGCGTGAGCCACCGAGCCCGGCCAACATTACACGTAGGTTTCAAATTTTATTTAGATGGACCTGAAAGCACTGCAGAAACCTGGACAAAGGATAATGCCTAGAAAAATAAATACACATTTTATTTATTTTTTTGAGACGGAGTCTCGCTCTGTCGCCCAGGCTGGAGTGCAGTGGCGCGATCTCGGCTCACTGCAAGCTCCGCCTCCCGGGTTCACGCCATTCTCCTGCCTCAGCCTCCCGAGTAGCTGGGACTATAGGCGCCCGCCACCACGCCCGGCTACTTTTTTGTATTTTTAGTAGAGACGGGGTTTCACCGTGTCTGCTAGGGTGGTTTCAATCTCCTGACCTCGTGATCCGCCCGCCTCAGCCTCCCAAAGTGCTGGGATTACAGGTTTGAGCTACCCCGCCTGGACTCCCTCAGTATCGAACAAAACATTACACGTAGGTTTCAAATTTTATTTAGATGGACCTGAAAGCACTGTCAAAACCTGGACAAAAGATAATGCCTAGAAAAATAAGTACACATTTTAAAATTTAATACATGAGCCAACAGCTGAGTAGATGTGAACACTCTGCAAACTATGTTTATGGATATTACAGCCAATTTCCACAGATCACAATTTTCCCAAAGAAGTCTCAGAGTTTGTGGTCAAGATGAAAAGAAAGCACCATTTATCAACCAGTGCATATTACTATCAAGTTGTGAATGGGATGCCTATTTAAGAATATCACAGACTCCACCCCCCACAAGAAAATTAAGTGTTTTAAAAAGAAAAGAACGAATATTATTGACAATTACCAAACAAAACTTTCTTCTTAGGTTATTTCTCCGTTTACTGTGTGACCTCGCCGAAGGCTGAGAGTCTAGGCACACTGGTTTCCAGGTGCTGAAGAAATCGTTATAGTTGGTTTGTCATACGTCTATCAAAGTAAAATTTTAAAAATGAGTACCTTTTGGCAACACCCGTTTTGGGAGGACATTGAGCTGCTTTGCTCCCTACCCAAAGAGGAGTTAGGAAATTCTCTTTAACCTAATTCTTTCCTAATTTCTAGGGCTTCTTACCTAATCTAACGTGCATAATTATTTTCAGGTGACTCCGGGTCCATCAGTTTGACACCGAGAGCGTTCCTACGGTTACGTCCTCACCCCTGAACAAAACCCAGCTTCCTGAGCTTCTAACGGCGAATTTAACTTGTATGTTAATACAGAAGAAAGGTTACAAAACCTATCGAAATGGTTTTTTGTTTTACCAAACATATTACAACTCAAGTCAAAAGTTCACAGCCCCAGCAACTCGCGTACGAATCTGAAGCAGGTCCAGACCATTAAAGTCACAGCCCCAGACTAGAAAACGGCCGGTGGGTGGGGGGAGGGGAGAGGGCGCGTCCCGAAGATGTCCACCCGCAGCACCGCGCAGGCTGACGCCTCCCCTCCTCTCGGGCTGGAGGTGAGAGCGCCCTTCCTCCTACCACGTCCCTACCTTCCCGGCCTCGGATTACGCCACAGCTGGCAAAAGGACTTTTTCATGAGAAAACAGACAAGTCAACCAGCGCGCCGCACACTCGACCTCCCAGGCTCGCACGGGCGGCCGCCCGGGCTCTCAGCCCGACACAGCGCTCCAGGGGCTGACAAGGAGGCCGCGGGGTCACGCTCCCTGGGGCAACGGCCCGAGGGTCTCGCGGAATCCCGGTGCAGAAGTCTGGACCCTCCGAGCAGCCTCCGCGCCCCCTCCGGCTCGGCTCCGAGCCTGCAGACGGCGCCCCCGGGGCTAACTCAGCGCGAGAAGAGGAAGCGACGCAGCGAGTAACAGGCTGTATGGACGGACAGCGGACTGAAGGGGGGTGTGTGTGTGTCTGCCTGCCAACAAGGCCGTCTCACCTTCCCGCTGCCGAGCCGGGCAGCTCCAGCTCACCTGAGGAGGGCTCCAGGACGCCACTGCGGCCGCCGTGATGGCCGTAACGGCACGAGGCCTGCGCTCCGCCGCCGCCGCGTAGCTCTTGGGAGAGAGGCGGGGCACGCGCGGTGGGCAGGCGGATCCGCGCGGGCAGGAAACCCACTCTGGACCCAATCTGATAGGTTCAGTCGCCCCCTTCCCCGGTCCCTGACGCGACAACGGTCTCTGCCGCACTGGGATTGGGCGGGCCCTCATGTCAATCAAGCGCCGTGCCTGATGTGGAGGGAGCGGAGGCTGCGCGGCGGAGAGTAGAGAGCTAGAGGGTGAGAAGCGCTGGGCCGGACCAGAACTGTCTTAGCTTTTCCCTCTGCGGCTGCTCTGGTTGGTTACTTTGAGCCTGCCTCCTCAGCGCCGCAGGAGAGACTTAACAGCAAAAATGACTGTGTCCTGAGTTCAGCCCCCACTGCTCTGGGAGCTTCCCCCTGGTTTCTGCACCTGAAGAATGTCATCCCAGCCGAAGGTTCTTAGGAGCGGGGAGCGACAAAGAAAAACAAAGAAAAGCAGACCTGAAAATTGGGACCTGGGAGAAATGTAAGACATGTGCTTAATTTGAGGCACAGACCAAAAGAAGCTGAGTCTGAGGGCCCTCTAAAAGTGTCCTCGTGCTTGGGCAGCTTACATTCTTGGCGGCAGTAGTGTTATGAAGAGGACCTTCGGAGCCAGGTCTGTCCATTCTTAGGGCTCCAGCCACTGGCTGAGGCATCAGTAAGTTGGTTCTTCCCCTCGCCGGTGCTGCAGGCCCCCTTCCCCGCCCCCGCGCCGTAACCTGCCTCTTTTTTTTTTTTTTTTGAAACGAGTTTCGCTCTGTCGCCAGGGTGGAGTGCAGTGGCACGATCTCGGCTCACTGCAACCTCCGCCTCCGGGTTCAAGCTATTCTCCTGCCTCAGCCTCCCGAGTAGCTGGGATTACAGGCATGTACCACCACGCCCAGCTAATGTTTTTGTATTTTTAGCAGTGACGGGGTTTCACCAGGATGGTCTCGATCTCTTGACCTCGTGATTCGCCAGCCTCGGCCTCCCAAAGTGCTGGGATTACAGGCGTGAGCCACCACGCCCAGCCGCCTCATCTCTTCTTAACCATCTTTGTGGCACAGTTTAGGATCGCTCCTCAGGGAAGCTTGCTCAGTTAGGTACCTTCCTTGGAGCACAGGTGTTTTCTCCATCCGAGCTATTGAAATGGTTTGCCTGTATGTCTACCTAGATTGTAAACTCCGTTGAATCAGTAACCATGTCTGTTCAGTTTCTCCCTAGGGCCTTGCAGTAGGGTAGATGGTCAGTAAATACTGTTTAAGGCATTAATACTTTTTATTTTAATCCTGGCCCTGGATATCAGCCTCAAAAGTTTGCAGTTTTCTGCATTTAACTTCAAAATTATTTACGTGATTGGTAATGCATGCATGTGGTTGGCCTGTGCTGTAATTTAGATGTTTGTTCCCCTAAACCTCCTGTTGAAATTTGATCCCCAATGTTGGAGGTGGGGACTAATGGGCAGTGTTGGGTCATGGAGGTGGTTCCTTCAGGAATAGATTAATGTCCTCCCTGGGGAGAGGGTAAATGAGTTCTCTTTATTTCCACCAGAGCTGGTTAAAAAGAACGTCGCACTTCCTTTCTTCTTTTGCGTCCTCTCTGGCCATGTAATCTCTGCACACACCAGCTCTCCTTTGCCTTCTGGCATGAGTAGAAGCAGTCTTAGGCTACCATCAGATGCAGATGCTCAGTCTTGAACTTTTCCAGACATCAGAACCATAAGCCGAAAAACCTTTTCTATTTCTAAATTATCCAGCTTTGGGTATTCCTTTCTAGCAACACTAAAGGGACTAAGACAGCCTGCCATATGTAGGATCACAAGGTCAAGCACAAATTTACCTATTTATGCTGTACTATCCTCAGGTTGACTGGGACAAGTAGACCATGAAACTGGGCAACAGCTACTCTATGTCTACATTCTGTTATTAGCATCCAAAGTGAATAATGGCGGTGAATTTTGAGTTTATTCTAAGGGTTTAAATAACTGCATATTTTATCATGACTGGTATGGACTGAATTGCATCCCCCCCAAAAATTCATACTGAAGCCCTCACTCCTAATGTGACTATATAAATGTTCCTTAACTTACAAAGGGGTTATGTTCCAATAAACCCACCATAAACTGAAAATACCTTAAGTTGAAAAGATCTTAAGTCAGAAATGCATTTAATGCTTCTAACCTACCAAACATCATAGCTTAGAGTAGCCTACCTAAAACATGCTCAGAATACTTACATTAGCTTTCAGTTAGGCAAAATCATCTAATACAAAGCTTATTTTTTAATAAAGTATTGAGTATTTCATGTAATCTACTAAATACTGAATGAAAAACTGGATGGTTTTATGGGTACTCAAAGTACAGATTCTAGAGTGCATATGGCTTTTGGACCATCATAAAGTCAAAAAAATCTTAAGTCAGGGACCATCTCTAGTTGGAGCTAGGCCTTTAGGGAGGTAATAAAAATTAAATTAGGTCATAAGGGTGGGGCCCTAATCCCATAAGATTAATGTCTTTATAGAAAGTGGCACCAGAGAGCTCTCTCCATTTGAGAACACAGCAAGCAGACAGACATCTGCAAGCCAGAGAGAGAGCCCTCACCCAAAACTGACCATGCTGGCACCCTCTTTTGGACCTCCCAACCTACATAACTTTGAAAAAATAAACTTCTGTTGTGTAAGCCACCCAATCTAGTATTTTATTATGGCAGCCCAAGCTAATACAATGGTTTTATTTGTTGATACATTTTATAAAGTTTACAGACTGAGATATTATATTCATTTTTGAAGAAACTTGTCCAGAGTTAAAACTGTTGCTGCAAAATCACCCATCAAACTGTTAGCACAGCGTGACTCAATTTTAATTCTAATTACATATTTAACATACGATGGAGGCAGAAGGTGTGAATATAAATACAACAGGTAAAATACAGAAATACAGTTCTTGCCTTCATGTAGCTTACCACCACCTTAAGTGGGGAAAATTAACCCAGCAAAAAGTATGCTGAAGTCATACATTTAGGGTTTTTGTTTGTTTGTTTGTTTTTTGAGATGGAGTCTCGCTTTTTTGCCCAGGTTGGAGTGCAGTGGCACCACCTCAGCTTATTGCAACCTCCACCTCCCGGGTTCAAGCAATTCTCCTGCCTCAGCCTCCCAAGTTGCTGGGACTACAGGCACACACCACCACACCTGGCTAATTTTTTGTATTTTTAGTAGAGACGGGGTTTCACAATGTTGGCCAGGCTTGTCTCAAACCCCTGACCTCAGGTGATCCACCCACCTCAGCCTCCCAAAGTGTTGGGATTACAGGCGTGAGCCACAGCACCCAGCTAGTTTATCCTCTTAATTTTCCTTCTTTAATCTTTCTCATCACTCATTCTTAACAGGAACTCTTTAAAAAAATTTAAGAAACCTCCAAAAATATATGCAAAAGAGGAGTCAAAGAAGAAAAATAAGCAAACAGCAATGAAAAAGGAAAGCATAGACTGGAAGGGCAGATAGGCAGAAAGGCATGTATGTAATTGCACTTAGAAGGGATGCAGTACATGTTTTAATGGGGTGGGAGCTGTCCCAGAGACTTCCTTTCACACAGTCTGTCTCCCCAGCTTCCAAATATAAACATGCACATGGCTGCTGCTTCCTCTCTTTCAGGGGAACTCAAACCAAAAACAGGAATCATCCTTGCTAATTAGTGCTGAGTGGATCAGGGACTAACCAGAATCAGGCAACAAGAAAATGTAAGTCAAAACTTATGATCAGCCCTGGCAACAGAGCTAGACCCTGTCTCTACAAAACAAAATTTTTTTTAATCAGCTGGGCATAGTGGCATGTGCCTGTAGTCCCAGCCACTCTGGAGGCTGAGGTGGGAGGATGGCTTGAGCCCAGGAATTTGAGGCTGCAATGAGCTATGATCACACCACATCTCAAAACAAAAACAAAACTTATCTAGGGACTACACGTGGAGCTTTGGATATGGGCAGCTAATCTGTCTATGATTAAAAACACGCAGGTGGCTTACTTTATTAATCCAAAATAAAAGAATTTGGGAACACAAGAAAGGGAAAAATGAGCCTCCATGTCAAGACCTTTCCCAGAAACCTGATAGCTTATAGTTAGAAATTGTTATAGACAGTCCAGTGCAAGGAGGACATTAAGCCACAGGGGAAAGGAGTTGTGTGGCCAGGTTAGTCAGGCAATTAACTAGAAAAAATCTGTCCACATAGAGGAGCCTGCATAATAAAAAGGTATTAAACGATAGTAGAATATTGCTAGAGCAGAAGATAGCTAGAAATATAATCAATAACCAGGTTATGGAAGTCAGGCACCTTAGAGTTTATCCTATAGGCAATGAGAAGCCATTCAAAGGGTTTTTGTTTTTGTTTTCAGCACTTTAAAGATGTCATTCTCGTTTTCCAGCCTCCATTATATCTGTGAGAAACTAGTTGTAATTCTTATCATTGTTTTCTTGTATGTCTTATGCCTTTTTCTATGAATGCTTTTAAGATTTTGTTTATATTTATCAAAAGTTAACACTGATGTTTCTAGGTGTCTTTTTCTATGAATGCTTATAAGATTTTCATTATATTTATCAAAAGTTACACTGTGATGTTTCATTACACTGTGATGTTTCATTACACTGTGATGTTTGTTTTGGTTTTGGTTTTGTATTTATCCTGCTTGGGGTTCATTTCATTCCCTGGGTCTGTGGATTGCTGGTTTCTCATTTTCTTTTCTTTTCTTTTTTTTTTTTTATCAAATTTGGAAGACTTTTGTCCAGTATTTCTTCAAATTTTTTTTTCTGTCCCATTCTGTTTCTCCTCTTCTTCTGGGACTACAATTACACTCATGCTAGACTTCTCAGTACTTAGTACAGGTCATTCAGGCTCTGTTCATTCTTTTTTCAGTTTGTATAATTTCTATTGAGAGCCACTGTCTAGTAATCCCTGAAAAAATCTAAATGTTGACATTTTCCCAAAGCACAGTACCCTGCTGATGGCTGTAGTTTCCTTTGGGGAAGGTTTAGAGATATGTTAGTCAGGAAATCAGAAATTAGATGATATTACTACAGAGAGGATTTAGTATTGAGTTTTCATTGACTGAAAAAGCAAAAACGGAACACTGAGGTTACCCAGAGGTGATAACTGCAGGGAGCAGCTGTCAATGATAGATCTAGTGAAAATGGGGACTCAAGGTGGATTATCAGGTCTCAGAAACTCAGACAAATGACCTGGCTGAGTATTGCTCAGACCCCTGAGAGGATGCTGTCTGGCTGATCCTACTACTTCAGGGAAGGATATGATGAGGCTAGTTGTGGATGGGGAGGATGTCAAAAGAAGCTCAAGGCTGAAATCAATTGCTGCTGCTGGAGCAAAGGGCTCTTGCTTGTTGCTGGGATAACAGTGACAGAAACTGCAAACAAATGGAAAGGAGGAAGTCCCTTCTTCCCTTCTGCCTTCCAGTCTCCCTCTAATGCCCTTTATTGATGGAACCTAGTGAGACACCAGCTGACATAGAAAAAAATGTAGTTTGCAGGGTTTGAGCCACAGCATTACAGAGAAATGTATAGAAGGGGGAATGTGGACCTGAGACAATAGTTTAATAAACAGTACCATATCATTTATTTGTGCTAAATTGGTAAGAATGGCCAAAATTAGACTTAATGCCATCATATGTGCTTTTACAGACTTTTAGACCTTTTTGAAAAGAATCTCAGGATACCATGTCAATTTTCTGCTACATTATGATTACTGTTGGTGCCTTTTTCAGGAGTAAGGAGTACTTTTACTGCAGCTCACACATACACTAGCCACAAAATCATAAACAAGGGCAGCCTTGGAAGAGATCTACATAACTGAGGATAAGCAGACCCTACCCCAACGTTAGGTCTCCAAACATCAGGGACAAAATGGCATGGGCTAGGTAGGACTGGCAAGAATCCACACTTCTCCCTATTTCTATTTCCTATGTATCGCCTAATGTGCTCATAATAAGGAGAAAACCAATTTCCTGTTCTAACTTTGGACAGCCACCCATTGTCATTAAAAAACCACTTATTTTCCCTTCTTTCCTCTTTTCTTGCCTCAACCCAGGCTCCTTTACCCAGCCCTATGACTTCTAGTTTTCTAATGCAAGTAGATGACAAAACAGGGTTTGGTGTTCAACATTTCACCTTATAGTGTATTTTTCACAAATGAAGGAGTTTTGTTGAACATTTGTAGAACATTTCTAATTTTTGAACTTCAGTTCCATCTGAAAGGGGTCATTTCTTTGAGTCTTCTATTATTTAGTAATAGCAGTTAACATTCTCCTTCTACTACAATTTACCTGGAAAGACACCCATAAATACCAATAAAGATACCAGATTCATAACGTATTTCATATATTTAATATTTGTATTTGAATATATTAGACTAGAATAAATTTTCTGCATTTGTATATATTATATATTTTATAGCACTCTGTCAGTTATATAACACAAAAGACATTCATAGGTAAACATTAAAATGGCAGTATACATAATAACTGAACATTAATGAGACAATAATAATCAGGTATTCATTTAATGGGAGAGTCTAGTATTTCCTGGTAGTCCTGCTTTCTTAAATTCCTCCAGTAAAGTTTATAGCCAGCAAGGACAAAAACACTAATCATAATGATTACCCCTCCAAAAACATCATAGATGCTAGGAAATATGTGCAGCACGAGAAGCTGCAAGACCATAGCTACCACAATCTCCAAATGTTGTACTGTGCTAACCAAAGCTGGATGGAATTTGTCCAAGGCATAATAAACTCCTAAGAATGCTGCAGTAGAACAGACACATATAGCAATGAGATAACTCCAGGTTTCTCCATCTAATGGGATGATGGGTTCTTGAAGAATAAACATAGTAGATATTCCCCAAATTGTCCCAGTCCAACCAAAAGTAAACAGTGCAGTCCACATGCTGATCTTCTCCTTGATGGATCTGTATACTATCATTGAGAGAGCAGTGGTCAGTCCAGCCATCACAGTCATGGTGTACCCAAAGGCTTCTTTCCAGGCATTTAACAAAGAATTGTCTTCATCAACAATGTTTGGGATCATGACAAGACAAACACCTAAGATGCTGCAAACAACTGTAGCCATGTCAACATAAGCCATTTTCTCATCTACGAGTAAAAAAGCCAAAATGGCACTGAAGACTGTAGTTGTGGCTCTCCACATAGTGGTCCCATTGCTGGGAGGAACTATTGAAAATGATGTATAAGCACAAGTGATAGAAATGACATTGCATACACCATAAAAGAAGAGTCGTAATCTGTATCCACTGGGTCCAAAGGGGGCCTCCTGATAGTAACACACAACTAACACAGATAAGACCTGAAAAACAGAACGGATAAAAATCAGTTCTAGAGATGGAACTTTAGACCGATCAGAAACAAGCCTAGTGATAAGAGCTACACATCCATGAGCCAAAGCAGATCCAAACAGCACTATCCACATTTTTCGGGATTGAAAAATGTTTTTTTCTGCAAAGCTCTGGAATTGTCCAATCTCATTGATCATTGGGTCTTCTGTTGGTGGAGGTAGGGTATCCATGGTTCCAAAGAAAGCTCTCCCTTTTTTTTTCATTTCACTCAGCAGACCTTTCTTTGGATTTTCCTCCATAAAATTTCCATAGCCTTCATTGATTTCTTCATATCCATCATCGCCAGGCTGGGGATAATGAGAAGTATATTTCACCATCACTGTGTTGGGATGTATTTTCACCCGTTTTTTAACTGGATATTTTCTGGAGGGAGAAGTATCCATTTCTTCAGATAATCAATTCTATTTAAAGAAAAAAATTGACAAAAAGACATTCATTTCATTGAAAATTTAATTTCTATTATAATCATATGCATCAATTCAATGATAGAAAGTAGAGGCTGTAACAGTAGTCCAGAAAAAAAAGAAATTAGAGATGATCTGGCAATATGCCTTATCAGATGTATGGTACCTACTGGAATTGTTTACCCTTTTTTCACTCTCATCTGAAGTCTGTCTCCATTTCTCTTTGCTTACTTGTTTAATTCAGCTCTATCTTCTATCTTTATACCACAAACGGATTTTTCCATCTTTTCATTCCTACCTGTTTCTCCACCTATCCAACAAGCAAAACACAGAAAGATAAATAATAACTTAGGTCAAACCTTTCCTTCTCATTGGGTCCATTTGCCTGTTATAAATTATTAGTTAAGTCCAAAGTATTTTGTATAATCAATTCTGTATAATACCAGAATTCACCTTATAAATTATAGTGATTTTTAAACATTTATTCTGGACTCCCCATAAGTTTTGAGATATAAAAATACACTGAAATTAGAACATAAATAACATGAATTTAGTAACACTCATGCATTGTTGGTAGAAAGGTTAAATTGTACAACCTCTCTCGTGAACAGTTGGACCATATGTATTAAGATTTTAACTATCCTCTACTCAGCAATACCACTTTTAAGATTTTATGCTAAAGAGATGATCACAAGATGCTTTTTACATTCTGAATAAAAAAGGGGGGGAATAAGAATACGTATTTATATTTGTTTACATAACAAAGAAATTATATAAAGATGCCAAGAAAACTAATGGTGGTTCAGGTGACAGGAGGAACAAGAATGGAAGAAAACCTTTTTGTTATTTATTTTTTTACATTTTTATTTTTGAATTGTGATATTATCCAAAAATAGAATTAAAATGTTTATCTGTTACTTAAGAAAAAGAATATACCAAAAAATGTGGGGAAAATGTACATACAGGAGAGTTCATTGTAGCTTACTACAATGAATGTTCATACAATGGAATACTATGCTATCTATTAAAAATGACAGTGTAGGCACGGTGGCTCACACCTGTAATCCCAGCATTTTGGGAGGCTGAGGCGGGCGGATCACTTGAGGCCAGAAGTTTGAGAGGAGTTGGCCAGCCTGGCCAACATGGTGAAATGCCATTTCTACTAAAAATACTAAATTTAGCCGGGCCTGGTGGTATGTGTCTGTAATTCCAGCTACTCGGGAGGCTGAGGCATGAGAATCACTTGAATTCAGGAAGCAGAGGTTGCAGTGAGCCAAGATTGTGCTACTGCACTCCAGCCTGGGTGACAGAGCGAGACTCTGTCTCAAAACAAAACAAAACAAAAACGATGTCCACTATATAATGTCAAGTGGGAAAAAAAGTTGAACTTACTGTAAGAATTAAATAAAATAATGCATATAAACAATTTGCCACAGTGCTGGCATATAGTAAACTCTCAATAAATGTTAGCAATAAATTTGGCTTCCTTTCACCTATAACAACTTTATGAAACACTGGGTATCTTCTACAATATTATTATTTCTTTTAGACCTTTATTTTTTCACTTGGTTCTTTCTTTCCTTCCTTTCAACAATTTCCTATTTCCCTCCCAATGATCCTCTCCTCCCGCTTAAAAAACAAAAAAGAGACCAGGCACGCTGGCTCATGCCTGTAATCCCAGCACTTTGGGAGGCCGAGGTAGGCAGATCACCTGAGGTCAGGAGTTCGAGACCTGCCTGGCCAACATGGTAAAATCCTGTCTCTACTAAAAATGCAAAAATTAGCTGGGAATGGTGGCAGGTGCCTGTAATCCCAGCTACTCAGGAGGCTGAGGTAGGAGAACTGCTTGAACCCAGGAGACGGAGGTTGCAGTGAGCCAAGATTGTGCCACTGCACTCCAGCATCAGCAACAGAGCAAGACTCCATCTCAAAAAAAAAAAAAGAAAAAGAAAAAAAATCTTTTTTTTTCTTCCTCGTGACTCCCTGATTTCTTGCCAAAAACTCATCGGTTCCAGGATCTTAAACAATGGCCCAGAAATAAAATCTCATTTTGTTCTTCGACACCATCTGGGGAGCTAACTGTTCTATTCCTATTTACTCCTTTCTTTTCTAAAAGGCACCACCTTCAGCTGGAAGAAGTCATGAAAAAAATATCACCTGTGCCTCCAAACCCTTCTATTTCCTAGCCTGGATGTCCCATTTGCAGTCCTTCTTCCTGCACACCACTATCAGGCTAATCTGACTGTTCTTTATTTCCAACTTTTGCCAGGACATGTCAAATCATAGCTTCAACAATCCCAAACTGAATAGTCTTGTTCTCCCAAATAGATTTTTTTCCCTAATGTCCTCATTTATGTCTGTGATACCACAATTTTTCCAGTTCCCCAAGCTAGAAATCAGGGAATACTGTGAATTATCTTTTCTGCCATCTTACTTGCATTTGGTCACTAATCTTACTGTTTTTGTCTTTGAAATATTCCTGTTTTTCCCTTTCTCCTCCAATTCTATGTAACTTTTATAATTGTGGTTTGGGTTATTGTGAATTCCCATCTAGAATATTGCAACAGCATCCTAACTAGCCTCCCTTGAATCCCAGTCCCTCTCTAAAATTTATATTATCCCACTGTCACATTGCTCTTCCTTTAAAAGACTCAAAACAAAAACAAAAACTTCTCAAGCTTTCCCCATTCAAGAACCTACAGTGATTTCCTATCTCTACCTTATCAAATTTCAACTCCTCTGCCAGGCTCTCAATACCCTGGCTAATCTAGCTCCTATCAGTACTTAGGTCTTCAACACGCCTACCTTGCTCTGAGCAGTCAGTCCAGTGTCTTCCCTGTCCTCATTCTCCATATATACCCTAAGCTTTTATTCTCACCAGTTTCCCTTCTGCTCCAACTTTGTAAACACTGTTCATCTTTTTTTTTTTTTTTTTTTTTTTTTGAGACGGAGTCTCACTCTTCGCCCAGGCTGGAGCGCAGTGGCACAATCTCGGCTCACTGCAAGCTCCACCTCCCGGGTTCACACCATTCTCCTGCCTCAGCCTCCCGAGTAGCTGGGAACTACAGGCTCCCGCCACCACGCCCGGCTAATTTTTTGTATTTTTTTTAGTGGAGACAGGGTTTCACCGTATTAGCCAGGACGGTCTCGATCTCCTGACCTTGTGATCTGCCCACCTCGGCCTCCCAAAGTGCTGGGATTACAGGCGTGAGCCACCGCGCCCGGCCAACATTGTTCATCTTTAAAGGCCCAGTACAAATTCTGTCTTTTAGAGACAGGCCTTTCCTCACCTCTAGCCACTTGTGTATTTTTCTTCCTTGTTTAAACATCTGCAGTAGTACTTCTAACCTAATATTTTGTAATCTAATAATTTTGTAACCTAGCTGTCTCAACTCAGTGGAATTTTGTTTCTAGTCACTGTGCCCAAATTTGGTATGTCAAATAATAATTATTTTGAGACAGGGTCTCACTCCGTTGCGCAGGCTGGAGTGCAGTGGCGTGATCACTGCTCACTGCAGCCTCGACCTCCAGGGCTCAAGCAATCCTCCCACCTCAGCCTCAGCTAAGACACTTGTACACCACCCCTCCTGGCTGTTTTTTACACTTTCTGTAGAGACAGGGTTTTGCCATGTTGCCCACGATGGTCTCAAACTCCTGGGTTCAAGCAATAAGCATGCCTCAGCCTCTCAAAATGCTGGGATTACAGGCGTGAGCCACCACGCCCAGCTGCATTATTTTTTTTTTTTAATTCAACAACTTTGTATATTTTTGGATACAAATACAAAGTTATATCATGCTTTCAAGATATTCTTTTACTAATTCTCAGAACAATGCAAGGCATAAATATTGTGCACACTCATGCCTACTTGTGTGATCCTGAGTTTAATAGAAGAAAGGATAGAAACCAGCTTGGCTTATACATTTTTTAAAATATTATTTGGCTCATTTTCCCTAAAAACATCAAGAAAGGAATTGCCACATGCCTAATTGAAAAGATATGCTTAGTGGTAAGGATATATATACATCAACTTTTAAGAGGTTTAAAAAAAAAACTCCTCCCATTGTAACAGTTTATAGTTCACCACATACTACTAAAACAACCCATAAACCATGAGTGCATTATCAGGAGTGACAGGAGGGTAAGTCGACCGATGTGAAATTTACCTTGTAGGCAATTGACATTCTGCGGTGTATGGCAACTGGTCATGAGCAGTACAAAGAATTTAAAAGGATCCAATATCTCAATATGTTGAAACAAACTGTATCACTTGGATCCATCAATATCATTTTCCATGGTTAGCTTTTGTTTGTTTTTAGTTATTTATTTATTTTTGAGACGGAGTCTCGCTCTGTCCCCCAGGCTGGAGTGCAGTGGCATGATCTCAGCTCACTGCAACCTCCACCTCCCGGCTTCAAGAGATTCTCCTGCCTCAGCCTCCACAGTAGCTGGGATCATAGGCATGTGCCACTACGCCTGGCTAATTTTTGTATTTTTTTGGTAGAGACGGGGTTTCACCATGTTGGTCAGGCTGGTCTCAAACCCCTGACCTCAAGTGATCCGCCCGCCGCGGCTTCCCGAAGTGCTGGGATCACAGGCATGAGCCACCACGCCCAGCCTAAATCCTGTATTTTTAAAAACTAACAATGGGCCAGGTGCAGTGGCTCATGCCTGTAATTCCAGCACTTTGGGAGGCTGAGGCAGGCGGATCACTTGAGGTCAGGGGTTTGAGACCAGCCTGGCCAACATGGTAAAACCTCGTCTCTACTAAAAATACAGAAAATTAGTTGGGAGTGGTGGCACATGCCTGTAGTCCCAGCTACTTGGGAGGCTAAGACACCAGAATCACTTGAACCCAGGAGGCGGAGGTTGCAGTGAGCCAAGATCGCACCACTGCACTTCAGCCTGGGAGACAGAGAACTTGTCTCAAAAATAAAAAATAAAAATAAATAAAAGCACAGGATTTAAAGTAAAAAAAAAAAGTTGGGTTCAACTTTACTTATTAATCATGACTTTGGGTACATGATTTCGTTTTCATAAACTTTAGTTTCTACATGTATAAAAGATAATTATACTTATTACCTATGATTATTACAAAGTATAATGATAAAATATATATAAATTAAATGGCATAACTTGTATATTTAGCACGCAATAAAAATTAGGTACTATTATAATTGCATAATTTTTTTTTAGGTTCAGGGAGTACATGTGCAGATTCGTTACGTGTGTGTGTGTGTATATATAATCTTTTTTTTTTTTTGAGACGGAGTTTCGTTCTTGTTGCCCAGGCTGGAGTGTAATGACATGATCTTGGCTCACTACAACCTCCACCTCCGGATTCAAGCGACTCTCCTGCCTCAGCCTCCCAAATAGCTGGGATTACAGGCATGTGCCACCACGCCCGGCTAATTTTGTATTTTTAGTAGAGACAGGGTTTCTCCATGCTGGTCAGGCTGGTCTTGAACTCCCTACCTCAGGTGATCCGCCTGCCTCAGCCTCCCAAAGTGCTGAGATTACAGGCCACCGTGCCCGGTTCGTTACATGTATATATTATGTAATGGTAAGGTTTAGGATTCTGGTGTATCCATCACCCAAATAGTGAGCATTGCACCCAATAGGTAATTTTTTAACCCTCTCTTCCCACCTACTCTAACCCGTTTCAGAGTCTCCAGGGTCTATTATTTCCATCTTTATGTGTAATTGTTTAGCTCCCACTAATAAGAGCTTGTAAGACAGAACATGCAGTATTTGATTTTATGTTTCTGAGTTATTTTACTTAGGATAATAGCCTCTAGCTCTATCCATGTTGCTGCAAAGGACATAATTTCATTCTTTTTTATGACTATGATGGCTTTTTGTCACCCCAGATTCACTTTGTCACCCAGTGAATATGGCTGGCTCAAGTGATCCTCCCACCTCAGCCTCCTAAGTAGCTGGGGCTTCAGATGCCTGCCATCACGCCTACCTAATTTTTGTATTTTTTGTAGAGATGGGTTTTCGCCATGTTGCCCAGGCTGATCTCAAACTCCTGGGCTCAAGTGATCCACCAACCTCAGCCTCCCAAAGTGCTGGGATTATAAGCATAAGCCACCACACCCAGCCTATGATATGCTGAACTACATTTTCCAATTTACTTAATCAAACACTAATCTATCTAAGTTGCTGTTGTGAAGAGATTTTGCAGATGTGATAAAAGTCCCTTTTGTTTGCTGTAAATGTGTTGATAAATAAATAGCCCCTAATCTGTTGACTTTATCCTGGGTAGGCCTGACTTAATAAGGGGAGCCCTTTAAAGGTGAGGGCTTAGGCCTTTCTTAAATTCAGAGACTCCAAACAGCTTATGCCCTTGGGATTCTAGCCTGTTCATGATTTTTTCTTTACTGCCTGTGGACAACAAGCATTATCCTGTGCTCATGGGGTTCTAACCAGTTCTTTCTCTTTTGTTTTGTTTTTGTTTGTTTTGAGACAGAGTCTTGCTCTGTCGCCCAGGCTGGAGTGTAGTGATGCAATCCCGGCTCACTGCAACCTCTGCCTCCCAGGTTCAAGCAATTCTCCTGCCTCAGCCTCCTGAGTACTTGGGATTACAGGCACCCACCACAGCCACCACCAAATCCAGCTAATTTTTGTATTTTAGTAGAGGTGGGGTTTCGCCATGTTGGCCAGGCTGGTCTCGAACTCCTGACCTCAAGTGATCCATCTGCCTCAGCCTTCCAAAGTGCTGGGATTACAGGCATGAACCACTGCTCCCGGCCCCAGCTGGCCCTTAAATCTCCCCTTCCTGAATGACTGCCTGCAGACTTCAGACTTGCTTATCCAGCCCCCACAAGAACATAAGCCAATTTTTTTTTTCTTTTTGAGATGGAGTTTCACTCTTGTTGCCCAGGCTGGAGTGCAATGAAGCCAGTTCTTTATAATAAATCCCCTACTGGTTCTGTGTTTCAAATTAACTCCTAATTCTGATATACGTTAGAATTCTCTCCTTGCTTGTTGTCTTCTGCTAACTCTAATAGGCCACCAAAATTCTCTTGGTTGCAAGCATCCAAATGTAAGTTATCTCAGGTAAATTCTGGAGGGCCTCCTCAGTACACAAATCCCTTATGTGGGAGAGCCTTACATTTTGGGACTTAGAGTCCACAGATTTTTGCTGTTTGGTCTTCTTGCCTAGTAGGCAGCTCTCCTTGGCAGGAACTAACAGTATTCACGTGGCCCCAGGAAACTAGGAAATTTTATTTATTTATTTATTTATTATTTATTTATTTATTTTTAGACAGTCTCACTCTGTCGCCCAGGCTAGAATGTAGTGGCATGATCTTGGCTCACTGCAACCTCCACCTCCCAGGTTCAAGTGATTCTCCTGCCTCAGCCTCCCTCAGCCTCCAGAGTAGCTGGGATTACAGGCATGCACCACCACGCCCAGCTAATTTTTGTATTTTTAGTAGAAATGGGGTTTCACCATGTTGGCTAGGTTTGTCTCAAACTCCTGACCTCAGGTGATTCACTCGCCTTAGCGCAAAGTACTGGGATTACAGGTGTGAGCCACCATGCCCAGCCGGAAATTTTATTTTAGAGATAAGAAATTTAAGACTCAGAAATTTTGAGTTCTGGCTTGGCCACCAACTAGAGTAATAATTATTGTCTGTCTTAAGAGAAAGTGTTTTGGATGATAATTTTGGGGATCTTTTGACATAACCGTCTTCACAATCGGTTTGTCTTTTTAATGATTTCATACTTACAGTGTTTTGATATCTCTCCCAATGCAAGACCACTATGTAGTTTAGCCACTGTAACTTTCTACAATCTGCTCTAAGTCATTCTGATCAAAGTGCCAACTCAACTTTTCCTCCTTCCTCAGAGACGAGTGCTCTAAACCAGTATCATGGCTCCAGTTCCTCTGACAAGGATTCACATGGGGTAAGTGCCCACTAAGGCAGAGGTGTCTACTTCAGCAGTGCAGAGCAACTCAGCTAAGTAGAGGGAATATGAAATAGAACCAGAAGTCTAGCCTGCTTAGCTACAAATGTTTCCACCAAAAATAGTGGATACAAATGAATTAAAAGTATGCACAGTTTGGTGTCTGCTTGAACAATGGGCACATCCAGTGTGGAGAGCTTAAAATGACTATTTTTATCCAAAAGAGGAACTATTTCCCAAGCTAGATCCCAGAATATGAGGCCTGAGACCACCTCATTCCTATGGCTGAGAAAAGTAATACAGAATTATGGAGGCTGGCACGTCGGCATGTCCAAAATTTGCAGAGTGGGTAGCAGGCTAGTCCAGAGAAGTGCCAATATTGCGGTTTAAGTCCAAAGTCTGTTGGCTAAAGAATTCCCTCTTGCTTGGAGGAGGTCAGTCTTTTGTGCTATTCAGGCTTTCAACTGATTGGACGATGCCCACCCACATTATGGAAGGCAATTTGCTTTCTCCAAAGTCCACCCTTTCAAATGTAAATCTCATCCAAAAACACTCTCACAGAAACATCCAGAATAATGTTTGACCAGCCAAGTGGACACATAAAAGTAACCATAATTTTTTTTTTTTTTTTTACGGCCGGGTGCGGTGGCTCACGCCCGTCATCCCAGCACTTTGGGAGGCCGAGGCGGGCAGATCACAAGGTCAAGAGATCAAGACCATCCTGGCCAACATGGTGAAACCCCGTCTCTACTAAAAATACAAAAATTAGCTAGACGTGATGGCGCGCACCTATAGTCCCACCTAATTGGAAGGCTGAGGCAGGAGAATTGCCTGAACCTGGGAGGCGGATATTGCAGTGAGCCGAGATCGCGCCACTGACTCCAGCCTGGCGACAGAGCGAGACTCTGTCTCAAAAAAAAAAAAATTAAATTTTTAGGGCATAACTGCAGCTGTTCCTTAAGTAATTTGTATCTGCTTTAAACCACTAGAGAATTAAACTATTCTCAATCAATTCTAAAGGGTGCTGGAAATACATGTCTTTCAGCATCTTCAGGCTGAGTTTCAAGTGCTAGTTTCCTGCTAGTTTCCCAGTGCATGCCTCACATTTTGGCCCAGTCAAGTAAGTCCCATCACCAGCAAATCCACAGTGATTCCACATCAGGAAATTCCCAGTGGTTCCATATCTGAGCTTGCTCAGAATAAACTTCTCACCCAAGAGCTTATTTACCACCATCAGATCTCTAAATAAATAACATTTTGTTTATTCCTATTACAAAAGCAATATATGTTCATTATAGAACATTTAGAAATGTGGGAAAACAAAGAAAATAAAAATCACTCATAATCCTACCATTCAGAGACAACTACAGACCCTTCCAGTAAGATTTTTCTTACAAAAATGATATCAAACATTATATCCTATTTTATAACTTCCCCATTTTACAATACATTGTAAACATTTCCATGTCATTAAAAATTACATAATATCACTTTTAATGGCTAGTTAATATGGAACCAACAAGGGCTTTGAACACATTAACTTCAGCTCTCTGAAAGCTGAAAGGCAAATGGGATGACAAACTACCCTTATACAGGATTAGGTTCATAACAATCACAGGAAATGCCACATATGTGAAAATAAACAGATAACAATTTTGAAGTTTTTCCATTGAATGTACATGAAAGAATGTTTTGTCTTGTTTTCTTTTTTTTTTTTTTTTTTTTTTTTTGAGACAGAGAGTCTTGCTGTCGCCCAGGCTGGAGTGCAGTGGCCCAATCTCTGCTCACTACAACTTCCACCTCCCAGGTTCAAGCAATTCGTGCCTCAGCCTCACGAGTAGCTGGGACTACAGGTGTTAGCCACCATGCCCAGCTAATTTTTGTATTTTCTGTAGAGACAGGATTTTTGCCATGTTGGCCAGGCTGGTCTCAAACTCACGGCCTCATGCAATCAGTCAGCCTGGGCCTCCCAAAGTGCTGGGATTACATGTGTGAGCCACCACGCCCAGTCAACAAATTTGTTGTTTTTTTTTTTTTTTGAGACGGAGTCTCGCTCTGTCTCCCAGGCTGGAGTACAGTGGCGCAATCTCAGCTCACTGCAACCTCTGCCTCCCAGGTTCAAGCAATTCTCCTGCCTCAGCCTCCCGAGTAGCTGGAACTACAGGCGCGTGCCACCACACCCAGCTAATTTTTTATATTTTTAGTAGAGACAGGGTTTCACTGTGTTAGCCAGGATGGTCTCGATCTCCTTACCTCATGATCCGCCCGCCTCGGCCTCCCAAAGTGCTGGGATTACCGGTGTGAGCCACCGCGCCTGGCTGTTTTTTTCTTCTTTTTGAGACGGAGTCTCACTCTGTCGCCAGGCTGGAGTGCAGTGGCGAAATCTCGGCTCACTGCAACCTCCGCTTCCCGGGTTCAAGCAATTCTCCTTGATTCTCTCCGTGCCCGGCCAGCAAATTTGTTTTCTTATAACTTGCACAGCCTGTCCACCTCCCAATCACTTCTACTCAAACCTTCATCTAGGCTCAGCTAGGCTAAGGGCAAAGGGTAAGTAGTAAAATTCACTCAGAACTCTGATTTTTTTGTTTTGTTTTGAGACAGAGTCCCACTCTGCCACCCAGGTTAGAGTGCAGTGGGGCAATCTCAGCTCACCACAACCTCCACCTCCTGGGTTCAAGGGATTCTCCTGCCTCAGCTTCCTCAGTAGCTGGGACTACAGGGGTGCGTCACCATGCCCAGCTAATTTTTTTATTTTTAAGTAGAGATAGGGTTTTGCCATGTTGGCCAGGCTGGTCTCGAACTTGTGACCTCAGGTGATCCTCCCGCCTTGGCCTCCCAAAGTGCTGGGATTACAGCCTTGAGCCACTGCGCCCAGCCTTTTTGAAACAGGGTCTCACTCTGTCGCCCAGGCTGGAGTGCAATGGAGCAATCTCAGCTCACTGCAACCTCCACCTCCTGGGCTCAAGGGATTCTCCTGCCTCAACCTCCCACGTAGCTGGGATTATAGGTGTGTGCCACCACACCCGGCTAATTTTTGTATTTTTTTAGTAGAGACAGGGTTTTGCCACATTGGCCAAGCTGGTCTCGAACTCCTGGCCTCAAGTGAACTGCCCACCTCAGCCTCCCTAAGTGCTGGGATTACACACCTGAGCTACCACACCCTGCCAGAACCCTGATTTTTTTTTTTTTTTTTTTTTTTTTTTTTGAGACAGAGTCTCGCACTGTCACCCAGCCTGGAGTGCAGTGGCGCGATCTCGGCTCACTGCAAGCTCCGCCTCCCGGGTTCACGCCATTCTCCTGCCTCAGCCTCCCGAGTAGCTGGGACTACAGGCGGCCACCACCACACCTGGCTAATTTTTTGTATTTTTAGTAGAGACGGGGTTTCACCGTGTTAGCCAGGATGGTCTTGATCTCCTGACCTCATGATCCGCCCACCTTGGCCTCCCAAAGTGCTGGGATTACAGGCATGAGCCACCATGCCTGGCCCAGAACTCTGATTTTTAAAGTGCTCCTTCTAAGAAGACTCAGAGCTACAGAGATGTCAGAAACAATCATAGAATGACTCTACATCCTCCCACAATGATACTAGACAGACACACTGGCACACCTCGAAATTTCTGGGTTGTGCACAGCCCAAGAGGGCTCATTTAAGCTGCCATGTCCACTCCTCCAACAAATCCAGGCACCATCTAAAGGGAACATGCCAAGTCACAGTCTCCTTTGTGAATTCCATAATGGCAAGAGAGCTCTCATTCATATTTGCGTTCCTGGCACCCAGAGCACATTTAATAAAAGTTGATTAAACAAAAATAATGACTTGGTCCTGAACTGCATTCTACAACTGCTCCTTGAGTTTTGTCCCATCCTATAATAACCATCACAAGCTCTGCTATTTATTCTACCATTTCTGTCCTGGCCCCACCTTTGAGATTGTTCTCACAGTTATCTTTGCCACTAGGTTGCAATTCTGACTGTGCTGGTGATGCTGGTTCCAGGTCCCTCAGGAACCCCTCCCCCAGTCTGGTCTGCCCTTGAACTCTATACTGGCCCCAGGGTATCCCAGGATTGTCAGAAAGGCCTGGCCAGGATTCACCTGGGAGAGGGATCAGCATCTCTGCAAAGTTGTTGGATTGAAAGAACTTTCATTTTGAGCTACATCATTGAAGAGCTTTAAATCTGAAAATAAGAAAGACGTTGAACCCTATTACTCACATCTCTTTGTCATTTGAAGCAGATCCCGAACCACTCAAAAGGACAAAACAAGGAAATAGCAATGAAATTGGATTCAGTGAATGGGGTAAGGGTATTAAGTGTCTGAAATATAAGAGATAAAAAAATTAGTTTTTACCTTTTTTTCTATTTTCTAAATGTTTTGGTGGCTAGAATAAGATATACTTTGAACTCAAGAGCAATAAATGTTAATATATTAAAAGTAGCTTTATGAAATATGGAAAGTATCTTTATTTCAAAATACTTCAAAGTAATCATCTGAATATTTATCAGAAATATTAAGACAACTTATTAAATCCTGTATTAAAATGATTGCTTATTACTTTTTGTTTATACTAGTCAGAAGTGATTCTCTTCCACATTTTAGATTTTTCAGAGTAAAAAGGATATAATTTTAGACTTTCAATTGAATATAAACTGGGGTTTTTCCACACGATTTGTGGACATGGCTGTCTGATGGTGACTCTTAGGTATTTATGCTAAAAATGTTATTTTGGGGATCCTTGGGAATGGACTCTGATATTTATTTATTTATTTATTTATTTATTTATTTATTTATTTATTTTGAGGCGGAGTTTCACTCTTGTTGCCCAGGCTGGAGTGCAATGGCACCTTGCCGGCTCACCGCAACCTCCGCCTCCTGGGTTCAAGCAATTCTCCTGCCTCAGCCTCCTGAGTAGCTGAGATTACAGGCATGCGCCACCACGCCCGGCTAATTTTTTTATATTTTTAGTAGAGACGGGGTTTCTCCATGTTAGTCAGGCTGGTCTCGAACTCCCGACCTCAGGTGATTCACCCACCTCGGCCTCCCAAAGTGCTGGGATTACAGGCATGAGCCACCATGTCCGGCTGGACTCTGATATTTATATTCACATTATTGGCCAGTAGGGAACTGATATCTGACTCAAAAATTAGTAGGATATGAAATCCTTCATTCTATCCATGAGCTTGTTATTCTTGAGAAAAAAATTTACTTTGAGAGTCTGAGGAATGATAAGTTTGTTACATTCCGGAATCTAGTTTTGGTGTTGTGTCCATCCTTTAGATAGGGTGCAGCTCTGTTTTACCATAGCAACAACTAACTTTTATTTCCATAGCCACTGACTGCACTCCTGACCCTGCCAACCATCTTGCAAATACATCCTCTTGCTTAGAAGAACCAGGGGAGGGGTGGGGCATGGTGGTTCATGCCTGCAATCCCAGCACTTTGGGAGGCTGAAGCGGGCAGATCACTTTGAGCTCAGGAGTTCAAGACCAGCCTGGGCAAAATGGCGAAACCGTCCCTTAAAAAAAAAAACAAAATCGCATCACTATACTCCAGCCTGGGAAACAGAGTGAGACCCTATCTCAAAAGAAAAAAAAAAAAAAAAAAAAGGGCCAGGCACAGTGGCTCACGTCTGTAATCCCAGCACTTTGGGAGGCTCAGACGGGCAGATCACCTGAGGTCAGGAGTTCGAGACCAGCCTGACCAACATGGTGAAACCCCATTTCTACTAAAAATAAAAAATTAGCCAGGCATGGTGGAATGCGCCTATAGTCCCAGCTACCAGGGAGGCTGAGGCAGGAGAATCACTTGAACCAGGGAGGCAGAGGTTGCAGTGAGCCAAGATCACGCCACTGCACTTCAGCCTGGATGACAGAGTGAGACTCTGTCAAAAGAAAAGAAAAGAAAAAAGAGAGGGAGAGAAAGAAGAGAAAGAGACGGAGGGAGGGAGGAAAGAAGGAAGGAAAAGAGAGAAAAAGAGAAGGAAGGGAGAGAGGGAGGGAGGGAGAGAGAGAGGAAGGGAGGGAGGGGAGGAAGAGGAGGAGGAAGAAAGAAAAGAAGGGCAACAACCAGGGGAAGAATATGGATGAATCAGTCCAAATTTATCATCATCACTGTGCCTTTCTGGTGACAGGTCAGTGGTGATAATGCTCTTTGAGGATGACTCCCTGCAGTACTAACGGAAGCACAAAAGTGCCAGAACTGGATGACAGCTCACTTATTTCAGGCTAGAAAAAAATCTGGGCACACTAGGGTGAATGATAAGCTCCTTGGCATGCTAGCCAAAATCAGCTTAAAAGAGGGCTACCTGGGTACAAGAGAACCCTTATTTTGGGTTGAAAAGCAGAAGCTTCCCAAGAGGGAAGATACACTGAAGCTGAAGGTGTGGCAGTCCCCCCAACCAATTAGACTGGGGATGAAGGCTGCTTAGTTGGACTAGGAAAAGTAATGGATACTGGATTCCAGAGTGGGCAATGTTGGGAGGAGCAAGGTAGAATGTGATTTAAAGGGACTAAGAAATTTTGGGCTGAGCTAGGCTATAGGAGAATGGTAGACAGACCTGAGGATTTTGCTGGGCTGTGTCAGTCTGGGTTATAGAAGTGGGTGGAAATTACAACTAAGGGACTTGGAGATGAGGGGAGGTAAGAAGACAGATCTGATGGTATTGAGGTAGGGGCTGCTAAGAGAAGCATCAAACAGGAGGGCTAGCCCAGGTTTGAGCTGGACACTCCACTGACAGTTCTAAAGCAGAAAATTAGGGAAGGAATAGTCAGGGGCTTATCAGCTATGCAGTAGCTTCTAGAAGTCAACAGCTGGCTCTGGGAGGGAAAAGATTGAGAAAAACAAAAGAAATAAATAAGAGCAGAAGGTATAGGGGAAAAGGTAGGGGTGAGAGTTATCAGTCTGGTTAGAGCTGGGCTAAACATTTAGTCTTACCATCAGTTTAAAAGCACCTGGACCAGTTAGTTGCTGTACAGGCAAAGTCAAAGGGAGAAGCCTGGCCTCTCTCTACTCAGTCAAGGTTCATGACTTTAGGAGACTGCAATGAACCAGGCATACCAGGAAAGGAAAAGGTTAACTGAGGTTGAAAAAAAAACTTTATGTGGCACTTTTAAACAAGCAGGTTGGTTTGGCTTGTGTGACTATGATGGTGCCTGATTTTGAGCAGAGCAATTTGTGTTGTGACATTTTAAAATCCATTCTGGCACTTGGTGATGAATGTGTTGGCTGGCAGCTAAGAACTTGCTAGAATGCAAGTATGCAAGTCTTCACCATTTATAATCGACACTTCCTTTCCAGGAAAGAGCCTTTCTAATCTTTGAATCAGTGGATTTATCAATTTGCATAAAATATGCCATCCTCAATGAACACATTTATCATCTACCACTTAACTTTCCTTCTGTTAAAAAAAAAAAAAAAGCAGAATCACCTTCCTGTGAGTCAGCAGCTTTAAATTCAGCTGTGCTGGGTGAAGCTGTTAAGGGTAGGAAGGAGCCATCACTAGAAGGGGGAGAAGCAGGAATAAAATGATCTTTTCTATTTCCATGATTTTTTATGTTTCTGTTTAAATGGTTAAATACCCAATTAGGTTAGATGCTAATTAAATGTAAAATTACTGGGCTGTTCCAATATGCATGTTAAAGTTGTACTTCTTGGTTGTTTGTAATTTACCTAACTCTTGAGAGATCATCAGAGCAGCCCAGCTGAGTTTAAAGAAGGCTTCCAACTGCCCAGGATATGCATCAGTTCCTGAACAAAAAAAGAACACCCCAGGATCAACAGAAGCTACTATCAAATCCTTCAAACACTACATGCACCACATGCTCACATTTGTCCTATTTTTGCTACTATTTATCCACAAAAAAGCCAAGCCTGAACTCCTTCTTGAGGCCAAAACTTAAAAATATACCAAATGAATCAGTTCAAAATTTTACAAATTTGGTTTGGCTTAATCATAACTGATTCTTCATACTATTGACACCGTTGATTCTTCACACTATAGATACCACTCACTAAAATTACAACTCAGTCACCTCTTCCCATATACCATATTTCATTAAAATCAATGTAAGATAAGAAATGGTTACCAGATGCCATCGTTTCAGACCAAACCATATGTCAAATTTTGAATAAACCTAACAACATCTGATTGGTTAAGTAGCATACCTAGATTTATTAAAATCACTACACTCCTTTAATGTCTGTAGGAGAACATGCATGCACAAGCACACACACGTTGTGTGTGCATTTATATATATATATATATATATATATATATATATATATGTATATGCTACTGCAAAATTGAAGAGACTTTACCAAGTTCTGTCATTGACAGGGACATTATATATAAAGAATATACATACTGTAATTCACCTCATCAAGAGTTAATTTTATGGCCGGGCACAGTGGCTCACACCTGTAATCCTAACACTTCGGGAGGCAGATCACTTTGAGCTCAGGAGATTTGAGACCAGCCTGGGCAACGTGGCAAAAACCCATCTCTACAGAAAAATACAAAAATGAGCTGGGCGTGGTGACTCCCGCCTGTAGTCCCAGCTGTATACATGGGAGGCTGAGGCTGGAGGATTGCTTGAGCCAGGTAGCAGAGGTTGCAGTGAGCCAAGATTGTACCAGTGCACTCCGCCCTGGGTGACAGAGCAAGACCTTGTTTCAAAAAAAAAAAAAAGAGTTAATTGTACCAGGAACATGTGGTGTCAAAATTTAAAATATGTGAACTCTTTGACCCAGCAATGCTATTTTCAGGGATATATCCTAAGATCATCACCAGCAAAGTATATAAGGATGTGCATGCAAAAATATTCATCATGGCTTTCTTTATACAATGAAAAATTGGAAATAAACTTCTCATTAATGGGATGCTGGTTAAAGAAAATCATTACTGTAATATGCAGCCATCTAAAAGGGTAATTTATATGTATATATATTTACATAAGAAAACCCTCATGTCATATTGCTGAGTAAAAAGAAAGATGTCAATGAGTATTCATGATGTGATTCTATTTATCCTTGCAAATGGTGGAAATTCAATTATATGGTATTTTCTCTCTTTTCTGTTTGTTTTTCATATATGTATATATTTCCTTTGAAATCAGAAAAAAATCAAGCTATTTTCATCAGAGGAAAAAAATCATTACTCTGTATTTCAGTCACACTAAAATAGTCACCCAAGAAGCCAATTGTAGCTCTTTTATTTCTGTGCCTTCTGTTGGAAGGAAAACTGTACATAAACAGACCACATTACAGAGAAAATTTGAATGGATGGTGTCTGGTGCCTAAACCAAAACAGAGGTGAAATATTATACAAACTGAAGAGGATGACTTTATCATAGTGTTTGAAAGAATTCTGTGTGTGTGTGTGTGTGTGTTGTGTGTGTGTAGATACATACTAGTATATTTTCATTACTAACCAAAAACATAATGTAAGTTCCAAATGGCAGCAAAGAATATAATTACCTTTGGCTTTTCTTACATAAGTTACCACCCCATAAATCTTTATGTTAATTTGGAAAAATCTGACCTGAACAGATGGACCTCATGCTGTTCTCTAAAACATGAACAGATTTCTGATCTTCTGGACCAGGAAATGAAGTCAGCACTAAAAGAGAAGACACCATCATCCAGCTCCTAGAATTTCAATCTAAGAATCTGTAATAAAAGCAGTATTTCCCTCTACAGAAATATAGCAAAGTAATATGTTTACATCTTAATGAAATGTACTCTTGATATGATAAAACACAGTGTGATATTTATAGCACTGGTGGTGCTGGCTGTCTGGTCCCTGAACCTCACCAATTTTGGAGAATCCCCTTGCTGTGGTTCTTGGCAGGTAGAGCATTTGGCTTGATGCTCCCAAGTTTCTTATGGAAGGCACATCTCTGGGGCTGACACTCTGTGTGGATAAATCTTCATCTCATTAGTCCAAGGGCCTTTTTTCCATGAGCATTTTCACAGAAGCTGTTTCACAAATCAACTCCATTGGTGTTGAAGACCTAATAAAGGGCTCTCTATCAAGTAATTACAGCACTGAGGTTTGAATTTCTGCTCCACAACCTTCTAGTTGTTTAATTTATGTCGGGAAGAGACTGGTCGATAAGCAGGCCTGAATCTGAGGAAGAATTGGGGCCAAGGAGGTGGCCTGTGAGGTCAGGAGATTGGTTACATAAAAGAAGAATGAGTAAATAGTTAAATATATCGAGGATAATGGAAGCCAGATTTTTTTACCAAGAGAGAAGGAAGTTACAAATAGAATAAGGGTGAAGACTAGAATGAACCCTGTAGTGTTGGAGTAGAGCTAGAGATATTGGAGTAAATTCATGAGTTTTAATATAAATGGACAGAAAGATATATAAATAGATATAGGGGTGTGTGTGTGGGTGTGTGTGTGTGAATTTCCTAGCTCTGTCTGCTAAAATGGCCTAAAAACAGTAACACTCCAGTAGCAATGACCACACCTAGCATCCAGATCTTGGTTCTAAAAATCCATTCTCAAGTAAAAGGAACCAGAGCTCAGTGGAGAAACAGCTGATGAAATAACTGCAATGATTGTGGCAGAAAAAATACCAGAAGAGCCTGAAATGTCTTGCACCCCAAAAAAGTACTCTCAGAATGATACAGAGATGCCAAAAGGACACAGGAGCTGGCTTGAAGGGTATCCCAATGGCTGGAACTGGAGCATTTTCAGCATCAAAACCAATAGTGATAGTAATGGCTTATAATCTATTGGATAAAATAGAAATCCACAAGTCCACGCTGATGGAAATAAGCCAATAAGAAGGGAGAGGAAAAAACTTCTGTACAATAGAATCCCAACTAGTAAATGGAAAACAAATATTGTAATTAGAAAAACTACAATTTGGCAATCATCCTAGTAACAGTTTATGCAAGAATCATAAAATAAGCAAGTGAAACTTTGTTAAGAAACCAGATGTTTACATAGCCTCAAAGTGTCTTCCTACAAAATACTTATTAATTCAAAGGGAAAGAGAATAACTTAACAGTGGAGAAATTATCACCTTAAGCCATCAAAGTTAACATCACCAACAAAAAAACAATATTATGTGCCTTTTAATATGATACATTTGGAAGAATACAATTTCACTTCTATCACATTCCTGCCAAAAAAAAATGTATCACCTGAATCTAATCAAGAAGAAACATCAGACAAACCTAAAATGAGGAACTCTACAAAAAAAAAAAAAAAAGAAAAAGGCCTGAACTCAAAAATGTCAAGGTCACTAAAGATAAGGAAGGATTGAGGAAATGTCACAAATTAAAGATTAAAGAGACATAACAACTAAATGTAATTCATAATCCTGACTTTGATTCTAGACCAAAAGTAAGAAATACTTTTTCAAAAAGGAAATTGTTAGGACAAATGACAAATTTTGAATGTGGTGTGTGGATTAGATAGTGGAATTATATCAATGTGAAATTTCTGATTTTGGTGATAACACTGTGGTTATGCAGGAGAGGGTCCTTGTCTTAAAGGAAAACACTTAAGTAGTTAGGGATAATTGGATATCACCTCTGCAACTTACCTTCGATTGGTTCAGAAAAAGAAAATGAATGGCAAAACAAATGTAAAATGTTTACAATTGGAGAACTTGGGTGAAGAATAATAAGAGAGTTATCTTTTACCCAGGAGTTTGTTGTATTATATTTGCAACTTTTATGTAAGTTTGAAATTACTACAAAATAAGTTACAAAAATGGCAATACCAGTATTTAATTCGTTGGATTTTGGGGAAAAGTACATGAGTTAATATGTGTGGTATGTTTACAACAGAGCTAGACACATAATAAATGCTATATATATATGTTAGCAATGATGGTGATAGTGAGACAGTGGTGGTGGTGATGATGAAGTCCTGAATTTTAAACACACAGGTGCAGTGGCTCATACCTGTAATCCCAGAACTTTCAGAGGCCAAGGCGGGCTGATCACCTGAGGTCAGGAGTTCAAGACCAGCCTGGCCAACATGGTGAAATTCCTCCTCTACTAAAAATACAAAACTTAGCTGGGTGTGGTGGCAGGTGCCTATAATCCCAGCTACTCTTCTGAGGCATGAGAATCGCTTGAACCCGGGAGGCAGAGGTTGCAGTAAGCCAAAATCACGCCACTGCACTGCAGCCTCAGCCACAAGAGTGAAACTCCGTCTCAAAAATAAATAAATAATAAACACACAATTCATCTGAATTGGGATGAGTTGACTCTGGCTCACTTTTCTCCTTTTAGATTTAACAAAGAAATTAAAATAGTATTTACTTGCATCTGACATGCTAACAACAATGTAAATTTGTTTATTGCAATTTAAACACTGTTCATATAATGTTTTATACACTAGTGTCCCCAAGCAAAAGACATGTTAGTAATATTTTTTTAAATAATCCAAGATCAAATTTTTAAAAAGCCATTTTCACCTTTCATTAATTTAGGCAATCTGGTGATAATGAGAATATGCAATACATAAATATATACATATATTAACATATATTTAATAAAGGTAAATCATGTACAATGCTATTGTTTACGGTTACTATACAATACCATATACAGTAGCATTGTATATGATTAACCTTTATTAAATATATACATTAATATATATTACAATACATAGAATTAAAGACCATGAGAGTTTAAAAGATTTTGGGGATCATCTACTCCAATTCCTTTGAGAGTAAGTATATCTTCTCTCTACAGCAGGGGTGCCCAACCCTCAGTGCATGAACTAGTACTAGTCTGTGGCCTGTTAGGAACTAGGCCACACAACAGGAGGTGAGTGGAGAGCAAGCGAGCATTACTGCCTGAGTTCTACCTCCTGTCAGATCAACGGCAACATTATATCTCACAGGAGCACAAACCCTATTGTGAACTGTGCATGTGAGGGATCTAGGTTGCATGTTCCTTATGAGACTCTAATGCCTGATGATCTGAAGTGGAACCGCTTCATTCTGAAACCATTCGTGAACACACCCCCCACCCGCCGACTCCTTCCATGGAAAAACTGTCTTCCATGAAACCAGTCCCTGGTGCCAAAAAGGTTGGGGATGACTGCTCTACAGCATCCCCATCAAATAGTACAGTTTCTGATTGACCACCTACAATGACTAGAAACACTCCTTCTCAAAACAGCCAGTTGGAAGTCATTCCTGATTGTTAGAAAGTTACTTTTTAACAATGAGTCAAAATCTTTCTCCATGTAATTTCCAGAGGCTGCTACTATATGTCTTCTGAGGTCACAAATTGATTCCCTCTTCCACTTAACAACATTTCAATAACGTGAACTACTATTCCCTACCCTCCTCATCTAAATTCTCCCACTGTAAGTTTCCTCTTCTCCAAACTGAATAGCCCCTGGGTTTTCAATTATTCCATGTATAATCATGGTTTTCAGTCCTTTCACCATCTTATGTTTTATTCTTTTTTTTTTTTTTTTTTTTGAGACAGAGTCTCGCTGTTGTCACCCAGGCTGGAGTGCAGTGGCGCGATCTCAGCTCACTGCAAGCTCCGCCTCCCAGGTTCATGCCATTCTCCTGCCTCAGCCTCCCAAGTAGCTGGGACTACAGGCGCCCGCCACCATGCCTGGCTAATTTTTTTGTATTTTTAGTAGAGACGGGGTTTCCCCATGTTAGCCAGGATGGTGTCGATCTCCTGACCTCGTGATCCACCTGCCTCGGCCTCCCAAAGTGCTGGGATTACAGGCGTGAGCCACCACACCCGGCCTCAGTCCTTCCACCATCTTAACCACTCTCCTCAGTTTCTATACTTTGTCCTGTTCAGGGGGATTTTGTTTCTATGAAGGCAGTCTGACATCACATCAGCTATCTGGCAATCTCATGCATTCATGATTATTCCTTTATTCAGTCAGTATTTATGAGTGCCTATGATGTGGAAGGCACCATGCTAAGACATTATGAGAGACAAGACCAAGAAGGCATAAGCTTTCTCTTAAGGAACTTAAATGTTAATGGGTGAGAAAAGATATCAGACACAACAAGTACTATGCACATTAAAGGAAGGAAATTATACAATTAACTATAGATTTGCTTTAACATCAGAATATGGGTGAACAAAGCAAAAGTAATGACAATTTCAGCCTAGAACTAATTTGTTTTGGGATAGCATAAGAATTGGTAAAAAGGAGCAGTTTGAGATTTAAACTACACTAAAAGAGAAACTTCTAGATTAGAAGAATGAGCTGGGCATGGTGGCTCACACCTGTAATCCCAGCATTTTGGGAGGCCAAGGCAGGTGGATCACGAGGTCAGAAGATCAAGACCATCCTGGCTAACACTGTGAAACCCCATCTCTACTAAAAATACAAAAAAATTAGCCAGGCCTGGTGGCGGGCACTTGTAGTCCCAGCTACTCGGGAGGCTGAGGCAGGAGAATGGCATGAACCCGGGAGGCAGAGCTTGCAGTGAGCCGAGATCGTGCCACTGCACTCCAGCCTGGGCGACAGAGCTAGACTCCATCTCAAAAAAAAAAATGAAGAATGATCACACAAATGCAGAAGACACAAAGAGTTTACAGTTTGTTAACCCCTGAGAGCTCTAACAGGAATAATTATTTGTGCAGAGTGATTTACATGCAATTTTTTAAATAGGCAAAAAAAAAAAAGACTAGACTCAAGCACTTTACATGTATTATCTCACTTAAACCCACAAGTCCAACAAGGTAGGTACTATTACTCCTTTTTTCAAAAAACTTAAACGAAGCTCAGCAAGGTTTGGTGACTTGCCCAAGCTTACCAAGGTCCTAAATAGTGCAGTCAGGCTTCAAACCCAGGCTGTCACATTCCAAACCATTTGTTTACAACTTGAGATTATCAGCTACTTAATGCCCAACAAAGCAATTTCTGGCAAATTCCCACCCACATGCCTTCAACTTTCCTGGTGACCTACTTGAAAAACCTCTCACTGAACAATCTGGTTCATTCTCTGGATTCTAGAACACTTTCTACAGGGCTCTGTCATCATCCTTGACATACTGTATCATTGTGAGGTGCCTATGTACCAGTATCCCCTGATAAAGTGTTACCACTCCAAGAAAAGGCATTATGTCTTTATCTTTCTTCTAAACATCTCCAACCCCTAGCTCAGTGTAAGACTCAACAAATGCTGGAAAAATGAATGAGTCCTCTGGCTTAGCTGATATGCTTTGGAGAAAGTCACCTTCTTAACCAAGCACCTCTAATTCTGGATCTAATTAGTTGTAGTGCAGAGCTTTGGTTGTCACAATTCTGCAACCTAACTCTATCTTGTATCTCCTAACTGTAAAGTAAGGGAATCCAAAAAGCAATGTGAGTATCTAGCTGTTGTCCACCACCCTCCTCAGCAGCCTCATTCATTTTTCAGGGTCTTCACTCCCATTTACAACAGTGGCCAGCCAGAGTTACACAGAAACCAGAGGCAAAATAAATGGGAAATTAAATCACCTAATATTTCTCCTTTCCTCCATTGAGTTCCTAAAGTAAAAGAGTTCAGTAAAGTTGCTGATACTTTGGGGTCTTAAATAAAAGAGAGATACAAAGCAAGTGATTTTTATGCAGTCAGAAAATGATTAAACAAAATTTAGTAAAGATGGCAGGTATGTGGATTGAGTTCACATATAATTATAACTATGAAATAGTGTTAAGTTGAAAAATGCAATTGACATACTGAAGAATGCATTAGAGTCTCTTAATAGCAGAATTGATAAGGCAGAAGAAAAAAAATTACTGAGATTAAAGACAGGCCATTTGAAAATACACTGTCAGAAGAGCAAAAAGAAAAAAGAATAAAAAGAAATGATGTGGGCTGTGTACAGTGATTCATGCTTGTAATCCCAGCACTTTGGGAGGCTGAGGTGGGCGGATCACCAGGTCAGATCGAGACCATCCTGGCCAACATGGTGAAACTCCATCTCTACTAAAAATACAAAAAGTAGGCCAGGCGCGGTGGCTCATGCCTGTAATCCCAGCACTTTGGGAGGCCAAGGCAGGCAGATCATGAGGTCAGGAGATTGAGACCATCCTGGCTAACGCGGTGAAACCCTGTCTCTATTAAAAATACAAAAACATTAGCTGGGCGTGGTGGCGGGCGCCTGTAGTCCCAGCTATTCGGGAGGCTGAGGCAGGAGAATGGTGTGAACCTGGGAGGCGGAGCTTGCAGTGAGCCGAGATGGCGCCACTGCACTCCAGCTCGGGCGATAGAGCAAGACTCTGTCTCAAAAAAAATAATAATAATACAAAAAGTAGCTGGGCATGGTGGTGTGTGCCTGTAATCCCAGCTACTCAGGAGGCTGAGGCAGGAGAATCGCTTGAACCTGGGAGGCGGAGATTGCAGTGAGCTGAGATCGCGCCACTGCACCCCAGCCTGGTGACAGAGGGAGACTCCGTCTCAAAAAAAAAAAAAAAAAAAAAAAGAAATAATGTATGTCTAAAAAATCTAGAAACAGCCTCAAAAGGGCAAATCTCAGAGTTATTGGCCTTAAAGAGGAGATAGTGAAAGAGATAGAGGTAGAAAGTTTATTCAAAGAAATAATATGAGAACTTCCCAAACCTAGAGAAAGAGATCAACGTTCAAGTACAAGAAGGCTATAGAACACCAAGCAGGTTTAACCCAAAGAAGACTACTTCAAGGCATTTAATAATCAAACTCCCAAAGATCAAGGATAAAGAAAGGATCCTAAAAGCAGCAAGAGAAAAGAAACAAATAACATATAATGGAGCTCCCATATGTCTGCCAGTAGACTTTTCAGTGGAAACCTTACAAGCCAGGAGATAGTGGCAAGACATATTTAAAGTGCCAAGGGGGAAAAAAAAAATTTACCCTAGAGTAGTATAGCTGGTGCAAATATCCTTCAAGCATGAAGGAGAAATAGTTTCCCAGACAAATAAAAGTTGAGGGATTTCATCAACACCAGACCTTTTCTACAAGAAATGCTAGAGGGAGTTCTTCAATCTGAAAGAAAAGAACATTAATCAGCAATGAAAAATAATCTAAAGGAGTCCAGGTGCGGTGGCTCACACCTGTAATCCCAGCACTTTGGGAGGCTGAGGCGGGCAGATCACAAGGTCAGGAGTTCAAAACCAGCCTGGCCAATATAGTGAAACCCCGTCTCTACAAAAACTACAAAAATTAGCCGGGCATAGTGGCGGCCGCCTGAAGTCCCAGCTACTTGGGAGGCTGAGGCAGGAGAATCGCTTGAACCCGGGAGGCGGAGGTTGCAGTGAGCCAAGATGGCGCCACTGCACTCCAGCCTGGTGCCAGAGCAAGACTCCATCTAAAAAAAAAAAAAGTCATCTAAAGGTACAAAACTCACTGGTGATAGTAAGCACATAGAAAAACATAGAATATTATAACACTATAATTGTGGTGTGTAAACTGCTCTTATGTAGAAAGACTAAATGATAAGCCAATCAAAAATAAATTTTCAAGACGTAGACAGTACAATAGATGTAAAGAGAAACAACAAAAAGTTAAAAAGCAGAGAGATAAAGTTAAAGTGTAGAGTTTTTATTAGTTTTCTTTTTTGCATGTTTATGCAATCTTTGTTGTCATCAGTTTAAAATAGTGGGTTATAAGACAGTATTTGCAAGCCTCATGGTAACCTCAAGTCAAAAAACATACAACAGATACACACACACACAAAGCAAGAAATTAAATATGCCACAAGAGAAAATCATCTTTACCAAAAGACAAGAAGGAAGGTAAAAAGGAAGAGAAGACCACAAAACAACCAGAAAACAAGTAACAAAATGGCAGAAGTCCTTACTTATTGATAACATTGAATGTAAACAGACTAAATTCTCCAATCCAAAGACACAGACTGGCTGAATGGATTAAAAAGCAAGACCCAGTGAATCTGTTTCCTACAAGAAACACACTTCACCTATAAAGAGACACATAGACCAAAAATAATAAAGGGATGGACAAAGATATTCCACGCCAATGAAAACCAAACAAGGACAAAAGTAGTTATACTAATATCAGACAAAATAGATTTCAAGACAAAAACTGTAAGAAGAGACAAAAAAGGTCATTATATAATAATAAAAGGGTCAATTCTTCAAGAGGCTATAACAACTATAAATAAATATGTACCCAGTGCTGGTGCACCCAGATATATAAATTAAACATTACAGGGAAAGAGAGAGACCTCAATACAATAATAGCTGGAGACTTCAACACCCCACTTTCAGCATTGGACAGATCGTGCAGACAGAAAATCAACAAAGAAACATTGGAGTTAATCTGCAATATAGAACAAATGGACCTAATAGATATTTACAGAACATTTCATCCAACTGCTGCAGAATACATATTCTTCTCATCACATGGATGATTCTCAAGGATAGAACACATGTTAAGTCACAAAACAAGTCTTAAAACATTAAAAAGGTTGGGTGCGGTGGCTCACGCCTGTAATCCCAACCCTTTGGGAGGCTGAGGTGGGCAGATCACCTGAGGTCAGGAGTTTGAGATCAGCCTGGCAAACATGGCGAAACCCCATCTCTACTGAAAATGCAAAAATTAGCTGGGCATGGTGGCGTGCACCTGTAGTCCCAGCTACTTGGGAGGCTGAGGCAGGAAAATCGCTTGAACCCAGGAGGTGGAAGTTGCAGTGAGCCGAGATCATGCCACTGCACTTCAGACAGAGCAAGACCCTGTCTCAAAAAAAAAAAAACAAAAACCCTGAAATGATACCAAGTATCTTCTCTGACCACAAGTAAACTAGAAATCAATAACAAGAAGAATTTTGGAAACTATACAAACACATGGAAATTAAGCAATATGCTCCTGAATGACCAATAGGTCAATGAAGAAATTAAGGAAATTGAGAAATTTCATGAAACAAATGATAATGGAAACACAACACACCAAAAGCTATGAGATACAGTGAAAGCAGTACTAAGACAGAAACTTACGGCTATAAATGCCTACATCAAAAAAAGAGGAAAAACTTCAAATACGTAACCTAATAACACATCTTAAAGAATTAGAAAAGCAAGAGCAAACCAAACCCAAAATTAGTAGAAGAGGCCAGCAATTTGAGAGGCTGAGGCCGGCAGATTGCTTGAGCCCAGTAATTTGAGACCAGCCTTGGCAACATGGCAAAACCTCATCGCTATAAAAAATACAAAACTTAGCCAGGCGTGGTGGTGCACACCTGTAGTCCCAGCTACTCAGGAGTCTGAGGTAGAAAGATCACTTGGGCACCAGGAGGTTGAGGCTGTAGTGAACTATAATCATGTCCCTGTGCTCCGGCCTGCATGACAGAGCAAGACTCTGTTTAAAAGGAAAAAAAAAAAACTTAGTAGAAGAAAATAAATAATAAAGATTAGAGCAGAAATAAATGAAATTGAAATGAAAATACATAAGGTCACTCAAACAAAAAGTTGGGTTTTTTTAAAAGATACACAAAGTTGACAAACCTTTAGTCAGACTAAGAAAAAGAGAGGACCTTCCCTCCACTATTGTCCTATGACCCTGCCAAATCCCCCTCTCCGAGAAACACCCAAGAATGATCAATAAATACTAAAAAAAAAAAAAAGAAAAAAGAGAGAAGATCCAAATAAATAAAATCAGAGGCAGCTGGACAAGGTAGCTCATGCCTATAATCCTAGCACTTTGGGAGGGTGAGGCAGGCACTTGAGCTCAGGAGTTTGAGACCAGCCTGGGCAACATGGTGAAACCTCATCTCTACCAAAAATATAAAAAATTAGCCAGGTGTGGTGGTGCATGCCTGTGGTCCCAGCTACCTGGGAGGCTGAGGTGGGAGGATTGCTTGAGCCAGGGGAGACAGAGGTTGCAGTGCATCACGACTGCACCACTGCACTCCAGCCTAGGTGACAGACCACATCTCAAAAAAATAAATAAATAATAAAATAAAATTAGAGATGAAAAAGGAGACATTACAACTGATACCACAGAAATTCAAAGGATCATTTGCGGCTACTATGAGCAACTATATGCCAATAAATTGGAAAATCCAAAGGAAATGGATAAATTCCTAGACACATATAAAACACCAAGATTGATCCATGAAGAAATTTGAAACCTAGACAGACCAATAACAAGTAACAAGATCAAAGTCATAATAAAATACTACTGATTTTTGTATGTTGATTTTGTATCCTGCAACTTTACTGAATTCTAAAGTTCTTTTCCTCCCCATAAAGAAAAGCCCAGGACCTCGTGGTGGCTCATGCCTGTAATCCCAGCACTTTGGGAGGCCGAGACAGGCGGATCACGAGGTCAGGAGATCAAGACCATCCTGACTAACACAGTGAAACCCCTGTCTCTACTAAAAATGCAAAAAATTAGCCGGGCATTGTGGCGGGCACCTGTAGTCCCAGCTACTTGGGAGGCTGAGGAAGGAGAATGGCGTGAACTCAGAAGGTGGAGCTTGCAGTGAGCCAAGATCGCGCCACTGTACTCCAGGCTGGGCGACAGTGTGAGACTGTGTCTTAAAAAATAAAATAAAATAAAATAAAGAAAAGAAAAGCCCAGGACCTGATGGCTGAATTCTACCAAACATTTAAGGAAGCATTCTAATCCTATTCAAACTGTTCCCAAAAATAGAGGAGAGAATACTTCCGAACTCACTCTATGAGGCCAGTATTACTCTGATACCAAAACTAACAAAGACGCATCAAAGAAAGAAAACTACAGGCCAATATCTCTAATGAATACTGATGCAAAAATCCTCAACAAAATACTAGTAAAGCAAATTCAACAATACATTAAAACAGTCATTCATCATGACCAAGTGGGATTTATCCCAGGGATGCAAGGATGGTTCAACATGTGTGAATCAATCAATGTGATAAATTATATCAACAGAATAAAGAACAAAAATCATATAATCATTTCAATTAATGCTGAGAAAGCACTTGATAAAATTCAACATCCCTTCATGATAAAAATCCTCAAAAAACTGGGCACAGAAGGAACATATCCCAGCATAATAAAAGCCATATATGGCTGGGCAAGGTGGCTCATGCCTGTAATCCCAGCACTTTGGGAGGCTGAGGGGGCGGGTCACTTGAGTCCAGGAGTTTGAGACCAGCCTGGCCAACACGGCAAAACCTTGCCTCTACTAAAAATACAAAAAATTAGCCTTGGTATGGTGGTGCATGCCTGTAGTCCCAGCTGCTTGGGAGGCTGAAGCATGAGAATTGCTTGAACCTGGGAGGGAGAGGTTACAGTGAGCCAAGATGGCACCACTGCACGCCAGCCAGAACAACAGAGCAAGGCTCTGTCTCAAAAAAAAAAAAAAAAAGTTATATACGATAGACCCACAGCTAGTATCATATTGAATGGGGAAAAACTGAAAGCCTTTCCTTCAAGATCTAGAAAAAGGATGGCCACTTTCACCACTGTTATTCAAGACAGTACTGGAAGTCCTAGCTACAGCAATCAGATAATATAAAGAAATAAAGGACATCCACGTTTGCAGGGACATAGATGAAGATGGAAACCATCATTCTAAGCAAACTATCACAAGGTCAGAAAACCAAACACCGCATGTTTTCACTCATAGGTGGGAGCTGAACAATGAGAACACATGGACACAGGGTGAGGAACATCACATACCAGGGCTGGTAGGTGGGGAGTCAGGGGCTGGGGTAGGGATAACATTAGGAGAAATATCTAATGTAAATGACGAGTTGATGGGTGCAGCAAAGAAACATGGCACATGTATACCTATGTAACAAACCTGGACGTTGTGCATATGTACCCTAGAACTTAAAAAGTATAATTTTTTTAAAAAAGCAAGAAATAAAGGACATCCAAACTGGAAAAGCAGATGACAAATTATCCTTGTTTGCAAATGATATGATCTTATATTTGGAAAAACCTAGAGACTCTGGCAAAAAACTGCTAGAACTTTAGAATTCATTAGTAAACTACTGTTTACAGATAAACAAATTCAGTAAAGTTGCAGGACACAAAATCAACATACAAAAGTCAGCAGCATTTCTATATGCCAACAGTGAACGATCTGAAAGGGAAATCAAAAAAGTAACCCATTTACAATAGCCACAAATCAAATTAAATACCTAAGCATTAACTTAACCAAAGACGTGAAAGATCTCTACAAAGAAAACTATAAAACATTTGTGAAAGAAATTTAAGAGGACACCAAAAAATGGAAAAATATTTCATGTTCATGGATTGGAAGAATCAATATTGTTAAACTGTCTATACTACCCAAAGCAATCTATAGATTTAATGAAATTCCTGTTTAAATAGCAATGACATTCTTCACAGAAATAGAAAAAAAAATCCTAAAATTTATATGGAACCACAAAAGACCCAGAATAGCCAAAGTTATCCTGAACAAAAAGAACAAAACTGGAAGAATCACATTACGTGACTTCAAATTATACTACAGAGCTATAGTAACCAAAACAGCATGGTACTGGCATAAAAACAGATACATAGACCCATGACACAGAATAGAGAACCCAGAAATAAATCCATACAGCTACAGTAAACTCATTTTCCACAAAGGTGCCAGGAACATACACTGGAGAAAGGACAGTCTCTTCAATAAATGATACCGGGAAAACAACATCCATATGCAGAATAATGAAACTAGACCCCTATCACTCACCACATAGAAAAATCAAATCAGCCTGTAATCCCAGCACTTTGGGAGGCTGAGGTGGGTGGATCACAAGGTCAGGAGTTCGAGACCAGCCTAACCAACATGCTGAAACCCCATCTCTACTAAAAATACAAAAAAAAAAAAAAATTAGCCAGGTGTGGTGGCGCGCGCCTGTAATCCCAGCTACTCAGGAGGCTGAGGCAGGAGAATCGTTTGAACCTGGGAGGCGGCGGTTGCAGTGAGCAGAGATCAAGCCACTGCACTCACTGCACTCCAGCCTGAGTGACAGAGGGAGACTCCATCTCAAAAAGAAAAAAAAGAAAAAGAAAAATCAAATCAAAATGGAATAAAGACTTAAATATAAGTCTTCGAACTATAAAACTACTTCAAGAAAACTTGGGGAGACTCTCCAGGACATTGTTCTGGGCTAAAATTTCTTGAGTAATGCCACACCAGCATAGGCAACCAAAGCAAAAATGAATAAATGGTGTCACATCAAGTTTAAAAGCTTCTGCACAGCAAAGGAAACAGTCAGCAAAGTGAAAAGACAACCCACAGAATGGGAGAAAATATTTGCAAACTACCCATCTGACAAGGGATTAATAATCAGAATACATAAGGAATGGCAAATAACTATCAGAATAAATCTAATGATCCAATTTTTAAATGGGCAAAAGATCTGAATAGACATTTCTCAAAAGAAGACATACAAATAGCAAACAGGTATATGAAAAGCTGCTCAACATCATTGATCATCAGAAAAATGCAAATCAAAACTACAATGAGATATCATCTCACTCCAGTTAAAATGGCTTTTATCCAAAAGCCAGGCAATAACAAAAGCTGGCAAGGATGTGGAGAAAGGGAACTCTCACACATTGTTGGTGAGATTATTAATTAGTTCAACTTCTATGAAGAACAGTTTGGAGGTGCCTCAAAAAAATAAAAATAGAGCTACCATACAATCCAGCAATCCCACTGCTGGGTACATAACCAAAAGAAAGGAAATCAGTATATGGAAGAGTTATCTGCATTCCCATGTTTGTTGCCGCACTGTTCACAATAGCCAAGATCTGGAAGCAACGTAAGTGTCCATCAACAGATATTTACATACAATGGAGTACTATTTAGGCATAAAAAAGAATGAGATCCTGTTATGTGCAACAACACAGATGGAACTGAAAGTCATCATGTTAAGTGAAATAAGCCAGGCACAGAAAGACAAACTTCACGTGTTTTCACTTATCTGTGGGATCTAAAAATCAAAAAAATTGAACTCATGGAGATAGAGAGTACGCTGGGCGCAGTGGCTCACGCCTGTAATCCCAGCACTTTGGGAGGCTGAGGCAGCCAGATCACCTGAGGTCAGGAGTTCGAGACCAGCTTGGCAAACGTGGTGAAACCCCATCTCTACTAAAAATACAAAAATTAGCTGGGTGTGGTGGCGGGCACCTGTAATCCTAGCTACTTGGGAGGCTAAGGCAGGAGAGTCACTTGAACCCAGAAGGCAGAGGTTGCAGTGAGCTGTGATCATGCCACTGCACTCCAGCTTCCAGCCTGGGCAACAAGAGCAAGACTCAATCTCAAAAAAAGAAAAAGAGTAGAAGGATGGTGGTTACCAGAGCTGGGAAGGGTAGTGAGAGAGAGTTGGGGGTGTGGGGAAAACTGGGGATGGTTAATGGATACAAAAAGTAGAAAGAATGAATAACACCTAGTATTTGATAGCACAAAAGGATGACTATAGTCAATAATAATTTAATGGTACATTTTAAAATCATTAGAAGAGTACAGCTGGATTGTTTATAAAAACAAAGGATAAATGCTCAAGGGGATGGATACCCCATTTACCATGATATGATTATTAAACATGTTGCATCCCTATATCAAAACATCTCATGTACCCCGTAAATATATATATACCTATGTACCAACAAAAATTAAAAATTAATATAAATAGAAATAAAAATGAAGTAGTCAAAGTCATAGAATCGAGGAGTAGAATGGTGGTTTCCAGGGACTGGAGGGCAGGGGAAAATCAGGAGTTATTAATCAACAGGCATAAAGTCTCAGTCAAGCAAGATGCATAAGCTCTAAAGATCTGCTATACAGCATTGCACCTATCAACAATACATATCAACAATAATGTATTATACACGTAAAATTTTGTTAAGAAGGCAGGCCCGGGTGCAGTGGCATACGCCTGTAATCCTGGCACTTTGGGAAGCCAAGGCAGGCAGATAACCTGAGGACAGGAGTTCAAGACCAGCCTGGCCAACATGGTAAAACCCTGTCTCTACTAAAAATATAAAAACTAGCTGGGTGCGGTGGCCAGCTACTCAAGAGGCTGAGGCAGGAGAATCCCTTGAACCCGGGAGGCAGAGGTTGCAGTGAGCGGAGAGCACGTCACTGCACTCCAGTCTGGGCAACAAGCAAGACAATGTCTCAAAAAAAAATTTTTTTTTTGTTCAGAGGATAGATCTCATGTTACATATTCTTTCCACAATAATTTTTTTAAGTCTAAAAAATTGGACATAAATGTTCATTATGGGATTGTTTAAAAAACTTACATTCTATCCACACAGATCAATATTATGCAACCCTTAATAATGATGACCTAGTTTTATGATGAAAGACATTAATTATAAATTATATAGCAAAAACGCAACCAATAGAGGATTGGTCCATTTAAAATGTATGCATGTTCATCTAAATGAAAATCTGTTTACAATGGTTTTCTATGTTTATGCATTTCTCTATTACCTAAAATTCTTATAATGAGCATATATTTTTTAAGGAAAAAACAATACCAATGTTTTTGAAAAATACAAATGTAAACTTTAAGAACTTCACACAAACCACATACCACCAATATATTTAAAATTGTCTGCATTATGATACATTTTAGTCATATGTTAAGATTATAAATTTCTATGATTATTTATATGTTGTTCTTATTAAAATTTACATTAATTCATTTTCCTTAAGCTTTCTTTAAGGAATTTTTTTGGTATCAATATCAATTTTACATCTTCCTAGACTTTTGTTCTGGAATGTAAATGAGTATAAATACTTAATTGCTCAGCCAAATACCAAACACTTCAATCCACAGGCTCTGTGCCTTTGGAACAGATGATTATGAAAATAAATGGCTCTGCAGAGTTCACATTTACTAGAAGTGTCAAAAAATAAAGATGGATTACAAAAGCTCTAAAAAATGTGTGGCTTGTAGTGTGTAATGGTTTTCAAAAGGGATGAGTGTATTTGCATGTGTGTTAGGTTTGTGCGTAAATGCACATACCTGTATCTTTCATAAGTATATGTGAGAATTCCTGTTTACGCTCATGGTGTGTACTTTCTCATAGGTAATAAAATCTGTTATGCATATGCTTATCTGTACCTCCAAGGCAAGCCACATTTGCTTTCGGGTTATGTTCAGGAAACCAGCCTCAACTTGTCTGAAAAGAGTTTCAGTGTTGGGCCTGCTCCACTCTGGCCACCAGCCATGGAGATGGGCTATTTTTGGCAAAGGTGCAGAGTAGAAGGGCAACGCAGGCCGCGGCCCAGGAAGTCAGTCGACGAGGGCGCGCGAGGCACTTCAGCACCACGGACATAGGCAAGCCTGAGCCAAGTCCTTTCCCGCGGAGGAAGATCGCTCCTCCGGAGCTACCCCCAGCCCTCTGGACCTACCCCCAGCCCTCTGGACCCACCCCCAGCACTCTGGACGTGGGGGGTTACTATCTCCAGGTCCTCGATCAACACTCGGACCCGAGCTTTCCGCCTCGCTCCTCGCGGAGCCGGGTGAAAGAAAACCTGGCCCGAGATGCAGGTCCGCGCTGAGCCTTCATCCGCCGCAACACGAGTCTCTTTCCTGCCGGCCCGCGCGACCCTTCTTCCCTCTCCTCCTCTCAAATGAGGCCAAATGGGTGCACGTGGCGTAGAAATTCTACAGCGCCCAGAGCACTGTGAGGAAAGATTCGCCTTTTCCTCCCCGTGGCTGCTGGAGGCTGTGCGGACTTGCCCTGAGCCTTCTCCGCCACTCTCGGCCGTGACGAGGCCCTTCCTCCACTAACCCTTGCCCTCGTCTTCCCTTGGGAAAAGATGTCTACAAACCGTCGATGTACCACGAAAATCTCAGCGCCCACAGACTGGCGTTCAAGAGTCATGGACATGAGACAAGAGAGTAATGGAAAATACAAATTCTTGGCCATATTTCTAAAATCATCCAGCCTTTTTTAAAACTTGTATTTGAAATTGATCCCATATGACGCCACAGTGACTCACCCCTTGCTTGGGTTGGCTACTGGGCGAGAGGAAAGCAACAGCCCCTGGCCTTCATCATGGACGCTGCAGGAGGGCCCAGACACGCGACAGCGGAAAGAAACGGGAAACCGGGCCGTAGCCGATGCTGGCCCTCCCGTCCCCGTGTCCCGGTTCTCCAGGAGGGCAGCACAGAGAAATGCGGGCCCCGCGGCCTTTCAGGCGTCGTGCAGAGCACCCCGAAGTCTGCAAAGCGGGCGGGGCGCGTCGCCCCCAGCCCGGCCCTTACCCAAAAAGACTGTTGTGCCCCTTAGGTGTGGCGGCTAAACGCGGGTGTGTGGAGTTCGGGGTCCGCTCTCATTCCCTTGTCGGGCGGCCGGGCAGGCAGGATCAAGGTCCCAGTCCGCCGCCGCCGACCGGCTCCCGGGGCCCGGTTACCTGCGTGTCGTGGCGAGGAAGGTGCCCCGGAGGCGACTGACGCGGGCGTGCCCTCGCCTGGGAAAATCGAGGCGGGCGCTGCCCGGAGTACTGCGGAGGGAGAGGGGCGCCGCCGCGCGGACTCTGCGCCTGCGCTCTCCGCCCTCCGCCGCCCCCACCCCACAACCTGACTGGCGCCGGAGTTGGAGACTGCGGGGGACGCTCAGGGTTGTGCCTGAACTGAAGGACTTCCTCTACCCGCGAGGTGGGAGGGTCCACGGGAAAGCGCCCGCCCGGGCCCCTCTAGCTTACGCCCTTGGAGGGCGCTTGTTTGAAGCAATTGCCTGTCTGCCAGGGCTACGTAGTCCGCTGCAAGTGGGCACGGAGGCAGTTTCTGTCCATTTCCACCCATTGTTTGCGCTTAAAAGTCGCAAGTCTATTCCTTCATGTTTAAATATGTGTCCAGCATCGGAAAATCGTGGTCCGGAAAAGTCTTCGGGCATCCCCGAGTCCACCCGCCATTTTACTGATAAGGTCTCTGAGGGAAGGGTCTTGACACTGCACAGCTGGTTCTTCTACCCAAGTGCATATGCCCCAGTCCCAAGTGGAATGAATATAGCCTCTTGGAAACAGACTGGTCATTAAAAGCAGTGGATTTGATGGGTCCAGGGGACAGGCAAGAAAGGGTAAGGGCTGAACCAAGGTGCTGGCTGTGGGAAAAAACAGGAGGTGCTTGCTGGTTTTTCCTCTGTCCCTTCAGACCCACTCTCCACTCTGCTCTGTGACTCAGGACTGACCTTTATGGGCTACGTCAACTATAATCTGGCTTTCAATTGGTTTTGGCAAGTGGGAGGCACCTGCAGATCAGAAGGCAGGATGTGATTCAGGACCTCCCCTGCATCCCCAGCGGGCCACCCTGTTAGCAGTGGCTATGTTCTTCATCTGAAAGCCATTACTCCCATCCTGTGGCCCTCTCCTGCAGTTTTCTCCAGGTTCTGGTTACCACTAACTACCCTTGCCCCTTCAGGCCTGGAGTGGGTAATGACGCCCAGAGGTTTCCTTTAACCCCATCCACACCTTTTTAAATAGTCCCTTCATTAAACTCTCCTCAACTATCCCATCTTTTCCCCACCTTTCCAGGACGCTATAATAGATTTTAGTCCATTGCGGTTGGCAAAATTCATGAGGACAAAAATATATGTAAAAGAAATACGGGGCTTTTAAAAGGCGAGAAGTCTTCCAGAGCCATCTTGACAGTTCCCTGGGCTCCAGGCAGCCAGCATGCTAGGTGGTCTCCCCACTGGGCCCCATAGCCCGAGGGTGCTAGTTTAGGTAGACCCAAGAATGGAATTCAGACTGCTCATAAACAGTGTGATCACCAAAGGGCTGGGGATCATTTCAGAGTCCAGCATAACAGGATTTTGGATTCCTCTTGAGGTAGAGAGACAATCTAGATCTTTATAGAGCAAGTGCTGGTGCTCTCCCAACTACAGCTGGGCTGCTTTTGAATGAGTCAATATTCTTAGGACACTTAAGAGAGTCCTGGAAACAGTGTCTGACAAGTGTGCTTAACAAGAAACTGCTGAGTGAGGCAATTGTCAATTGAGAGCCTCTGGCTGTTTCTGTAGAAAATCCAAGAATGTTCCCAAAGAGGGGGAAAAAGGCAAGAGGGTAGGAAGTCATTAAATTGCCTCTAGCACACTATGGTGTGCTTGGTCTGAATCCAAAATTTGACCATTTCTCGGGCTTGTAAAAACAACCAAACTGATTTGACTACTTTGATTCCTTCCCCATCCCCTTGAAAAACAAAACAAAAACAAAATAAACAAAAAACCCACCAATGCAGTATCTTAGCAAGACTTACCCAAAGGGACCCCCAGCTGTAGCTATTTGCAAATAAAATTAATGTCCAAGCAAACACACTATTTGTACTGAATACAAATGAGACCAGAACAGAACATTTAACATGTAAATATTTCCAAACTTTCACCCTTCCAAAGAGAAAGGATCATTTGTTGTTCAGACATGCATTAATTGTGCTGATCTCAATAAGGAATAGAGGTAAAGAAGCAAAAGGAGCCTCAGAAGGCTCGGCTGATCTGCAAGGCTCAGATTTTTTGTTTTGGAGAAGGTGGGATGGGGTGGGGATAAGGAAGGCGACCAGCAAAGTTTGAGTAAGGGAGTAAGAAAAAAAGACCTGGAATGAGCTGACTAGGAGAGATGGTTTCTGGGAGTTTTGAGAGAGTGAGACTAGGGATTTAGCACAGCTGACATTCTGAGTGACACCAAGGTATAGAAAGATATGAAAGAGGATTTTTAGACATTTTGTGATGTTTAATAAATGGAATTATTTTGTGCTATGATACATAGGGCTTTTCCTTACAAGTGTCAAAAACTTAAACTCAGACTGATTTAAGAAAAGGAGTATATTTGGCTTAATAACTGAAAAATCCATAGATAGGTAACTTCAGATATGACTAGATTCACGAATGCAAACATTGACATCAGGACATGATCTCTCCTTTCCTCTTTGTTGACATCAAAGAGTTTGTTTTCACATAGTGATTTCTTGCCACCTCCCCACCTTTCCCCAGTGTTCAACTTATATCATCTTTATAGCTAACCATTCCAAAAGAAGCAGAGCACTTATTTCCCAGTAGTTCCAATAAAATATTGAGCTTATGTTTCATTAGCAAACTCATATACCTTAATCTAGAGACAGGGCCAGGCGCAGTAGCTCATGCCTGTAATCCTAGCACTTTGGGAGGCCAAGGCAGGCGGATCACCTGAGGTCAGGAGTTCGAGACCAGCCTGACCAACATGGAGAAACCCGTCTCTATTAAAAATACAAAATTATGGCTGGGTGCAGTGCCTCACGCCTGTAATCCTAGCACTTTGGGAGGCCAAGGCGGGCGGATCATGAGGTCAAGAGATCGAGACCATCCTGGCTAACATGGTGAAACCCCATCTCTACTAAAAAATCCAAAAAAATTAGCCAGGCATGGTGGCGGGCGCCTGTAGTCCCAGCTACTCAGGAGGCTGAGGCAGGAGACCGGCGTGAACCCAGAAGGTGGAGCTTGCAGTGAGCCGAGATCACACCACTGCACTCCAGCCTGGATGACAGAGCGAGACTCCGTCTCAAAAAAAAAAAAAATTTAGCCAGATGTGGTGCCACATACCTGTAATCCCAGCTACTCAGGAGGCAGAGGCATGAGAATCGCTTGAACCCAGGAGGCGGAGGTTGCAGTGAGCCCAGATCATGCCATTGCACTCCAGCCTGGGCAACAAAAGCAAAACTCCATCTAAAAAAAAAAAAAAAAAATCTAGAGACAGAGAATAGGGGAGAGTTCATCCTCCAAAAGAAAATCAAGATTCTTTTTACCAGAACAAACCATATAGTGATGGGCAGGTGAAAAAAGAAAATATCCACTACAGGTACATCTCAAAACAACTTTGGTTAAGATGTATATTGCTTTCCAGTATTTTTTGTGGATACCAAACTAGTGTTTCTTTTGAAAATGACAGCGAGGCAGCTGAACTGTTTCTTTAACTTAAAAAATAAGGTGAAATGTCAGCCGGCACAGTGGTTCACGTCTGTAATCCCAGCACTTTGGGAGACCAAGGTGGGCAGATCACTTGAGGTCAGGAGTTCGAGACCAGCCTAGCCAATATGGTGAAACCACGTCTGTAGTAAAAATACAAAAATTAGCCGGGCATGGTGGTGCATGCCTGTAATCCCAGCTATTCGGGAGGCTGAGGCAGGAGAGTCACTTGAACCCAGGAAGCAGAGGTTGCAGTGAGCTGAGATCACACCATTGCATTCCAACCTGGGCATTGCAGCAAGTCTCTGTCTCAAAAAAAAAAATCAAATAAATAAAAAACAAAACAAAAAATAAAGTGAAATGTCTTGCTGTTCCTATACAAAGAGATACCAGAAAATATTCTTAGAATGTATTTTAGTCTGAGTTTTCATATACTCATAATTTTTATTTAAGTGGCCCCTTTTCTGATCCCAGCAAAGAACTAGAATCCTCAAAGCCCTGAATAAGTTACCAGAGTTCCTCATTACCATTCTGGAGATACTTATTTCCTCTTATCAACATCATCGACTTCACTCTCACAATCAGATACAAAGCTCAGTACAGTTGACTCTTGAACAACATCAGTTTGAAGTAGACAGATCCACTTATATGTGGCCCTTTTTTTTTCAGTAAATATATTAGAAAAGTTTTTGGAGATTTGTGACCATTTGAAAAAATTTACAAACCATATAGCCTAGAAATATAGAAAAAAAATTAAGAAAAAGTTAGGTACATCATGAATGCATAAAATATATGTAGATACTTGTCCATTCTATCATTTACTGTCGTAAAATATACACAAATCTATTATAAAACATTAAAATTTATCAGGCCAGGTGCAGTGGCTCACACCTGTAATCCCAGCACTTTGGGAGGCTGAGGCGGGTGGATCACTCGAGACCAGCTTGGCCAACATGGTGAAACCCTATCTCTACTAAAAATACAAAAATTAGCCGGGCTTGATGGTGCACATCTGTAATCCCAGCTACTCAGGAGGCTGAGGCAGGAGAATCACTTGAACCCAGGAGGTGGAGGGTGCAGTGAGCCCAGATTGCGCCACTGCACTCCAGCCTGTGTGACAGAGTGAGACTCTGTCTCAAAAAAAAAAAAGTTAAAATTTATCAAAACTGGGCCGGGCGCAGTGGCTCACACCTGTAATCCAGCACTTTGGGAGACCAAGGTGGGCAGATCACAAGGTCAGGAATTCGAGACCAGCCTGGCCAACATGGTGAAACTCCGTCTCTACTAAAAATATAAAAATTAGCCAGGCATGGTGGCTGTAATCCCAGCTACTTGGGAGGCTGTGGCAGGAGAATCTCTTGAAACTGAAAGGCGGAGGTTGCAGTAAGCCGAGATTGCACCACTGCACTGCAGCCTGGGTGAAACAACAAAACTCCATCTCAAAAAAAAAAAAAAAAAACTTATCAAAACTTACACAAACACAGACTGTATATGGCACCATTTGCAGTCAAGAGAAATGTAAACAAACACGAAGATGCAGTATTAAATCATAACTGCGGTCAGGTGCGGTGGTTCACGCCTGTAATCCCAGTACTTGGGGAGGCCGAGGCAGGTGGACCTTTCTTACTAACATTTTCTTTTCTCTAGCTGACTCTATTGTAAGAATACATACCAAATACATATAACATACAAAATGTGTGATAATCAACTCTTTCTGTTATCAGTAAGACTTTGAGTCAACAGTAGGCTATTAATAGTGAAGTTTGGGGGGAGTCAAAAGTTGTATGTGGATTATTGACTGTGTGGAGTTTCAAAGTGGATCAAAGACCTGAATATAAGAGTATAAACTATAAAACTCTCAGAAGAAAACATAGGATAGGCTGGGCGCAGTGGCTCACACCTATAATCCCAGCACTTTGGGAGGCCTAAGCAGGCGGATCACCTGAGGTCAGGAGTTCTAGACCAGCCTGACCAACATGGTGAAACCCCATCTCTACTAAAAATATAAAATTAGCTGGGCATGGTGGCACATGCCTGTAATCCCAGCTACTTGGGAGGCTGAGGCAGGAGAATCACTGGAATCTGGGAGGCAGAGGTTGCAGTGAGCCGAGATCACGCCATTGCACTCTAGCCTGGGCAACAAGAGTGAAACTCCATCTCAAAATAAAAAAAAATGAAAACATAGAAGAAAACCTTCAATACATTGGATTTGGCAATGATTTCTTAGATGTAACACAAAAAAAGCACAGGCAATAAGATAAAAAATAGATCAGTTGGACTTTATCAAAATTAAATGTCTTTTGTGCATCAAAAACACTACCAACAGATTAGAAGGCAACCCATGAAATGGAAGAAAATATTTGCAAATCATATATCTAATAAAAGATTGATATCCAGCATACATAAATAACTCAACTCCTACAACTCAACAGCAGCAACAACAAAATCCAACCCCTTTTAAAAATAGGCAAAGGGCCAGGCACGATGGCTCATGCCTATAATCCCAGCACTTTGGGAGGCTGAGGTAGGCAGATCGTTTGAGCCCAGGAATTTGAGACCAGCCTAGGCAATATAGTGAGACCTCATCTCTACCCCCGCAAAATACAAAAATTAGCTGGATGTCCCTGTAGTTCCCAGCTACTTGGGAGGCTGAGGTGGGAGGATCAGTTGAATCCAGGAGTAGGAGGTTGCAGTGAGACAAGATAGAGCCAGTACACTCCAGCCTGGGCAACAGAGTGAGACCCTGTCTCAAAAAAAAAAAAAAAAAAGCCGGGGAGGAAGGGCAGGCAAAGGATTTGCATAGACATTTCCCTAAAGAAGATATACAAATGGGCTGTGTGTGGTGGCTCATGCCTGTAATCCCAGCACTTTGGGAGGCCGAGGTGGGTGGATCACTTGAGGTCAAGAGTTTGAGATCAGCCTGGCCAACGTGGTGAAACACCGTCTCTACTAAAAATACAAAAATTAGCCAGCCACGGTGGCAGGTGCCTGTAATCCCAGCTACTTGGGAGGCTGAGGCAGGAGAGTCACTTGAACCCAGGAGGCGGAGGTTACAGTGAGCCGAGATCATGCTACTGCACTCCAGCCTGGGTGACAGAGCAAGACACTGTCTCAAAAAAAAAAAAAAAAAAATTTGGCCAGGCGAGGTGGCTCATGCCTGTAATCCCAGCACTTTGGGAGGCCGAGGCGGGCGGATCACGAGGTCAGGAGATCAAGACCAACCTGACTAACACAGTGAAACCCATCTCTAGTAAAAATACAAAAAATTAGCCGGGCGTGGTGGCACGCGCCTGTAGTCCCAGCTACTCAGGAGACTGAAGCAGGAGAATCCCTTGAACCTAGGAGGCAGAAGTTGCAGTGAGCCGAGATCGCACCACTGCACTTCAGCCTGGGTGACAGAGTGAGGCTCTGTCTCAAAAAAAAAAAAAAGAAGAAGATATACAAATGGCCTAGAAGCACGTGAAAAGATGAAAAGATGCTCAACATCACTAATTATTAGGGAAATGCAAATTAAAAACCACAATGAGATACCCCTTCATATTCATGAGGAAAAGTACTATCAAAACACCAAAAAATAACAAGTGTTGGCAAGGATATGTGGAAAAATTGGCATTGTTGCATTGCTGGTGGGAATTGTAAAATGCTATAGCTGACAGATACAGGAGGCAGATAAGGGAGGGTTCCCAGATAATCTCTCACCGTCCCAAACATCATATGCTTTTGTGCAGATGAGGGAACCTGCCCAGAGTCTTCCCTGGGCATGCCTGCAATGCCTGTGCACTGAGAGAATGGGGTGGAGCCACCGGGAATTCACACCTTATGCAGGGGGAAGAGCCTGGCCTCTTCAGCTCATGTGTGGTGGCCTGGTATTTAATCTGTGAGGTGAAAGCCTGTTCACAAGACCCCCTCTTTCTTTGCCGAGAGTTTTCTTTTCACCCAATAAATCTGCCCTCCTCACCCTTCAATGCATCTGCATGCCTAATTTTTCCTGGTCATGAGACAATACGCTGGATTTTAGCTGAACTAAGGAGCAGAAAATCCTGCATCATAACCACTGGGGAAACTGGTATAACGATTCCTCAAAAAATTAAAGACAGATTTGCCATATGATCCAGTACTTTTACTTCTTTTTCTTTTTTTCTTTTTTCCTTTTTTTTAAATTTGAGACAGTGTCTCACTCTGTCATCCAGGCTGGAGTGCAATGGCATGATCTTAGCTCACTACAACCTCCACCTCCCAGGTTCAAGTGATCTTCCCACCTCAGCCTCCAGAGTAGTTAGGACTACAGGTCTGTGCCACCATGCCAGCTAATTTTTGTAGAGACGCAGTTTCACCATGTTGGCCAGTCTGGTATCGAACGCCTGACCTCAGATGATCTGCCCACCTCGGCCTCCCAAAGTGCTGGGATTTCAGGCATGAGCCACTGTGCCTAGCCTGATCCAGTCATTTTACTTATGATACATAAACAAAAGAAGTGAAATGAGAGACTTGAACAGATATTTGTACACCCATGTTCATAGCAGCATTAATCACAATAGCTAAAATGTGGAAGTAACTCAAGTGTTTGTCAATGGATGAATGAATTTAAAAAGTATGGTATACACAGACAGTGAAATATAATTCAGCCTTGAAAAGGAAGGACATTCTGACACATGCTATTACATGCATGAACCTTAATAATATTATGCTAAGTGAAATAGGCCAAAAGGACAAATACAAATACTTTATTATTCCACTTATATGAGGTACCTAGAGTAGTCAAATTCATACAGACAGAAAGTAGAATGGTGGTACTGAGGCTGGGGTGGAGAATGGGGACTTAGTGTTTAATGGTACAAAGTTTCCGTTGGGAAAGACAGAAGAGTTCTGCAGATGGGTGGTGGTGATGGTTGAACAACAATGTGCATATGTTTAATGCCATAGAACTGTTCACTTAAAAATGACTAAAATGGGGGAACACTTAGTTTATTTTAAAGAATAAAGTGTTGCCTTGATTCTAGAATCACAAATAAAGCCAGTTGAAGTCTTTAAGCTAAATTTATTATAACTTTTTTTTTTTTGAGAAAGAGTCTCACTCTATTGCCCAGGCTGGAGTGCAGTGGTGCAATCTTGGCTCACTGCAGGCTCTACCTCCTGGGTTCAAGTGATTCTTGTGCCTCAGCCTCCCAAGTAGCTGGGGTTACAAGCACCTGCCACTACGCCTGGCTAATTTTTGTATTTTTTGTAGAGACAGGGTTTCACCATGTTGGTCAGGCTGGTCTCGAACTCCTGACCTCAGGTGATCTGCCTGCCTCGACCTCCAAAAATGCTGGGATTACAGGCATGAGCCACCGTGCACAGCCTATAATTTTGTCATTGATTGTCTTTTGCCAAATAGTTTGAACCATAACCATAACCATAATCTTTTTCCTTTCCTTTTCTTTTCTTTTCTTTTCTTTTTTTTTTTTTTTTTTTGAGACAGAGTCACTCTGTAACCCAGGCTAGAGTGCAGTGGCTTGATCTCAGCTCACTGCAGCCTCCACCTCCAGGTTCAAGAGGTTCTTTGAGTAGCTGGGAGTACAGGCCTGTGCCACCATGCCCAGTTAATTTTTTGTATTTTTAGTGGAGATGGGGTTTCACCATATTGGCCAGGCTGGTCTTGAACTTCTGGCCTCAAGTGATCCACCTGCCTTGGCCTCCCAAAGTCCTGAGATTACAGGCATGAGCCACTGAGCCCACCCTGTAATCTTTTTAAATAAAAAATATTTGAATGAGGCCGGGCGTAGGAGAATCACTTGAGCCTGGGAGGCAGAGGTTGTGGTGAGCCAAGATCACGCCATTGCACTCCAGCCTGGACGACAGACTGAGACTCCGTCTCAGTCAATCAATCAATCAATCAATTTGAATGAGGTAAGGCAGGGGTGGAGTTGAAAAAGGTTGAAAACAAAGGAAGATAAAAAATTGCACTTCAGAAAAATCTCCTCAAATTGACAAGAAGCAGGATAGCTTCAGGAGGGAATGAGTGGATGTTCAGCATATTCTCCTCCTCTGGAGCATTGCTAAGGAGTGGTCCCAGGTGGGGTTGCTTGAGGCACAACCAAATGACCTTCTGACCTCCACCTGTCCCAAAACTGGATCTGTGAAACACTGGATTTGATCCGTAACAATGGGGATGCAGAGAAATTTAAATGGGTTGCAATATACAAACTAAGTGCCTTTCATGGAATTTATAATTCCCAAACTCACAAGTGGTGTTGAGCAGTTGAAAAACATGCAATCTCCGGTTGGGCGTGGTGTTTCACGCCTGTAATCCCAGCACTTTGGGAGGCTGAGGCGGGCTGATCACGAGGTCAGGAGATCGAGACCATCCTGGCTAACATGGTGAAACCCCGTCTCTACTAAAAAAAATACAAAAAAATTAGCTGGGCATGGTGGCAGGCGCCTGTAGTCCCACCTACTTGGGAGGCTGAGGCAGGAGAATGGCATGAACCTGGGAGGCAGAGCTAACAGTAAGCCGAGATTGCGCCACTGCACTCCAGCCTGGGCGACAGAGCAAGACTCCGTCTCAAAAAAAAAAAAATAAATAAAAATAAAAATAAAATAAATAAAATAAAAACATGCAATCTCCTTGATTGGTGAAAACATACCTACACATTCAACTTCTCCCTTCTTTATTTCAGAAGAATGACTGCAGGATAACCTTCATGGCATGGAATGCCAAAGATGTGGCTGTGTCTTATTATTTCTACCAGTTGGCAAAAATGCACCCAGAGCCTGGAACCTAGGAGGAGTTCCTGGATAAATTCATGGCTGTAAAGCTGTGTTTTGGTTTCTAGTATGACTATACCAGAAACTGCTGGGAGAAAAGGAAAAGACTTTTGTATCTTTTACCTATTTTTATGAAGACATGAAAGAGAATTCAAAGTGTGGAATTCAGAAGCTGTTAAATAGAGAAAGACGTGCCAGAAGAAACTGTGGGAAAAACCCTCTGGTATAGCTCTTCTGATGTGATAAAGCAGAATCCTAGTGGAAATTATACCACTATGGAAAATGATCAGATGGACCATTCTGTCTCCCTTCATAAGAAAGGATATTTCTGAAGACTGGAGGAATAAATTCTTTGTCACTCAGTATGAGAAATTTGAAGATTATGAAAAGAAAATGAAAGGGTCTACACTGCAATTTCAATCAGTAATCTAAGAAGGACCTGCTCACTAGGTGCGGTGGCTCATGCCTGCAATCCTAGCAGTTTGGGAGGCCAAGGCGGGAGAATCACCTGTGGTCAGGAGTTTGAGGCCGGCCTGGCCAACATCATGAAACCCCATCTCTACTAAAAATACAAAAATTAGCCAGCCATGGTAGTGGGCGCCTGTAATCTCAGCTACTCAGAAGGCTGAGGCAGGATAATTGCTTGAACCCAGGAGGCAGAGGTTGCAGTGAGCTGAGATCACGCCATTGCACTCCAGCCTGGGTGACAAGAGCGAAACTGTCTCAAAAAAAAAAAAAAAAAAAAAAAAGGACCTACTCTTTCTCCATCTCCTTCAACTACGATCTAAATTAAAAGAAAAGAAACTCCTTTAAACATTTAGTGAAAGAAAATTCTCTGGATGTTTCCTTAATTACTTAGATTAATGGTTTATAATGCAATAATCAAAGAATTTCAAAGTCTACATAGAAAAAACCATTACAGGCCGGGTGCTGTGGCTCACGCCTATAATCCCAGCACTTTGGGAGGCCGAGGCAGGTGGATCACGAGGTCAGGAGTTTGAATCTCCCTCGCCAACATAGTAAAACCCTGTCTCTACTAGAAATACAAAAACTAGCCAGATGTGGTGGCACGCACCTATAGTCCCATCTACTTGGGAGGCTGATGCAGGAGAATCACTTGAACCAGCAGGCAGAGGTTGCAATGAGTCGAGACCATGCCATTGCACTCCAGCCTGGGCAACAGAGCGAGACACCATCTCAAAAAAAACAAAAAACACCACAATACTATATTTATGATTCTAATTGCTTTTCATGGTATTTTTATTAGTCTTACACATTAAATAATAAAATGAAGTTTACAAATTTTTAAATGGTGAAAATGGTAAATTTTATGTTATGCATATTTTGCCACAATAAAAAAATGTTAACTTGGGCCAGGTGTGGTGGTTCACACCTGTAATCCCAGCACTTTGGGAGGCTGAGGCAGGAGGATCACTTGAGACCAGAATTTCAAGACTGGCCTGGGCAACATAGCAAGACCTGATCACTACAAAAAATAAAGCAATTAAAAACAGTCAGGTGTGATGGTACACACCTGTAGTCCTAGCTACTCAGGAGGTTGAGGTGGGAGGATCACTTGAGCACAGGAGTTCAAGGATGCAATGAGCTAGGATCATGCCAGTGCATTCCAGACTGGACCACAGACCAAGACCTTGTCTTTAAAAAAAAAAATTGGGGGCTAAAAAATGCAAATACAAATGTCAAGTGTGTCACCACCCATAGTACACAGTACTCTCAGAAAAAAATATGAGTACAATTAAAACATTTTAAATCACATGAGGAATCATTGATGGGGAAACTCAAGCCAACGCAACAGGGCAGATTATCTCTGTCCCTACTTGGTTGACACTGGCACTGTTGATCCCCCTGATGTCTGGCTGTGACTCCCAGAGAATTCGCAACCCAGGTAATTTGCCTGCAGGTTTGGCTACAAGGTCACTTTGTTGCCACCATGATAACCTTCTGCCAGACTAGCTAGCACCATCAGCTACTTTCTAAGTACATAACAGTGCATGCAGCAACCTCTGGATCCCTTCCATACCATGCTAAAGCCTGAATAAGATCAGGACTGTCAACTCAGGTCTCACTCTATCTGTGCCATGTTGCTCTTTCACTCTGCTTTAGCCATCCTGTATTGGTGCAGAGCCACCCTGTGAGACTTTCTCCTGTCTTATTTCCAAACAGGGAGTGGAATCCAAGACCCTCTACTTTCAGCTTTCTTCACAGTCAATTTAATAGCCTTAATGGAATTTCTGCCTAAAGGTTAAAATCATGATTCAAGGCTGCTTACTCCACTATCTCCCCTTTTTACCCTTTCTGCACCCAAGTAAAAAGCTGAACTTTGACTCTTCTTTTTCCTAAATTAATTCCATTTTTTTAGGAGTACTAATCTCCACTCCCATCCCCAGTGGTTGGTAGATACTTGCGGCTGACTATAGAGAAGGTCATATACACCGAAATGGAAAAGAGAAGAACATGTACATTTTTTTTTTGAGACAATCATGTTCTGTCACACAGGCCGGAGTGCAGTGGCATTATCTTGGGTCACTGCAACCTCCATCTCCCAGGCTCAAGTGATTCTCCTGATGCTGCCTCCTGAGTAACTGGGATTACAGCACCTGCCACCACACCCGGGTAATTTTTTGTATTTTTTATATTTTGTATGTTTCACCATGTTGGCCAGGGTGGTCTTGAACTCCTGGCTTCAAGTGATCTGCCCACCTCGGCCTCCCAAAGGGATTACAGGCATGAGCCTGACCTTGATATATTCTTTTAAATTAAGTAAAACAGGCTGTTTCAAGCAATAAGGGAATATAAGTGTTCATGTAATTGAACAGTCCAGAGCTGCAGGCCAGTCTTCATTTAGCTCCTAAAATGACGAGATCAAGACCAAGTTTCTCTCTGTTTCTCAATTCTACTTCTTCATTGTTGGTTTCATTCTTGGCAGGCTTCTCTCCCTGTCGTTCCAAGATGACTATCAAAGGTTTCTGGACCCACAGGCTTCTTTGTTCACATGAAAGGAAGACGAGCACTTCTCCACTCCCAGTGATGAACCAAAGTCCAGAGCTGAGTCTGGTTGGACTTTCTCTTCCAATCACTGTGGTTATAAGGGTGGTGTTTACTAGCTTAAAATAACATCATATCCCATATCAACATCCCATTTCTAAAGCAGTAGAGGGGTAGCACCAGATTTCCCCGAGGTACTCGGACCCTGGGAATAAATATTAGATACCAGTTCCCAGAAAAGGGGAAATTTGTGTTGAGTGGCCCAAAACACCAAACATTCATCATCTCTGATATCTACCAAATCTGATTTGACTTACTGCTCAACAAGCATTTATTGAACAGAATACTAAAAAAATTAAAATAAAAAAACTTAAAAAATAAAAAATTAATGCAAAACAGAAATAACTTAATCTTAGCAACTCTTTCCTGTGGTTGGTACTTCCCCATCAAGATCCTTTCTGACTCCTGATCTGTGCTCTAGAAAAAAAATGTTTAAATAATATCCAGTAGTTGTACTTGATACACTAAAATCCACTACCTAAGAGTCCTCTGCTCAGATTTAACTATGAAAATACAAACAAAAGGCAAGGCAGTGGGGAGGGAATCTGCTGTGAGGAATCACCAGAGCTAGGCCCCAGTGGAAGTATTGGGGGCCTAATGGCAAAGAACAATCAGCCTGCCACCAAATTTCCTAAATGCAGAGTAACTTCTCTCTCCATTAATCTGGAAAGACTCTTTCATTTTAAAACTCAAGATGTGACTGCTCACTGTGGGTATTTAATGTTATATGTAATAATAACAAATGTGATAAAATTAGAGTGAAATCTGCTTCAGCTGTAAGGTGGTTTATGAACCACATTAATGATCTTTAAGGAGATGTGGACATGCAGACTGGCAGCCTGCCCACACAGCAGGTGGTGTTAGGCACAGGCTCCTAAGGGGGGATAGAAGGCTTGAGTTCTATTAGCTCTGCTGCTCAGTAGCTGTGTGACCTTGAGCAAACCCATTAACCCCTCTGGACCTACAAGTTCCTCAGCTCTAAAATGGCAGAGTTAAACTTGATGTTTTCTAAGCTTTTTTCATCTCCAACCTTCTAAGATACTCTAATAAATTGATTTTGTTTTTAAAAGTTCATGAATGAGGCCGGGCTCTGTGGCTCACGCCTGTAATCCCAGCACTTTGGGAGGCCAAGGCAGATGGATCATCTGAGGTTGGGAGTTTGAGACCAGCCTGACCAACATGGAGAAACCCTGTCTCTACTAAAAATACAAAAATTAGCCGGGTGTGGTGGTGTGCTGTAATCCCAGATGCTCAGGAGACTTAGGCAGGAGAATCACCTGAATCCAGGAGGTGGAGGTTGCAGTGAGCTGAGATCACGCCACTGCGCTCCAGCCTGGGCAGCAGAGCGAGACTCTGTCTAAAAAAAAAAGAAAATCAAAATAAATAAATAAATAAAAAGAGTAAACATCAGGGGAAACAGGGATATTCTGGCTAAACCAACCTAACAGGATTCTTGCTGAAGATAGGCCAGGGTGATCAGACGTCACCTAGGGGATGGTGGAGGATGTGGAACCTGGTCAGATCTTGAGGGTGATCACACATCAAGTGTGGGCGGGTCTTGCTAAACCAACTTAGCAGGGTTCTTTGCTAAAACTGGATTTTTCAAAGGAGTGTACAAATGGGCCTAAGAGAAGTGTTAGGAGCTTGGCTAAAGTTTGGCCAGCAAATAATCTTTGTCAATCCTGACCCTCCCCTACAGAATCTCCAGCGAACCTCAGCAGATACACAGCCCCAGGAGACAACGTGGACAGAACTGCAGGAATCCCCACTCTCTTTGGTCTAGGGGAAAGATTAAATTTTCTAGGTTCACAGAATTCCCTTCTTCAGAGGTACCTCCAGGGACCCAGACCTTTCCCTCACCACCTGTGTTTCCTAGAAGAGGGTCCTAACTAGGGTGGGTCATCCAAGGTTTTGTCTCAGGATGAAACCTAAACTAAGATGACAAATAGAAAGCATGAATTAGTCCAGGCACAGTGGCTCATGTCTGTGATCTCACCACTTTGGAAGGCCAAGGCAGGAGTGTTGAATGGGGTAAAAAGTTTGAGACCAGCGTAGGCAACATAGCAAGACTCCATCTCTACAAAAAGTTTTTTTTTGTTTGTTTGTTTTTTAATTAGCCAGGTGTGGTAGTGCACACCTATAATCCTAGGTACTACAGAGGCTGAGGAGATTACTTGAGCCCAGTAGTTCAAGACCCCATCTCAAAAAAAAAAAAAAAAACAGAAAGAAAGAAAATAAATCACCAAAAATCTTCAGAGAGATGAATATTACATCAATGAAAGAGGAAAATGGTGTGTTTATGAAAAGGAATACCCAGAGAACATGAAGAAAGCCTTGAAAATTTAAAGTTAGACAGTAAAAATTAAAAAAACAAATACACAGTAAATGGGTTGAAAGAGAGTCTCCCATAACATAGGACAAAAGGACAAAATGATGGAATAAAGGACAGAAAAGGTAAGAAAATTAGAAGACCTGTCAGGAAGTCCAACATCCAAATACAGGGTCTAGAAAAAGAGAAGAGAGAAAACAGAGGGAAGGAAATCATCCTCAAAACAATTCAGGACAATATCCTAGAGTCTCCAGATTGAAAGGGCCTATGGAGTGCCAGCATAGCACTCTAAAGTCTGCCCACACCAGGGCATAGCTTCATGAAATTTCAGAACCCTGGGGACAAACAGATCTCCAAGATCTAGAAAGAAAACAAACAAAACCCCAAAAGTGTTTAAAATTGGCCACATTAAAAAATCAGGAATCAGAATTCTTGGGTTTCTTACCAAGCCCCTCCCACGTGCCCAGAGCTTCCAGTAAAATTTTCAGTGTTCCCCTCTTAGGTATCAGACACAGGCCCAAAGAAATTTGTAAATGATGATGAAAAAAGATTGAGCACAGTCTAAAAATCTAAAATTCTCTCACTTCCACGCTAGTTCCTAGAAGCCAGTGGGATGGATGAAGCCTTTTATTCTTCCCTTAGGCTCCAATTCCTTCACTCTACCGTTCCCTAATCACCACGTGATCATCTCCTCCTTGTCTCTCTCTCTCTCTCTCTTTCTGTCTCTCTCTCTCACACACACACAGACACACACACACACTCACTCACTTACACAGGCTTGATTTAAGGACACACGTCATGCTGCTTTTCTTGAGAGCAAACATTGTTAATTATAGCTCTGCCCAGGAAATAGGCAAAAAAATCCCAAGAGCTCAGCTTTTGACAGTAGGGAGCTGCACTTCTTTCTGGACAAAGAGTCAGACTAAATTTAGCGACAAATTCTAAATTGGTGTGAGACTTTCCTATTTCCTTGAAGCATAATGCTCTATTGATTGCAAGCTGAGTCATATATTGAGCCTGCTTCTCACACTGTCAGCTGGAAGTGTAATTCTTGAATGACTCCCAGCAGACATTTATAGATTTTTCAGTCTGTTGAGTTATAAAAGATAGCCAAAGTCTTTTTTTTTTCTGAAGACCTTCAAATAAATCTTGATCTTAACAGCTAAGTCATTGAGCTTAATTATACACAACACACTGGGAGTAATCTGCATAAAAGCGAGAGTTGAGGGAGTGAAGTTAGAAAAATAATCAAGTGAGTCTGTAAAGAAACAAAGAACAGAGGACTGACAACTGGAGTTCCACCTTCCAGTTTGCTCCTGTTTAAGACGTAGAAGAAAGAAAAAAGTAACTATTCAAGGTGAAGAGAGGGCAAAGATGGGAATAGGAACCAGGTTAGGGTACCAGGACAGGAATCAAAGAAAGAGAATACTTCAAGAAAGAGTGTATGGCAGAGTAAAATATGTTGGGGAGACCCAGAAGGGATGTGGCAGACCCATTTAGTGTCCTGTCCATAACTTCTCAGGTCTTATCGCACAGGGCAGGACTCCTGACTCCTAATGTCTTAGGACCTTTAGTCACTGGATTCTATTCTGCCTCAGCACCGTCAAGCCAGAAGTACAGGGGAATTAATGCTTCCTCATCCTCACCCAAATGCAGCAACCCTCAATCAAGGACTGACTAGAGTTGGTATGTATATATGCCAGATTCCTTACCCCTTAGAATAACTCTGAGCCTATGCTGTACACAGACTCTGAGAGTTCCCCAGCAGAATTAAGCTCCAGTTGCCCACAGTGGTAACTGACTTGAAAATACACCATTTATTATCTCCCTTCTCTTTTCTTTCTCATTTCCCTACACCCCTACTGGTGCTTCTTTGCATCATCTCCAAAAGCCTGGGATGAGAAAAAGCCATTGGTAATATATTCTGAAGATCCTTGAGAGGTCAAGGTCAGTAGAATGGAAAAGGCAGAAACTACATGGCTGGATTCTAAGAGAAGAGTTGGAGATGAGGAATTGGAGACAGAAATGGAAAACAACTCTTTCAAGAAGTTTAGCATGTAGACAAAAGAAAGAAATGGGGGAGTCACTAATGGGGCAATAGGATTGAAAAAAGTTTTAATTTTTTTTGCATTTATTTAGGAAAGATACACTCCGCTGGGCGTGGTGACTCACGCTTGTAATCCCAGCACTTTGGAAGGCTGAGGTGGGCAGATCACGAGGTCAGGAGTTCAAAATCAGCCTGACCAACATGGTGAATCACCGTCTCTACTAAAAATACAAAACTTAGCCAGGCATGGTGGCACGCACCTGTAATACCAGCTACGCAGGAGGCTGAGGCAGGAGAACCACTTGAACCCAGGAGGCGGAGGTTGCAGTGAGCTGAGATCGCGCCATTGTACTCCAGCCTGGGCGACAGAGCAAAGCTCCGTCTCAAAAAAAAAAAAAAAAAAAAAAAAAGAGGCCGGGCATGGTGGTTCACACCTGTAATCCCAACACTTTGGGAGGCCGAGGAGAGTGGATCACCTGAGGTCAGGAGTTCCAGACCAACCTGGCCAACATGATGAAACCCTGTCTCTACTAAAAATACAAAAATTAGCTGGCCATGGTGGTAGGCCCCTGTAATGCCACAGCTACTTGGGAGGCTGAGGCAGGAGAATCACTCGAACCAGGGAGGCAGAGGTTGCAGTGAGCCAAGATCACGCCACTGCACTCCAGCCTGGGGGACAGAATGACACTCCATCTCAAAAAAAAAAAAAAAAAGAGAGAGAGAGAAAAAGAAAGATCCACTCATATTTTGAGACATATGACTCTAGGACAATGTACGTGTTCCTGGAAGCTCTCCTCCCTCTCTTCTGTTTTCAACATCTCTTTGGCTGGTGTCTCTACCTTACCCAGACTTGTGTTTGTTTTTCTAAGCATTCTGCACTTAGCACTCTTCTCATCCCTTTCTATACCCTCTCTCTGGGTAATTTAATCCTCTCTCATGGCTTGAATTTACACCTATACACTACTGATTCCTAAATTTGTATCTTTAATTCAGAGCCCTTTCCTGGGCTCCAGACCCATGTATTGAACCACCTACTTTATAAGTATTCCTGTCTATCCAGCAGCTCCCTCCAATTAATCATGCAAAAATTGAACTTGCCATCTTCTCCTCAAATTCATTTTTACTTTGTGCCTAATGGGTGAATGGGACTTGTATTAGTCCATTCTCACACTGCTATAAAGGAATACCTAAGGCTGGGTAATTTATAAAGAAAAGAGGTTTAATTGGCTCACAGTTCTGCAGGCTGTACAGGAGACATGATGCTGGCCACCTCCTTGGCTTCTGGGAAGGCCTCAGAAAACTTAACAATCATGGCAGAAGGCGAAGGGGATGCAGGCTTCTCTTACGTGGCTGGAGTAGGAGCAGGACGGGAGGGGTGTCACACACTTTTAAACAACCAGATCTCACGACAACTCACTATTGCCATGACAGCACCAAGGGGGATGATGTTAAACCATAAGAAACTGCCCCCATGATCCAATTACCTCCCATCTTCAACATTGGGGATTACAATTCAACATGAGGTTTGGATGGGGACACAGATCCAAACCATATCAGTACTACAATTTATCTAGTTGCCCATATCAGAAAAATGGAACTCATCCTAAACCATACCCTCTGTCATCACCTTCATCCAATCAGTCATAAGTTGAGTAAATCGTTTCCACTTCTTTAACATCTCCCAAGTTAACACATTCCTTCCATCCCCTCTGCTCCTGCCTGAGTTTAGGCTATCATTATCTCTTGCACAGGCCATAAAGGTCTTTTAAGTGGTCACAAAGTTCTCCTAAATAGTCTCACTGCTTTTAGCCTTGACTCTTTCAATACATTTTTCCACCCTTCTGCCAAATAGATTCTCTGCTATTTAAAACATTTCCAGGTCTCTGGGAGAGTTGGTGTGAAGGGAGCATTTAGAGGTGTGCGGATAGTCAGAATTGGGGAAATTTGTGTTGTGCACCCAGCTTGAAGACTTACTTGATCAGACTTAGGGATCTCTCATATCCTTTTCTGTAGGTCCAAAACAAGAATCTGTCCCTCCTCCACCAAAGATAATGACTATCTTGGAATCTTTTCCTGGGGTCAATCCCTGTGAATCAGGATAGAGATAGAAAAGAAATCCCTTAGTATTTTTCATCTAAGAGGACAGCCACCAAGGAAGGACCCAAGGCTAAGAAATGGAGCTCAATAAGGATCATATACAGAGAGAAAAACTCAAGGTGCAGAAGGAATACCCCCAAGACAAGCATTTCAAGGTTAAGGCAAGGCCAACATGGCAAGATACAAGAAGGGATTTCCTTTTCTTAGAAAATTCTTGTTTAGAAAGTTTATTCCGGACCTGAGAGGTAGACGTTCCCATTCTTGCTCCCACACAGGACAGCAATAATATGTCCTAAGACAATGGTCCTCCACCTGAGGAATGTGTGTAGCCTTAGAAGCATGTGAAGACTTTCCAAAGGATTCAAGTGCAAGATGGTTCTAAGAAAACCAAATTTCAGGCCAGGTGCAGCTGCTCACGCCTGTAATCCCAGGACTTTGGGAGGCCGAGGCAGACAGATCATTCGAGGTCAGAAGTTCTAGGCCAACATGGTGAAACCCCATCTCTACTAAAAATACAAAAATCAGCCCAGCATGGTGGTGTACGCCTGTAGTCCCAGCTATTAGGGGGGCTGGGGCAGGAGAATCGCTTGAACCTGGGAGGCGGAGGCTGCAGTGAGCCGAGATCATGCCACTGCACTCCACCCTGGTGACAGAACAAGACCCCATCTCAAAAAAAGGAAAGAATTGAAGAAAAGAAAATCAAATTTCAGATCCTCAACTTTCTTGTTTCTTTTTTGCTAAATGTTTGGTACTGATTTTTATCTCTCAGGTTCTCATTTCCTATCTACCATTTTTACAGTTATCCTTCCCCCTCTGCACTAAAGAGAGCACACACTTCCCACCCATCCTGAATCTCACTCTAGTGCACCAAGAAAGAGTGAAAGGATGTGTGGGTGGTGTGTGTCTGTGGTGTGTTTGGTGTGTGTGTGTGTGCGTGCGTGTGCGTGTGTGTGTGTGTTGGAGGAGGTATGATATTTTGGTCTTAGTGCTGAGAAAGTGAATCATTGGATAACAAGATTGTTTATAAGCCTGGTGTTTCCTATTCTTTAATGTCAACAAAATCAGAGGAGGATCTAATCAAGTTGTCAGCTGATCGTTCAACAAAAATAATTTTTTATAATATATCTTTTTTTGGCATATAACTTAGGAGGAGTTTGAAGCTTGAGTGACATTTGGTTATAACAAAATGTCTTCCATTCTTCTATTCCCATCATCTTATTTATATAAAGATTTGTCAGAGCCATATATATGTTATGTGTATATGTATACACACATAAACAAAAAAGAAATGTGAATGATTCTAAATGCTATCTCATTTCAGCAATAAAAAAATTTCACTCATGCATTCATGAAACAATTTTTAAAAATAGCCTTCCATCGGCCGGACGCAGTGGCTCACGCCTGTAATCCCAGCACTTTGGGAGGCTGAGGTGGGCGGATCATGAGGTCAGGAGATCGAGACCATCCTGGCTAACACGGTGAAACCTCATCTCTACAAAAACTGCAAAAAATTAGCCAGGTGTGGTGGCGGGCACCTGTAGTCCCAGCTACTCGGGAGGCTGAGGCAGGAGAATGGCATGAACCCAGGAGGTGGAGCTTTCAGTGAGCCGAGATCGCGCCACTGCACTCCAGCCTGGGTGACAGAGTGAGACTCCGTCTCAAAAATAATAAATAAATAAAATAAAATAGAATAAAAATAGCCTTCCATCTCATTAATAAACTTCTTTCTAATTAATTCCATTTTAATTTACATACATAATTTTTGTTGCCAAGAAGTATGATGGTGTGATCAATAAAAGACTTTCAAGTATAAAAAAATTCTGTGGGCTGGGTGCAGTGGCTCATGCCTGTAAACCTAGCACTTGGGGAGGCTGAGGCGGGCAGATCACGAGGTCAGGAGTTCAAGACCAGCCTGGCCAATGTGGTGAAACCCCATCTCTACTAAAAATACAAAAATTAGCCGGGCGTGGTGGTGTGTGCCTGTAATCCCAGCCACTTGGGAGGCTGAGGCAGGAGAATCGCTTGAACCCGGGAGGCGGAGGTTGCAGTGAGCCAAGATTGTGCCATTGCACTTCCGCCTGGGCAACGGGTGTGAAATTCTGTCTCAAAAAAAAAAAAAATCTGTGGAGAAAGTGGAATGGAAATATAAGTTCAAGGAGAAAAAAGGCCAATGTAAAATTTTCTGCTGAAAAAGAGGTTGTTCGTGTTTTGTTTTGTTTTGTTTTGTTTTTGAGACAGAGTCTCACTCTGTTGCCAGGCTGGAGTGCAGTGGTGCCATCTCGGCTCACTGCAACCTCCGCCTCCCAGGTTCAAGAGATTTTCCTGCCTCAGCCTCCTGAATAGCTGGGACTACAGGTGCGCACCACCACACCCAGATAATTTTTGTACTTTTATTAGAGACGAGGTTTCACCATGTTGGCCAGGATGGTCTCAATCTCTTGACCTCATGATCTGCCTGCCTCAGCCTCCCAAAGTGCTAGGATTATAGGCGTGAGCCACTGAGATGGACTGTTCATGTATTTTTTAAATGGATGTTGGTTTGGGGCTAGGTGTGATGGCTCACGCCTGTAATCCCAGTGCTTTGGGAGGCCCAGGTGGACTGATCACCTGAGGTCAGGAGTTCAAGACCAGCCTGGCCAACATGGTGAAACCCCATCTCTACTAAAAATACAAAAAAAAGCCGACATGGTGGTGGGCACCTGTAATCTCAGCTACTCAGGAGGCTGAGGCAGGAGAATCACTTGAACCCAGGAGGCGGAGGTTGCAGTGACCCGAGATCACACCGTTGCACACCATTGCACTCCAGCCTGGGCCACAGAGCAAGACTCTATCTCCAAAAAATAATAATAATGATAATAATGTTGATGGGGAGGATATCAAATATTGAATTGCTTTGTTATTTAGATTCCACTGGATTTATTTAAAAGTTATATAATGACTTAATTTTAAAATGTCTATTTTTTTTTTTTTTTTGAGACGGAGTCTCGCTGTCGCCCAGGCTGGAGTGCAGTGGCGCGATCTCGGCTCACTGCAGGCTCCCCGCCCTGGGGTTCATGCCATTCTCCTGCCTCAGACTCCCGAGTAGCTGGGACTACAGGCGCCCGCCACCTCGCCCGGCTAATGTTTTGTATTTTTAGTAGAGACGGGGTTTCACCGTGTTAGCCAGGATGGTCTTGATCTCCTGACCTTGTGATCCGCCCGCCTCGGCCTCCCAAAGTGCTGGGATTACAGGCGTGAGCCACCGCGCCCGGCCAAATGTCTGTATTTTTAAAGTGCCAGAAACTATATAGTTTGCAATGATTAAACTTATGATAAAAATGTTAAATGTCAACTTAAAAAATGCAAGGAGATACGTAGTTTTCAAATTATTTTAGAGAATATGTGAGTCAAAATGTTTGATGACCACTGATTTAAGATTCTATAAGCCAAGCCCTTTTATTATTGTTTTACTTTTTTTGTTTTCTTTTTTTGAGACAGGGTCTCACTCTGTCATCCATGCTGGAGTGCAGCAGTGTGATTTCAGCTCACTGCAACCTCCACCTCCCAGGTTAAAGTGATTCTCCTGCCTCAGCCTCCCGAGTAGCTGGGACTACAGGAATGCACCACCAGACCTGGCTAATTTTTGTATTTTTTGTAGAGAGAGGGTTTCCTATGTTACTCAGGCTGGTCTCAAACTCCTGAGCTCAAGCGATCTGCCTGCCTTGGCCTCCCAAAGTGCTGAGATTATAAGTATGAGCCACTGCCCACAGCCCCAAGCCCATTTTCATTTTGTTTTCTTTTGTTTTTAATTTAACCAAGACTCAAAAAGACCATCATCACCAGAAAAGAGCTCTTGGTCCTGGTGACAGCTCCTTAATATTGAACCAGGCTCATAAAGCTCTATCCAGGAATTTCAAATTCCATTAGTTTAACATCTGGCCAGTCACCTCCCTTTCCCCTCACTTTCTACTCTACATCACTCCTCAACTCTAAACTAGAGCCATGAGGGAGTCTTGCAACTTCCCAAAAGCCCCCTAACATTTCACACCTCTCGGCCTTTGCTCAAGCTGCTCTCTCTCTGCCTGGCATGAACTTTACCTCTCACTACCCTCATTTCCTCTTCTCCAGGCAAAAGGGAATTTCTCCCAGAAATTGTCACTCATAACTGTTTTGTTTGTTTGTTTGTTTGTTTTGAGACCGAGTCTCACTCTGTTGCCCAGGCTGGAGTGCAGTGGCACGATCTCAGCTCACTGCAGCCTCTGCCTCCCGGGTTCAAGCAATTCTCCTGCCTCAGCCTCCCAAGTAGCTGGGATTACAGGCGTGCACCACCACACCCGACTGATTTTTTGTATTTTTAGTAGAGACAGGGTCTCACCAGGTTGGCCAGCCTGGTCTCGAACTCCTGACTTCAGGTGATCCACCCATTTCAGCCTCCCAAAGTGCTGGGATTACAGGCATAAACCACCTTGCTGGAACATAACTGGTTCTCAATTGAGGGTGACTAACCATCCCAGTTTTTCTAGGACTAAGAGGTTTCATTAGTATGGGGGACTTTCTGTGCTAAAACCTGGATAGTCCCAGGTCGATCAGGATGGTTGGTTACCCTACTATTGTATGTTCAACCTACTCAAAGTTACACCTAGGGGAGTGGAACCAGCTTTAGGGTATTATATCTTCTCCCAACTGACAGGTCTGTGGAAGACAATACTCTTCCATATCCCAAGAGCACTTTCTTAGGCTAATATAGTTCAAATGCTTTAGGCATTTAAGTTACAGTATTCCTGATTACGAGCTCACACTTCAAACAGCAGTTATTTTGTGTTCTTAAAAGAAACACTCTCTTCTAATTAATTGAACTCATGTTTGCATATTCAATTCCTGCCAGTGCATGCCTTACAGCATCACTTAAAAATAATTTGTCTCTGTGCATGTGGGGCTCCTAGACTCCTAAAAATAACTTTGAGAGAAACAGTGTACATTTCCTGTGAATGTATGTATATGTATTTGGGGAAGTGGGAGATGGAAGGTTGAATTTTTTTTTTTTTTTTTTTTTTTTTTTTTGAGACAGAGTCTCGCTCTGTTGCCAGGCTGGAGTCCAGTGGCATCATTTCAGCTCACTGCAACCTCCACCTTCCGGGTTCTAGCAATTCTCCTGCCTCAGCCTCCTGAGTAGCTGGGACTACAGGCAGGCGCCACAACACCCAGCTAATTTTTGTATTTTTAGTAGAGACAGGGTTTTACCATGTTGGCCAGGATGATCTCGATCTCTTGACCTTGTGATCTGCCCGCCTCAGCCTCCCAAAGTGCTGGGATTACAGGCGTGAGCCATCACGCCCAGCTGGAAAGTTGATTCTAATAACCCTTAGGAGTGTTTCCAGAATTTTCCCAGGGCAGAATGTGGTCAGAAGCAGAGAAGCTATGGAGACATGTTACCTGACTAAACTTGAGTATCCAATCTGTTCAATTGGTACAATTCAATAAAATAGATGTCACTATTTTACTGGATTATTGAAAAGATTAAAAAAGGCAGTGTAGCAACTTGGTGAGGAACACAGATTCTGGAGCCAAGCACCCTGGGTTTGAATTTGGTCTCTAGAGCTTACTAGCTATGTGAACTTGAGCAAGTTACTTAACCTCTATGCCTCAATTCTATGCCTCAATTGAATGTGAATAACAATATAAGCTGCTTCATAGGCTTGTTATAAGAATCAAATGAATTAATGTGTGTAAAGAACATAGAAAGGGGCTTAGTACACAGTAAATGATATATCAGTGTTTGTCAAGTAAGTCTATGTGAAGTACCTGGAGCATGAATAGGCACCTGGGAAATGACACTATTATTGTATTTATATGCATTATTTCTTAGCTGGAATCTTTATATTTTCAGAGAATAAATGGATTCAACAGAAGTTCAGCAAATTACTGAACCATGAGAATAGATTTTCTAACTCTCCACTAAGGGTCCTTTGTTCAAATTGTCTAGGGGCTCACCGAGAAAAGACTTTGAGAGGTCAGATTTTTTTTTTTTTTGCATTGGTAAAAAAGTTTGAAAATTGTCAACAGAATTATGTAAAATAAATTTTTTTATATTAGCAAAGCTGTCATCTCTGCAGTTTTTATCAAAAGTGTTTCATTTCCATCATTTTTCTGTTTGCCCAGGAAGGGAGGTCAGCATATGCAGCCTGGTTCAGAGTCCAGGTCAGCAGGCAGCCATCCTCAGCAGGGCTTCCCTTGGTACACAGGGCTTTGAAGCCAATTTTGGGTTACCATAGTAACCAAGAGAGCTTCTAGAAAAATTTCCAAATGAAACATTCATTCAGGACACCAACAGGCATGGCCTGGGGGTGGGGAGTTGGGGAGGAGAGGGACAAAAATATACTGTCCCTGACTTCACCAAGTTCACAGTCTGTTGAAGAGAAACAGTGTAAAAAATCATTGACTTAGTTCCTCAATTTAAAGACGCTTTTAAAAAACATTTTAAAGCTTCCAAAGTCAGATGCATGAATAGATGAGTTCATTTAATGTTATGGATTCCCCCGACACAGATATCTATTATTAAATTAATAGATTAAAAGATGTCTTACAATCTATAGCGTTTTGGACTGGAAAACATTTGGTATACTAGTGTGCCACGTGCTATGACAGAAGCACATACAAAGAACAGAAGGGGCCAAGCAATGAGGGGAGGGGGAAGCAGCATGAGAGTATTTGAGCTCCCTGGGAAGCTTTGTGCAAGCTTCTGCCTTGGTTCTGACTTATTTGGATACAGAAAAAGATGCAGGACTCTACCAGCAGGATAAAAATCAAATTGCCTTCTCTCTTTCTCAATTAAGTAAACATGGCACACCAATTTCAGCCTGTGATACACAGATGACAGAGAGGTAGAACAGGGCTTGATGGTGGCCAGGCTTGTGCCACTGATGGCCAGTTTGTGAGCACTCAGCCCTAGCCCTTCCAGCTACATACCCAGGCAGCAAGGGGCAGATCTTGTTGAGGAGGCTCTGTTTGTACCATTAGCTTTGAGCATGGTTACTCTCATGGGTGCCTCTAACTGAACTTGTAAGAAGTCCTTTGGGAGGCTGAGGCGGGCAGATCATGAGGTCAGGAGATCGAGACCATCCTGGCTAACACGGTGAAACCCCGTCTCTACTAAAAATACAAAAACATTAGCCGTGGTGGTGGGCCCCTGTAGTTCCAGCTACTTGGGAGGCTGAGGCAGGAGAATGGTGTGAACCTGGGAGGTGGCGCTTGCAGTGAGCCAAGATCGCGCCTGGGCAACAGAGCGAGACTCCATTTCAAAAAAAAAAAAGAAGTCCTATGGTTGGGGCCATACGTATACCAAGTAGTAGAGCACCACACTCTTCCTTGTATATTGGAGGGATGGTACTGTCCAAAAACCAAAAACAGCAAATACTTACATAGCCCTTTTTTTTTTTTTTTTTTGAGATGGAGTCTCACTCTGTCACCTAGGCTGGAGTGCAGTGGCATGATCTCAGCTCACTGCAGCCTCCGCCTCCCGGGTTCAAGCAATTCTCCTGCCTCAGCCTCCCAAGTAGCTGGGATTATAGGCGCATGCAACCATGCTTGGCTAATTTTTTGTATTTTCAGTAGAGACGGAGTTTCACCATGTTAGTCAGGCTGGTCCCGAACTCCTGATCTCGTAATCTGCCGGTCTCAAACGCCTGACCTCATAATCCGCCCACCTCGGCCTCCCAAAGTGCTGGGATTACAGGCGTGAGCCACCGGCATGGCCCTATATAGCCCTTCTTAACAGTTCCCCTCCCACAACCCTTTCACCCACTTACCCAGAGGCCTTCCGGGACCAACAATGTAACATAAATTGAGACCTGAAGAACAGCTGCTCAAAATTAAAAAATTAAAACCCATGCCTGACAAAGAAAACACTTCTGGAGACAGAATAAGGACTGGGTAAGTTCTGAGTTTGCAACTTCCGATCTATTCCTTTGATCCCTACCCATGGTCAGAGCCCCATCTCTCTTTGGTGCTCAGCCTACAAGGAACTGGCATGTAGTCATTTTGCCCCATGCTATTCCCTTGCAGGGTAGACAGAGGAGGCTTCATTGATCTGGAATCACTTGGATAGGGTCTTGAAGGATGAGTAGTAGTTTGCTGAGGGGAGTTTCACAAGGGGGAAAAGTGGATTCCAGGTACAGAGAAATAGCAAGAGCCAAAGCTGAGAGGCAGAAAACATAGGGGACCTTTTGAGGCTCTATGGGCAATTATATGTGATGGGAGTATAAGCACAAGATGAGGCTGGAGAGGGAGCAGGGCCAGGTGTCAGCAGGACTCTGGGATCAAGTGAGGAAATGTAGCTTTTACTTTGGAGATAGTGAGAACCCCTGAGAGATTTTAAGCTGGAAAGTGAGATGCACTGATTTGTGTTTAGAACCTTCCCCCTGACAGCTGCGAGGAGATGGTCAGAGACACTGGGGAGCTGTGAGCGGGCCAACCTGCTTTAATCAAAGCAGAGGCCCTGGGAATGAAGTGCAGAGGTCCCAGGGATATTTCGTTGGTACAAATGACAGTATTTAGTGATAGGGGAGGGGAAGGGGAAAAGATATTGCAGAGTGGGTGATATTAGAACTGACTCAGGAAAATAACCAGAAAATGGCACTACTCTTTAATTCTTCATTCCATTTATATATCATTTTGGTGGAATTGTTTCAACCTACTGTGAGCAAAACCATGTAGAACTGTTTTAAAAGCTCATTCTATTCGATACCTGTTGTATTTGAGATGTTTTATAGAGGAAACACAGAGCCCATTTCTTTTTTCTTTTTCTTTTTGCTATCTTCTTCTTTTTCTTTCTTTTCTTTCTTTTTCTTTTTCTTTTTTTCTTTTTTCTTTTTCATCTTGGCCAGGATCTGACCTCATGATCCACCCGCCTTGGCCTCCCAAAGTGCTGAGATTATAGGCATGAGCCACTGCTCCCAGCCACAGAGCCCATTTATGAAGAGACATAGAAGGTGGATTTTATAGGGGGTGTCCTGTGGCAGTGGCAGGTGGGCACACAGTCTGTGCTATCTCCATGGTTTCCAGTTCCCATGCTCTCTTGGTTCCTCCTTCTTGGCAAGAACTTCCAGCTGATGCTTCCCCTCTTCAGCCTTTCAGCCTGTAAATGACTGGATCCTTGGAGGCAGGCACCTCTGGACTATCTAGTCAATGTCCCAAAAGGGCAGAAGCACATCTTGGCAGAGGAATTCCACATCTCCAGATGTAGTACATCTATCAGGAGGCAGATGAGTAACAGGGAAAACTACTCATTGGATCATGGTCACCATCGGGAGATGTGCTGTGGAAGACTTAGTGCTCAAAGGCTTTGTTCAGACCTAGCCACAAGGGGATGGCTTGGGAGGCCTGAAGTTCAGCTTCAAGCAGCCTCAGTAATGGACAGTACCTGGGCCCTGGAGAGGTGAGTAAGGTAAGAAAAACTTTGACCTTTGACTGCAGAGGGAGCACATCCAACTGCCTACAGGGACAAGACAACAGTGAAGTAGGCTGGGGGAGATTGTGGCACCCTGGGGAATTTGTGCCTCATCTAGAAGGGATAGATTCTACTCAGTTCCAGCAAAGGTCACGTGGGAACACAAAGCCAAGGAATGGAGAGCTGACAACTTTTCAAGAGAAGGCAGAAATTCAGATTTTTATGAGTCATCTCCTGATTTTTTGGATGTTGGGAATTAATTCAAAGTTTGTTTTGTTTTGTTTTGTTTTGTTTTGTTTTGTTCTGTTTTGTGACAGAATCTCACTCTGTCGCCCAGGCTGGAGTGCAGTGGTGCAATCTCGGCTCACTGCAACCTCCGCCTCCCAGGTTCAAGCGATTCTCCTGCCTCAGCTCCCGAGTAGCTGGGACTACAGACGCATGCCACCACACCCAGCTAATTTTTTTTTTTTTTGTATTTTTATTAGAGATGGGGTGTCACCGTGTTAGCCAGGATGGTCTCGATCTCCTGACCTTGTGATGTGCCCGCCTTGGCCTCCCAAAGTGCTGGGATCACAGGCGTGACAAAATTTTAAGATGTTGAGCAAGCCAAACAAAGTTCTCCTGTGGTTGGATTTGGCCTTGCAGCTATAAATTTGCAACCTCTACTCTAAAACTTGAGCATTAATCTCTGAATTTCAATCATCTAGTACTAGAACAGGAAAAAGGGTGAGGCTACTAAGAAGCTGGAAACAGGCAAAAAGGTTTATAGGATCTGAGGGGTCATTAGTCCAATTTCTAATTGCATAGATAGGCAATCGGAGGCTTGGAGAGAAGAAATGCCCAAGGGCACACAGTTCCAGGCAACAGTAGCACTTGCAGTAAGAACAAGGAGACTCAGCTTACGGTGGCTCATGCCTGTAATCCCAGCCCTCTGGGAGGCCGAGGCAGGCAGATGGCCGAGGTCAGGAGTTTGAGACCAACCTGGCCAACATGGTGAAACTCCGTCTCTACTAAAAATACAAAAATTAACTGGGCATGGTGGCAGGTGCCTGTAATCCCAGCTACTCAGAAGGCTGAGGCAGGAGAATCGCTTGAACCCAGGAGGCTGAGATTGCAGTGAGCAGAGATCACGCCATCGCACTCTAGCCTGGGCAACAAAAGTGAGACTTCATCTCAAAGAAAAAAAAAGAATAAGGATACTCAGGCCAGGCATGGTGGCTCATGCCTGTAATCCCAACACTTTGGGAGACCGAGGTGGGAGGATCACTTGAGGCCAGGAGTTCAAGACCAGCCTAGGCAATATAGCAAGACTCTGTCTCCTCAAAACATTTAAAATAAAAGAGGCTCAAGCGGGCCTGACTGGCATTTGGTCTTCTTGCCTCAGTTCCCTCCTTTGTTTATTTGTTTCCATTCTCTAGTTTGTGGCTATGATTGGTACATATGTCCCCTACTGAACTTTGGATTATTCCTATTGGACCCCTGGGAGCTGTCCTGGCCTTCATCTGGAGTCTCTGCCCCAACCTCTTAGCCTGGAGCTGGTGCTGTTTCTGAGTCTGCTGGCACTGACCCCCTTGGGCTCCTCGCATGGGCCTGTCTGAGCTCCACATTGTGCTGAGTATGATACATACCTAGTATGGGACAAAAATAATGCTTGATCTCAGTGTGCCATAGTCCTGTGTTCCATCCAGTAAACACACTGCTTCCTAGGATTAATGTCTCCCTGCAGAAAGGAAAAGCAAGTTGGAATGTCATTTTGTGTGTGTGAACTGTAAAATGAGTTTGAGTACATTTCAAATTTGCTCTTTCTTGCCCTTTTTTTGCCATCTAATAGTCATGGCCAACTCATCCATTAGGTACAGCTAGCACAGTATCTAGGGACCGAGATACTTTTAAGGGCCTGCAGAATGTTTTAATTTTAATTTCTTTTAAAATCAGAATAAATAAAAATAAATAAATAATAATAAACATATAAAAAGAATCCAGTGTACTTAAAGCCACTGAACTGTATGGTTAAAAATGGTTAAAATGGGAAATGTTATGTATATTTTACCACAATAAAAAAAAAGAAACCAGCATGGATTATATTCATCTTTATACCAATGCAGTTATAAAATATAATTTTTAATATTTATTATGGAGGGAAGGGCCCACAGATTCAAAACTGCCCAAAGCTCATGAATGTTATCATTTGGCCCTGTTAGTAGTTGGTTAATTCATATCAAGGAGAAGTTTTGTATTTATGGACCAAATCATATGGACTGCACTTCTCTCACTTCTTCGTGGCCTAACCAGGAAGGTTACACAGCATGACCCAGATTCCTACCACGTGCCACCTGGTGACAGCTACACAGACTGTTCAGGGGAGATGCTGAGTACAGTGGTTCTGAGAGACTTGTTAGTTTTGGTCTCTGCACAGCAGGTCCTGCCTTATTTAGCACAGTGAAGCTAGACACTCTGAGGTAGTCAATTTTACTCCAAAGGGCATTTCTCATGCTTCTCTTTATTAACAAATCTCTCTCTCTTTGGACTACCAAAACAGTCTTCTGGCAGATCTCCCTGACTTGGCTTTTCTCCTACCCAAACCAGAATTATCTTTGCAAACATATATCTCCCTGGAATAAAGTTATTTAATGACTTCCAACATTTTCATTATTTCAGAAAGCTTGATAGAAATCCCGCTTTAACTCATGAGAGTGCTTTTAAAAGTAACTAAAAAACTGCTTTAGTTTGTGCTAGAATTATACCAGCATGGTTACTACAATTAATAAATTTTGAGGACACAAATTAATTATTTTCCAGACGCATAGTTTGTGTTGCAATGAGGTCTTACACCCATGGATCCTTGGGAGAAAGATCATGAATGGATCCTTGGAAGTGAAAAAGTATGGAGATCCCTAGAAATGTCTCAGCTGTCTGCCTGACCATTCTGGGAGGACAGTATCACTCTGGTCAAAGAGAAATTACTGACTAGCTGACTATGGTACAGAAGGTGGGGGAAGATGAAGAAACATCACATTAAAATTCAGTGCAAAGTGAAAGCTTGTCTTGAGCAAGGGTGAATGACTCAGCAAGAAATTGTTTACAGGATTTTAGTTTCTGCTCTCTGCAATTCTTATATTAAATAAAAAGCGGATTTTCATTATCTACTTGAAGTAATTCCATTACTCACCAGATAACAAATAAGCAACAAACACACTTCCTAGGATATTTTTTTAATCCTAAAGTGAAAGCAGTGCTTAGAATCACAAATGCTTGGCATGTATGGTCATTAACAAAAATTTGGTCTTTGGCAGAGTGAAAGCTTTGGTTTTTAAGTTCAGTTCCGCTTGTTTATCGTTGTAGTGCATAGTTATCATTCCACATTCCTACATTCAATCCCCTTTCTTCTGGTAACAGTCATACACACACACACACACACACACACACACACACACACACTCTTTCACACGCACAAATTTTCTTGGGAAAAAAATATTTTTTTTCCACATTTGGAATATCCTTCAAGACTCCCATAGGCTTTGGAGGGCACCAAGTCCTGTGCTCTCTGCTACTACTCCTTTGAATATCAGAGTGATCACATGTTCCATTCAAAACAAAATCGGGCAGGGCGCAGTGGCTCACTCCTGTAATTCCCAGCACTTCGGGAGGCTGAGGCAGGCAGATCACTTGAGGTCAGGCATTCGAGACCAGTCTGGCCAACACAGTGAAATCCCATCTCTTTTTTTGTATCTAAAAAACTACAAAAATTAGCCAGGTGTGGTGGCATGCGTCTGTAGTCCCAGTTATTCAGGAGGCTGAGACAAGAGAATTGCTTGAACCTGGGAGGCAGAGGTTGCAGTGAGCCAAGATCGTGCCACTGCTCTCCAGCCTGGGCAACAGAGTAAAACTCTGTCACACACACACACAAAAATAAATAAATAAAATAAAATAAGTTTATCATGACTGTAATCCCAGCACATTGGGAAGCACAGGCAGGCAGATCACTTGAGGTCAGAAGTTTGAGACCAACCTGGCCAACATGGTGAAACCCCATCTCCACTAAAAATACAAAAATTTGCTTGGCATGGTGGCGGGCACCTGTAATCCCAGCTACTAACTAGGGAGGCTAAGGCAGGAGAATCACTGCCTTAGATGGAGGTTGAGGTTGCAGTGAGCCAAGATCATGCCACTACACTTCAGCCTGGGTAACAGAATGAGACTCCATCTCAAAAAAGAAAAAGAAAAAAAGAAAAAAGAAATTGAGACAGGATGACAGGATGAGGGCCAGCTTCTGTGCTGACCTATCAGCTCTGCCTCTTGGCCACATACATGCAAGCTGAGAGCAGCCGTTTTGGCTGCACGTCGTAAATTCAGGCTGGGCTGCACTCACTCAGGTCCCTTGTTGGCACTATATTTCTTCCATTTCAAGGATTCAAACACACACACACTCAGTCCATTCTTTCCTTGATTTATTTTCGTAATACAAGTAAATGAATTATTTTGAATATTGGGGTTATAGTACTAAACAAACCAAAGTCCTCCATGAAACATTCAGTAATTCAGGTTTATGAGGTGTAGATGGGCATATTACCTGGTTTGTCCCTAAGAAACACTTAGCCACTCCTTCAATGACTGGTTCAGAAATGTGTCTTGGATGAAGTTCCCTAGAAGCAGAGCCTGAGGCAAGGATTCAGATGTAAGAAAGGCAGGGAATGCTCTTAGAGAAACCTGTAAGGGAGCAAGATAGAGAAGGAGAAGGAGCCAAGTAACGACCTGATGTCAGGTAAAATCTAGTCTTGGTCTGGTTTTGTGTGTGGAGAGGGAAGCTTGCCTCTGGAACACAAATTACACTACAGAGTTGTTTCTGCCTTGAAGCAAGGAGGTTAGCCTGTTAAGAAACTCCATATCTATTAGTTATTAGTCTATATATTGAGACAGTGTAACTTCCCCGGCATCCCTAGGCTAGGAGGCTTTTGACAACCTAAAACACCTCTCATAAACCAAGGTCACAGGTTTAAACTGCTGGCCACAGCCTCAAAATAGCTGCAGGGAGTGGGGGAAAGGGTAAAGAATGGAAGGGGTGCACCAGCTGATAAAAGGGATCTGAGTGGAGTGCCAAAACATCCACTACTGCATGTGTCCCAACCAAGTTAATCTTAGACAATGAGATTTAATTCTGCAACTTCTTCTGGAACCATGAGGGAAAATAATCTTTCCTTTTGCTCACCGTGAAATTAGTACAATGCCTGCCTGCAGCTGCTTGAGCCCGTTTTGGGAACAGCCAACTGAGAAGAAAAGAAGAGTAATATAGAGAGGCAGAGTCCCGGTGACGGTGACTCTAATTAGTGTTCTTTTCTCTGCATACCAGTTTGTTCTGCACCTCAATATGTCCAATTCCCTTTAGAATCCATCAGTTTGGCCGGGCGCGGCGGCTCACGCCTGTAATCCCAGCACTTTGGGAGGCCGAGGTGGGTGGATCACGAGGTCAGGAGATCGAGACCATCCTGGCTAACACGGTGAAACCCCGTCTCTACTAAAAATACAAAAAATTAGCCGGGCGAGGTGGCGGGCGCCTGTAGTCCCAGCTACTCAGCAGGCTGAGGCAGGAGAATGGCGTGAACCCAGGAGGTGAAGCTTGCAGTGAGCCGAGATCGCACCACTGCACTCCAGCCTGGGCAACAGAGCGAGACTCCGTCTCAAAAAAAAAAAAAAAGAACCCATCAGTTTAACCCAGCTGGGCCTGAACTCAGTAGTCATGGAGTCCAATTCTCTTGCTTTGGAGGAGAGATTGAGATTAAGGTAACAGAAGATCCGGGATTAGAATCCAAACCTCGTGTTGACTTGTGAGTCAAGCCGAAGGCATGTTCCAGGGCATCAGGGTGCCCTAGCTCTTGGAGGGAACTTAAATTCTTTTGCCAAGGAAGCAGTATTTATTTTATAAGGTCAGCCACACTATAAAAGAAACACAAACAGAAATCTCGCCTGGTGATTGTCCAATGCATCGCAGTTAATGGAGCATTTTCACATCTGGGATGTCCTTCAAGACTCCTATCAACTTTGGAAGCACTAAGTCCTGTGCCCTCTGCTACTTCTCCTTGGGATGCCAGAGTGATCACATGTTCCATTCAAAACAGAATTAGGACAGGATGAGGGCCAGCTTCTGTGCTGACCTCCCAGCTCTGCCTCCTGGCCACATGCAACTTGAGATCAGCCCTTTTCAGAGGCTGCAGCTGCTGCTGCACGTGATGAGTGCAGGTTAGGCTGCATTCACTCAGGGCCCTTGTTGGCACTTGTATTTCTTTCATTTCAAAAAGCCAGCAGGCTAGGGGCCAGAGAAGATCCCATCAAGAAATGTGAAACATATGCCTCACTGCTCCTTTGCTGCCATCAAGACCAAATAATTAACCATCAGTGAATTTCTTTTTCTTTCCTTTTTTTTTTTGAAACAGAGTCGTCTTGCTCTGTTACCCAGGCTGGAGTGCAGTGGTGCGATCTCGGCTCACTGCAACCTCTGCCTCCTGAGTTCAACCGATTCTCGTGCCTCAGCCTCCCGAGTAGCTGGGACTACAGGCATGCACCATCATGCCTGGCTAATTTTTTTGTATTTTTATTAGAGATGGGGTTTCGCCATGTTGCCCAGGCTAGTCACTCAAACTCCTAAGCTCAAGCAATCTACCTGCCTCAGCCTCCTATAGTGCTGGGATTACAGGTGCGAGCCACCACACCCAGCTATCAGTGAATTTCAAGAAGTGGACAAGCATAGTGCCAGAATCAAAGGTAGAAGGGAAACAATCAATTATTTATTTATTTATTTTTGACACAGGGTCTTGCTCTGTCTCCCAGGCTGGAGTGTAGTGGTGTCATCATAGCTCACTGCAGCCTTGAACTCGGGGGCTCAAGAGATCCTTCCACTTCAGCCTCCAGAGTAGCTGGGACTACAGGGTTGCACCAACATGTCTGGCTAATTTTCTAATTTTTTGTAGAGACATGGTCTCACTGTGTTGCCCAGGCTGGTCTTGAACTCCTGGCCTCAATCAATCCTCCTGCCTTGACCACGCAAAGCACTAGGATTACAGGCATGAGCCACTGTGCCTGTCCAGAAACAACCAATTTTTTTTTTTTAATTACGAAGTCCAAATTTGAAGAAACTATAAAATTTCAAGCTCTCAGTCAGCTGGCTACTTTTGAGTGACCCTTCTCTCCCTTCTCCATACCACAAAGTTTGAAACTGTTATTTCTGAGAAATATCCTCCGCATATTCGTGATATTTTTGTGAGACTATTTACTGATGCATTAGAAATTAAAATAGAACTTTAAATTTTTGAAGTTAGGATTTCCAACTGAATTTTCATTTTTCATAAATACAATGCCAAAGGCTATCTCCTCACATCTAGACAGCTAGGCTGTCCAGCTCAGGTGAGTTTCTTCTTTGTGACTGTCATAGATGTGGCAATATGCCACTCAAATCCCCTTCAATGAAGGATTATTGCCCCAACTGCTGGGAGTGGTATTGGCAGAGATAGTCTTCAATCACCAACCCCTTTAGGGATTTTTCTCATTTAAAGAGATTAACCTCTCTCAAAGTTACAGTCTTGGCTGGGCACGGTGGCTCCCCCCTGTAATCCCAACACTTTGGGAGGCCGAGGCAGGCGGATCACCTGAGGTCAGAAGTTTGAGATCAGTCTGGCCAACATGGTGAAAACCTGTCTCTACTAAAAATACAAAATTAGCTGGATGTGGTGGCGTGCACCTGTAATCTCAGCTACTTGAGAGAAGCTGAGACAGGAGAATCGCTTGAACCCAGGAGGCAGAGGCTGCAGTGAGCCGAGATCCCACCACTGCACTCCAGCCTGGGCAACATGGAGGGAGACTCCGTCTAAAAAAAAAAAAAAAAATTCTAGCTAAATAAGGTCCCTTGAACCTCTCGTCAAAACTTAGTTTTGGGTTAAAAAGGAAGTCAACAAGTATCAACAATAACCCACCAGCAAACTACAATTTTCTCTCTATAATTAGGAGAATGGAAAGTTATTTTAAAGAGGAATATTTTTCTCTCTCTGATGCAGTGTAATTCCATAGCTTGTTTTTGTAACACCTGAGATCATTCCACATTCCAAACTTGCAAAAACACCGACTGTGCTAGATAATGTACATTCCCCCAGACAGTGTTTGGGTTGACCTGCCATCACTAGGTCCCGCCCCATTTCTTCCTTTGTTCCTGCTTGTAGGTGGAGAGGGGCAAGAGTCTCTCTCACTGTTGGAAGAGGCGCGTAATTAGCTAGCACAAAGTAACCAACCCTAAGTACTGATTGATAAGCAGTGTCACAGGCGATCCATTTTTTTTTTTTTTTTTGAGACATGAAGTCTCATGCCCAGACTGGCATACAGTGACACAATCCAGGCTCATTGCAACCTCCACCTTCCAGGTTCAAGCAGTTCTCCTGCCTCAGCCTCCCCAGTAGCTGGGATTACAGGCACCTGCCACCATGCCTGGCTAATTTTTGTATTTTTTGTAGGGACAGGGTTTCACCATGTTGGTCAGGCTGGTCTTGAACTCCTGACCTCAAGTGATCTGCCTACCTTGGCGTCCCAAAGTGCTGGAATAACAGGCCTGAGCCATCGTGCCCAGTCAGGCAATTCATTTCTTTTTTTTTTTTTTTTTTTTTTGAGACGGAGTCTCGCATTGTAGCCAGGGCTGGAGTGCAGTGGCACGATCTCAGCTCACTGTAACCTTTGCCTCCCAGGTTCAAGTGATTCTCCTGCCTCAGCCTCCCGAGTAGCTGGGATTACAGGTGCCCACCACCACGCCTGGCTAATTTTTTATATTTTTAGTAGAGACGGGGTTTCACTATGTTTGCCAGGCTGGTCTTGATCACCTGACCTTTTGATCCACCGCCTCGGCCTCCCAAAGTACTGGGATTACAGGCGTGAGCCACTGCTCCTGCCTGGCCACGATTCATTTGTTATGGAATAACTATGAATTTTGTTTAGAAAGACAATGTGTGTTATGTTAAAGTAACATTGTAAAGTTGTACTTGCAACAGCTGTTTCACCAATTACATTGGCTGCTGGCCTTGCAGCCATGTCCTCCATCTCATGATGGGGTCATGTTTTTCACACACCAGTTTTATTCTAATTGCCTGTTGACAGTTGAGTAACAGCAAACATTCTGTCCACTCTGTCTTCCTTACATCTCTCTAATTAATTGCTTCTAGAAATGTGAATGGAAATCTTTTCTAGTTTCTATCTTTAAATTTATTGTGTAAATCCTGCTTAGCAACCTTTTTTCACTGCAAAACTCAACTATTTAATGCAACACATAGTTAAAGTGTAAAAAGACAGGGTAGTAAGAAGAGAAATCATTATGGCAGATAATTGTGGCAAAAATTCCCCCTGTTTCTACTTCATATTGGTTTGGCATCTGGTGTAGACTGGAAATCCAATGAAGATGGAGCTGTCTCCTCTCTAAGCATCCTTAACACCTAGGCCAGAGAAGCAACCATCCGTCTTCTGGGCTGAGGACTGTTCTTCCTCCTCTGGCTTTGTCCATGTCATTCTCCACAGTACAGGAGGCTTCCCACAGACAATGAGCCCATCAACACGTATCAGTAAATCTGGCAACTCTCTCACCTGTCAGTTCCTGTCAAGGGGCAAAGCAGAGGTGCCCACCTACCCTATTCCCACCCCAGCATAGACTTACTGTTCCACTGTAGCTGGGTTCTTGACTGCTGAGTTGTCCTGCCATTGCTCGTGACCCATAGCTGCAGTCATCTGTGCTGGCCCCAGTGCACCTGTGGACCATTCTTCCTGTGGGCACTGGCTCTGGTGCTTCCTCAAATAAGTTGCCTCCTGCTCTATTAGTTATTTAATTGAGAGATAAAAGAAGAGCTCCATTTGATTAGAGAAAATCATTACTTGTAATTGTAAAACACATGATCGAATATTATTGAAAGAAGTGATTGCCATGGTTCTAGCTAGAACATGACCCTATCCACCCCCAACTAAAAAAAGAAAAGAAAAGGAAAGAAAGGTCTGGTCCTCTTCTTGTTCATCTCAGTAAATGGTACGACTCTTCATCAAGTTGCACCAGTCAGAAATTCCAGAGTCATTTATATTCAATCAATTATCTTGTCTCTTGGAGGTGATTATCAATTATCTTGTCTCTTGGATTTTGTCACTGCCAAATCATCACTTAAAGAGACTTCATCTTCTCTTGTCTATCTCTAATCCATTGTCCACACAGCAACTAGTGATCTTTGTAAATCTGATCAAATCACTCTTCTGTTTACAACCCTTTAATGTCTCCTATTGTTCTTAGAGTAAAGATCAAAATGAGACTTAGAAACATGGTCAGGCTCATCCCTAACATCTACCAGGCTGAAACAAGAACACAAATAGAGGCTGACATACTAAATTTTTAGATATTTAAAAGTTATAAAACAAGCTGATGAAGAAATTTTAAAAATATGTAATATCCTCCTATTTTGACAAACATATCTTCATGACTCCCTATAAGGCCAGGTTTACATTTAGAATTCTCAGACATGAAGTTTCTGGCTCAGGGAGAGCTGAGCCCCAAGCCCTGGCTCTTATGTTTCTCACCACACCAGGTTCCATTCAGCATCACAGGGACTTCACTTGCACATGTGTGGTCACCCCAGTCTGCATGTTCCACATCCCTGATGAATAGCTGCCCTTTAGACAACTTTTGGGCCCAGGCGTGTGCATATCAGTAACCAGGTCGACACTCAAAAGAACAGACCAGGAAAGAGGGTGACACAGGCCCTGGAAGCAGGCTCAGAGACATTTAGGCTGGGAATTTCAGAGAATCCAGAGTGTGTTCTGGAAAGAAGGGTGATGCAGGTTTCAGATGGGCATATCCTCTTGACTGTGTGAATTCTTCATCCCATGGCAATGACTGTGTGAATTCCTCACCCCATGGCAAGGGAGTGGCTGGAGACGGGCCAGAGTGGACGCAGTGCTTTGTGCATTCTCCCGTGGCTTTCTGCCTTTTCTCCATACTGGCCTTCTTTTAATTCCTTGAATGCTCCAGATGCTTACTGATAAGGGCCTTTGTACAAGTGGTTCCCCGCTTCAACAACCCATCTTCTTCAGATGTCAGCTAAAGCATTTTGTCTTTGAAGTTGCCTTTCTGATAATTCTCACATTAGTCAGGTGCCCCAATTATGTAGCTTCATAGAATCCTGTAGTTTTCATAGCACTTATAACAATTATTAATATAACAGAATAGTTACTATATACCTAGTATTTATAAAATTAGTCATTTATCTATAAGAAGTTATATAATTAACTGTTTAGTGTGTTTATCCTCTGCTGGAATGTAAATCTCTAAGAGGGCAAGGACTATGTCTTGTGAATCTTTGTCTTCCTAACACCTAACCTGGTACTTTACATATAATCGGCACTTAAATATATTTGTTAAATGAATGAAAGCATGACTTATGGGCACTCCTCCATTCTCAGGTTCTCCCTGACTTCTATCAGAAGGGAAATTCCTTTTAGGACTCACAATGTGTCTTGGTCTCAGTCTCTGGGAGCCACGTACAGATTCTTGGAGACTGATGCTGGTGGGAGTCCTCATGGACTTTGATCTGATGGTCCATTTCCAGTTCTAGATGTCTGATTATGGCATATATGCTTAGGAACCACTCGTTTAAAAGGATCATTGATTGCTTTAGCCCTAAGTTAAAAGAATCTTCTCAGACGTGAAAATTAGATGCAATTATTATTACTATTACTATTATTGAGACAGGGTCTCACTTTGTCACCCAGACTGTAGTACAGTGGCTCAATCACAGCTCACTGCAGCCTCAACTTCCTGGGCTCAGGTGATCCTCCCACCTCAACCTCCCAGGTAGCTGGGACTACAGGTGCATACCACCATGCCCAGCTAATTTTTTGTGGAGATGGAGTCTTGCCATGGTGCCCAGGCTGATCTCAAACTCCTAGGCTCAAGCGATCTGCCCACCTCAGACTCCCAAAGTGCTGAGATTACATGCATGAGCCATTGTGCACAACTTAGATGCAATTATTTATTATTATTATTATTATTTGAGACAGAGTCTCGCTCTGTCACTCAGGCTGGAGTGCAGTGGCGTGATCTCAGCTCACTGCAACCTCCGCCTCCTGGGTTCAAGCAATTCTCCTGCCTCAGCCTCGTAAGTGGGATTACAGGCTCCCACCACCATGCCCGGCTAATTTTTTTTTTTTTTTTTTAATAGAGGCGGGTTTCACCATGTTGGTCAGGCTGGTCTCGAACTCCTGACCTCGTGATCCGCCCGCCTTGGCCTCCCAAAGTGCTGGGATTACAGGCATGAGCCACCATGCCTGACTGATGCAAATATTTTTATACCTCTTTCATTATTTAAATATCAATATTAGTGTTTTTATGTCATCTATTTATGGTATGTTGTAATCAATTAGATGCAATTATTTTATAGCCTCAGAGGTAAAATATAAAAATGATATTTGCAATTCTATTCAGTTTCTAGAAATAAATATGTGAAAATATATAACATACTATTGTTTAACTTTAAAAACATTTTTTTCTCTGATTATTATTATTATTATTATTTTTGAAAGGGAGTCTCTCTCTGTGGCCTAAGCTGGAGTGCAATGGTGTGATCTTGGCTCACTGCAACCTCTGCCTCCTGGGTTCAAGTGATTCTCCTGCCTCAGCCTCCCAAGTAGCTTGGATTAGAGGTGCCCGCCACCACGCCCAGCTGATTTTTTATATTTTTAGTAAAGACGGGGTTTCTCCATGTTGGCCAGGCTGGTCTTGAACTCCTGACCTCGGATGATCCACTCACCTCGGGCTTCCAAAGTGCTGGGATTACAGACATGGGCCATTGCGCCCAGCCTAATATTATTAAGAGACAGGGTCTTGCTCTGTCACCCAGACTGGAGTGCAGTGGTGTGACCACAGCTCACTGCACCCTCTTACTCCTGAAAAATGTCCTACAGGTACATGCCACCACACCTGGCTAATTAAAAAAAAAAAATTGTAGAGATGGAGACTTTTCATGTTGCCTAGGCTGGTCTTGAACTTCTGGGCTCAAGCCATCCTGCTATCTCGGCCTCCCACAGTGCTAGCATTACAGGCATGAAGTCATAGTACCCAGCTTTTTTTTTTTCTGATTATCATAATATACGTTTATGATAGAAAAGTTGGAACATTCACAAAAATATAAAGAAGAGAATAAAAATCATCTATAATTCTAATACCTTCAGAAACCTAGTGTTAACATTTTTGTATAGTTTCTTCTGGTGTTTTTGTTATCCATATCATATAATTTAATTTTTTTTTCTTAAACAGAGTCTCACTGTGTTGCCCAGGCTGGAGTGCAGTGGTATGATCTCAGCTCACTGCAACTTCCACCTCCTGGGTTCAAGTGATTCTTATGCCTCAGCCTCCTGAGTAGCTGGGATTAGGGGTGTACACCATGCCCAGCTACTTTTTTTTTGTATTTTTAGTAGAGATGGGGTTTCACCATGTTGGCCAGGCTGGTCTCGAACTCCTGACCTCAAGTGATCCACCCGCCTCAGGCTCCCAAAGTGCTGGGATTACAGGTGTGAGACACTGTGCTTGGCCCGTATAATTTAATTTTTTAGAAAAAATAAAATCATATACATTTATATTTTTGTATCCTGCTTTGTTTTTTTGTAGATTGAGGGTATAAATTGGTACAATCTCAGCCAGGCACTGTGGCTCACGCCTGTAATCCCAGCACTTTGGGAGGCCGAGGCGAGTGGATCACAAGGTCAGGAGTTTGAGACCAGCCTGGCCAATATGGTCAAACCCAGTCTCTACTAAAAATACAAAATTAGCTGGGTGTGGTGGCGGGTGCCTGTAGTCCCAGCTACTCGGGAGGCTGAGGCAGGAGAATTGTTTGAACCCAGGAGGTGGAGGTTGCAGTGAGCCGAGATTGAGCCACTGCACTCCAGCAGGGGCAACAGAGTGAGACTCCGTCTCAAAACTAAATAAATAAATAAATAAATAAATAGGTACTGTCTCTTTGAAAGGCAATTGAAAATATTGATACAAATTTTAAATTGATACAAATTAAAAAACTCTTTGACCCAGAGATTCCATTTATTCTCCATGTGTACACCCATATGCATGAAAAGGTGGAGGTATAAGAATATTTTAGGCCGGGCGCGCTGGCTCATGCCTGTAATCCCAGCACTCCGGGAGGCCGAGGCTGGTGGATCACAAGGTCAGGAAATTGATACCATCTTGGCTACCACAGTGAAACCCTGTCTCTACTAAAAATACAAAAAAGAAGAAAATTAGCTGGGCATGGTGGCACGTGCCTGTAGTCCCAGCTACTCGGGAGGCTGAGGCAGGAGAATTGCTTGAATCCTGGAGGCAGAGGTTGCAGTGAGCCGAGATTGTGCCACTGCACTCCAGCCTGGGCGACAGAGTGAGACTCCATCTCAAACAAACAAACAAAAACAGAAAGAAAAGAAAAGAAATAAAGTTGTAATATGTATTTTTGTATAATTTCAATTCTATTAATTTATTTAATTCCAGGCTGGGCACGGTATCTCACACCTATAATCCTCGCACTTCGGGAGACTGAGGCGGTTGGATCACCTGAGGTCAGGAGTTCGAGACCAGGCTGGCCAACCTGGTGAGACCCCCCCCCCCATCTCTACTAAAAATACAAAAAATTGGATGGGCGTGGTGGTGTGTGCCTGTAGTCCCAGCTACTCAGGAGGCTGAGGCAGGAGAACTGCTTGAACCTAGGAGGTGGAGGTTGCAGTGAGCAGAGATTGCACCACTGCACTTCATCCTGGGCAACAGAGCAAGACTCTATCTTACAAAAAATTATTTGATTCTATTTTAGTTATTTTTTCAGGATAATTTCCTTAAAGTAGGATTACTGGGAATTAAGGATCTTCATATATGGTAAAATTATTTTCCAGAATATTTATACCAATTTACTATCCCAGTTGTTAAAGAGATTATCTACTCACTATAAGGTTTATTTTCCAAAATGAAAATCTCTTTGCTGCACTTTTTGAATATAAAAATAACTCATGTGGCTGGGCACAGTGGCTCACTTTGGGAGGTCGAGCCAGGCAGATCACACGTTCAAGAGATCGAGACCATCCTGGTGAACACGGTGAAACCCTGTCTCTACTAAAAATACAAAAAATTAGCTGGGCATGGTGGCACGTACCAGTAGTCCCAGCTACTCAGGAGGCTGAAGCAGAAGAATCGCTTGAACCCGGGAGGTGGAGGTTGCAGTGAGCCGAGATAGCACCACTGCACTCCAGCCTAGGCAACAGAGAGAGACTCTGTTAAAAAAAAAAAAAAAAAGCTAAATATGTAAGTTCCGAAAACACAGGAAATTTAGGTCTGGTGAGGTGACTCACACCTCAATCCCAGCATTTTTGGGAGGCTGAGGTGGGTGAATTACTTGAGCCCAGGAGTTTGACATCAGTCTGGGTAGCATGGCAAAACCCCATCTCTACCAAAAATAGAAGAATTAGCTTGGCATGGTGGTGCACACCTGTGGTCCCAGCTACTTGGGAGGCTGCAGTGGGAGGATCGCTTGAGCCTGGGAGGCAGAAGCTTCAGTGAGCTGAGATGGTGCCATTGCACTCTAACCTGGGTGACGGAGTGAGACCATGTCTGAAAAGCAAAACAGGAAATTTGTAGAAAGGAAAATAAAAAGGCTGGGTGTGGTGGCTCACACCTGTAATCCAAGCACTTTGGGAGGCCGAGGTGGGTAGATCATTTGAGGTCAGGAGTTTGAGGCCAGCCTGGTCAACATGGTGAAACCTTGCCTCTACTAAAAATACAAAAATTAGCCAGGTGTGGTGGCGGGCACCTGTAATCCCAGCTATTTGGGAGGCTGAGGCAGGAGAATCACTTGAACCCAGGAGGTGAAGTTTGCAGTGAGCCGAGATGGCAGCACTGCACTTCAGCCTGAGAGACAGAGCAAGACTCCATCTAAAAAAAAAGAAAGGAAAATAAAAAGCATTATCCACAGATACTCATTGTTGTTTTGTTTTGTTTTTTGAAACGGTTTGAATTCATCACCCAGGCTGGAGTGCAGTAACACGATCATGGCTCACTGAAACCTAGACCTTCTGGGCTCAGGTAATCCTCCCAACTCAGCCTTCCAGATAGGTAGATGAGATCACAGGCTACAGGAGCACCCTAGCATGCCCAGCTAATTTCTCGTATTTTTTGTAGAGACGGGGTTTTGCTATGTTGCCCAGGCTGGTCTTGAACTCCTGGGCTCAAGCAATCTATCCGCGTTGGCCTCCCAAAGTGCTGGGATTACAGGAGTGAGCCACCTCACCCAGCAGATACTCACTGTTAACACTAAACTATGTATCCAAACTTTTTCCTAGTTTATATTAACCTGATTTTGTTGAATTTAATGTACTTTGGGTTTCTTTCTAAGCCAACAGGTAATATGGAAGTGTTGTATCTTTTTAATAGATACATAGTAATCTATTATAAGGATATAAAATGGATATCTTGGGTTGGGTCCTGGGGAAGGCAGATTCTGAGATGAAGTGCTCCTGGTATCAACATCTGTGGAAAAGAGGGGAAGGAAACAGAATTGAACAGACAGAGAAGTTATATTGGATTTTAAACCCAATGGTAGCCTCAGCTGACCTCACAGGAAGTTCTGCAACTGAAATGATCCCTCAGAGTTATCCCAAATTGGAGATGGTCAGGATTTTTTTTTTTTTTTTTTTTTGGAGACAGTCTTGCTCTGCCACAGAGGTTGGGGTGCAGTGGTGTGATCTTGGCTCACTGCAACCTCTGCCTCGCCAGTTCAAGCAATTCTTGTGCCTCAGCCTCCTGAGTAGCCGGGATAACAGATGTGCACCACCACACCCAGCTAATTTTTGTGTTTTTAGTAGAGACAGGGTTTTGTCATGTTGGCCAGGCTGGTCTCAAACTCCTGGCCTCATGTAATCTGCCTGCCTTGGCCTCCAAAAGTGCTGGGATTACAGGCATGAGCCCCTGCACCCCGTCTGCACCCTGTCAGTCAGGCCTTTTTACCCTGGCATTGATCACTGGATATGAGTCATCTTGGGAAGGGACCTGTCTCTCTGTAGCTAAGGCAATCCCTGAAGGAGCCAATAGCATTCCCAGAAGTTGAGGTAATCCTTCATTGAAGGAGGATCTGAGCAGCATATCACAGTGTCCACCATAGTCTTGTTCTGTTCAGATCTACATCTTCATATATGTTCTAGGAGCAGCAATACCAGCATTAGGATGGGCCTCTCTTTTTCTGTGGGACATTTAGAAAAGTAAGATTAATGGAGCAAACCATAGCTCTTATTACTGCCACTAGTCTCAGGGCTGCGACTGATACTTATTGTCTCCCTTGTCCTCTATCCAGTTTAGAGTCCTCTTACCTCAGCTATTACCTCAGTGGCTTACCTGGTGGCATGACCCAGACCCTCATCTTTGAAGGGTTTCCCCTAGTTTTTATTCCTTTCTCAAGCCGAGGTTGCTGTATTTGTCTATTTATGGTCAAAATTGGGAAAAATCATACACCAGGAGGTACACAGTTAGATTACCTAAATGCCAAACATTCATGCTTCTGCTATCTAACCTTTCCCTGATGCCAGAATGGTGACTCTTCTTTTTGCCTGCTATCCCTGGACACAAAGAACACAAAGGGCCCAGGTTGATAGCCATAGCTTGGAACTCAGTGGGAGTCTTGCTATATTCTCTGGTAAAATTGCACTCCTTCTGGGGACCTGTACCTCCAACTTTGTAGAGCTCAGACTTGGGAGACAATTCTTCTGCCTTATTAGCCTCCCAAAGAGCTGGGATTACGATTGTAGGTGTGAGTCACTGAGCCTAGCCAGAATGGGTGATTTTTTAATAAATGAAAATTTATTTCTTACAGTTCTAGAAGTTGGAAAGTCCAAGAGCAAGAGGCTGGCATATGGCAAGGCCTTCTTGCTCCTCATTCCATGGTGAAAGGTGGAAGTGCGAGAGAGAGAGTAAAAAGGGTCCAAATTCTTCCTTTCATAACAAACCCACTACCAAGATAACAGCATTAATTCACTCACTCTGCCCTCATGGCCTAATCACTTCCCATTAGGCTTCACCTCCCAACACTATTGCATTGGGGATTAAGTTTTCAACATATACTTTTTGGGGGACACATTCAAACCATAGCAGAGTGGCACTAATTTCTGCCATTCCTCCAACAGTACTGTTTTTTGTTTTGTTTTGTTTTGTTTTGTTTTTTTGAGACAGAGTCTTGCTCTGTCTCCCAGGCTGGAGTGCAGTGGTGTAATCTTGGCTCACTGCAACCTCCGCCTCCTGGGTTCAAGCGATTCTCCTGCCTCAGCCTCCCAAGTAGCTGGGAATACAGGCACCTGCCACAAAGCCTGGCTAATTTTTGTATTTTTAGTAGAGACGGGGTTTTGCCATGTTGGCCAGGCTGGTCTCGAACTCCTGGCCTCAAGTGATCCGCCTGGCTCGGCCTCCCAAAGTGCTGGGATTATATGTGTGAGCCATGGTGCCCAGCCTACAGTACTATTTTTGATTTATATCATTATAATTGTTATTTCATAGGCCAAGGACCCAATGAGGGAGTTGTGCCAACTATGAAGTATATCTACTCTGATTATGTATTTGGGAAATGGGGAAATTACCAACATATAGGTCTGTAGAAGAGTAGATCCAATGTGATCTGGACCTTGTTTCTTAGTGAATTCAGACTACTATAACAAAATACCCAAAACCGGGTAGCTTATAAGTGATGAACATTTAAATCTTACAGTTCTGGAGGCTGGAAAGTTCAAGACAAGTTGCCAGCAGATTTCAGTGTCTGGTAAGGGCCTGTTCTTCATACATAGCACCTTCTCCCTGTGTCCTCATATGGAGGAAGGGGTAAGGCAGCTTCCTCAGGCTTCTTCTTTTTTTTTTTTTTTTTTTTCTGTTTTTTGAGACAGAGTTTTGCTCTTGTTGTCCAGGCTATAGTGCAATGGCGCAGTCTCGGCTCACCGCAACCTCCAACTCCTGGGTTCAAGTGATTCTCCTGCCTCAGCCTCCTGAGTAGCTGGGATTACAGGCACGTGCCACCATGTCTGGCTAATTTTTGTATTTTTAGTAGAGATGGGGTTTTGCCTTGTTGGCCAGGCTGGTCTGGAACTCCTGACCTCATGTGATCTGCCCACCTCGGCCTCCCAAAGTGCTGGGATTACAGGCTCTAGCCACCATGCCCAGCCCTCAGGCTTCTTTATAAGAGTACTTATCCCATTCATGACAGCTCTGCCCTCAAGATCTATCATTTCCCAAGGGACCCGCTCTTAATATTATCACATTGGGAATTAGGTTTCAACATATTAATTTTGGGTGAACTTAAACATTCAGACCATGGCATCTTGGGTAGGACTTCATTTATTACCTGACCCCCACATGTACCTACCCTAATAGGGGGACCATAAATGATTCTTTGGGTCTCTATGTATCAACGTTAATTCAGAGTCTGGAACCAATAGTCTTTGAAATGTTTTGGTACTACTACCATTTTCCCAGTGCATGATTATTTGAGTAAAGCCATAGGTCCAACAGTTCTGGAACAACCATTGGGGAAGGACGGAGAAAATCATTCCTGTGTACTTTCACCATGGTGTTACAGGTTATTTTTTCCTGGGGACCTAATCTCTCCTTGAGTTAATGGATTTCATGTCTAAAGCATGAGTTCATGTTTGGAAACTTGTCAAGGAATTATATTTCAATTGGGGTTACTGATTCAGTCTCCTGGTCATAAATTTTTAAAAAACAAACTGAATACCCTTATTGGTTGCCCACCTATTTTTTTCCCTAAGGACACCACATTAATTATCTCCATAATAATCCTCTGAGGGCCACCTCCCCCGACTGTCTCTCTGATCTTATAATAACTGTCCAATTAGACATTTATTTATTTATTATTTTTTGAGATGGAGTCTTGCTCTGTCGCGCAGGCTGGAGTGCAGTGGCGGGATCTCAGCTAACTGCAACCTCTGCCTCCCAGGTTCAAGCGAGTCTCCTGCCTCAGCCTCCTGAGTAGCTGGGACTACAGGCATGTGCAACCACGCCCAGCTAATTTTTTGTATTTTTAGTAGAGATGGGGTTTCACTGTGGTAGCCAAGATGGTCTCGATTTCCTGACTTCATGATCTGCCTGCCTCAGCCTCCCAAAGTGCTGGGATTACAGGCATGAGCCACTGCACCCAACCTATTATTATTTTTTAGATGGAGTCACTCTGTCACTCAGGCTGGAGTGCAATGGCACGATCTTGGCTCACTGCAACCTCCGCCTCCTCAGTTCAAGAGATTCTCCTGTCTCAGCCTCCCAAGTAGCTGAGACTACAGGTATGCTCCACCACACCCAGCTGATTTTTGTATTTTTAGTAGGACGGTGTTTCAGCAAGTTGGCCAGGCTGGTCTCGAACTCCTGGCCTCAAGTGATCTGGCGACCTTGGCCTCCTAAAGTGTTGGGATTACAGGCATGAGCCACCGAACCCAGCTAATTTTTTTTTTTTTTTTTTTTTTTTGAGACGGAGTCTTGCTTTGTCACCGAGGCTGAAGTGCAGTGGCATGATCTCGGCTCACTGCAACCTCCACTTCCCAGGTTCAAGGGATTCTCCTGCCTCAGCCTCCCGAGTAGCTGGGATTACAGGTGCCCACCACCACACCCAGCTAATTTTTGTATTTTTTTTTTTTTTAGTAGAGACAGGGTTTCACATATTGGTCAGGCTGGTCTTGAACTCCTGACCTCAGGTGATCTGCCTGTCTCGGCCTCCTAAAGTTCTGGGATTACAGGGATAAGCCACCACGCCTGGCCTACTTATTTATGCATTTTTTTGGAGACAGGGTCTCACTCTGTTGCCCAGGATAGAGTGCAGTGGTGCAGGCATGGCTCACTGCATCCTTGACTTCCTGGACTCAAGCAACCCTCCTGCCTCAGCCTCCTGCCTCAGCTGGGACCACAGATGTGTGCCACCATGCCTGGCTAATTTTTTTTTTGTAGAGACAAGGTCTCCATGTTTCCCAGACTGGTCTCAAACTCATGGTCTCAGGTGATCCTCCCACCTCAGCCTCCCAAAGTGCTGAGATTACAGGTATGAGCCACTGCACCCAGACAACACTTGTTGTCTTGATAGAGAGAGGTCTCTGCACCATCTCTGAGCAATGGTGCAGAGAGGGTGGGCCACTTTTAGGAACGTCCTCATCTAATGTGTCAAGCCCCATTCTTTCCCAACTAGGGCCCTGACCTTAACTTGATTTACCTGTGTTGACTGGAAAGTGAATCTTCTTTGGAGCTTAGCTACTCTAAGTTTATTCTTTAGCTTATTCTGTACCCCCACTGCTGGAGAGGAGAGCCACTTTGTGAGCTATTAAGCAGACTCTCTAATTTTCACTTGGTGATTAATCATTCTCAATGAAGAAATTGGTGATTAATCATTTTCAACTTTTCATTATCTTTTTTCTAGTGCATCAATCGGTTAAACAATAGTCTTAGTCTGTTTTAGTCAGCTTGGACTATTATAACAAAATACCACACATCAGGAGGTTTAAACAACAGAACTTTATTTATCACAGTTTTTGGGGGCTAGGAAGTCCAACTTCAAAGTGCCAGCTGACTTGATTCCTAGTGAGGGCTCTCTTCCTGTCTTAAAGATAGCTGCTTTCTTGCTTTGTCCTTACATGGTCTTTCCTTGGTGCATGTGTGCAGAGATAGGGAAAGAGAGAGAGAGATCTCTCTTTCTTTTCTTAAAAGACCATTAGTCCTATCAGAGTAGAACCCCATCGGTGCATGCGTGCAGAAACAGAGAAAGAGAGAGATTTCTCTTCCTCTTCTTAAAAGACCACTAGTACTATCAGAGTAGAACCCCACCCATATGACCTAATTTAACCTTAATTATCTCTTAAAAGTCCTATCTCCAAATATAATCACATTGGGGACTAGGGTTTCAATACAGATATTTTGGGGGATATATTTCAGTCCATAGTACCAATCAATTCCATCATCCTTATAGTTGCTATTTCCCCCATGTTTCTCAAATGCTTAATACATCATATCTGTAAATATATACTCTTTTACTGGTGTATCAACCCAATTGACCATGCATGAAAGTTTTAACAATTGGACTGTAATCTTGTGATAGGGGTCCTCATTGTCAGGTGGGCAGCTAGTGATCATGCTCCAAAGTCCCATCTTAGTGCCTGCTTTCTCATACCTCACTCCTGCCACCAACTGTCATAGGTTGGGTTCCTGGGAAGCAAACTATGAAACAGAATTTAACAGGCAGGTTATTTATTAAGGAGTGCCCTTGGGGTTAGCACTTGTGGAACAGAGGGGGAAGGACACGGATTGGGCAGAGAGAGATTATGCAGATTACATAGGGAGTCTGGGATGTTACAATTGACCTTTAGAGTTGTCCCAAGTTGGGCTAAGATGGTCAAGCTCTTATACCTTCACGTTAAGGTTTTGCTTGTTTGTTTGTTTTGTTTTGTTTCTGTGTGTGTGTGTGTGTGTGGTGGGGTGGGACGGGGGACAGCATTTGGCTCTGTTGTCCAGGCCGGACACAATCTTGGCTCACTGCAACCTCCACCTCCTGGGGTCAAACCATCCTCCCACTTCAGCCTCCCATGTCCCTGGGACTGCAGGCTCATGCCACCATACCTGGCTAATTTTTCTATTTTTTTAGAGATGGGGTTTTGCTATATTGCCCAGGCTGGTCTCAAACTCCTGAGCTCAAGCCATCCACCCACCTTGGCCTCCTGAAGTGCTAGGATTATAGGCGTGAGCCACCATGCCTGGCCTCTTATACCTTCACTTTGATCAGCAATTGCATGTGGGCCACTTGGGAAGGAACCTAACCTTGAGCAAGGTGGCGCTCTGCAAATGTAGCAATTCTGAAGGAACCAAAGACTTACCCAACAGTGAACTCAGTAGCTAGAAGAAGTCCTTAATTAAAAGGAGAGCTTGAGGGAGTGCACAATGGCTAACACCTGTAATCCCAGCACTTTGGGAGGCCGAGACAGGCAGATCACTTGAGGTCAGGAGTTCAAGACCAGCCTGGCCAACATGGTGAAACCCCTGTCTCTACCAAAAAAAAAAAAAAAAAAAAAAAAAAAAAAAAAATAGCCAGATGTGGTAGCACGTGCCTGTAGTCCCAGCTACTTGGGGTGGCAGGTGGATCTTTTGAGTCTGGAAGATTGACGCCGCAGAGAGCCGAGATCATGCCACTGCACTCCAGCCTGGGTGACAGAGTGAAACCTTGTCTCAAAAATAAAATAAAAACATCAGGAAAGTTTACATAAAGTTGCTGTTGATTTGCTAAATGTAATAGTCTGATCATGACACTGAATAAATGTCTCAAAAAAAGACAAAAACTATGTATGGATGTCCATTAGAAAGTAAATGAAAAAATTGTAGTATAATCATGCAATGGACTACTATAGCAGTACTGAAAAGGAATGAACAGTTAATTCACACCACATGGATGAATCTCAAAATAATTTTGTTGAATAAAGAAGACAAAAAAGTACATGATGTATTATTCCCTTTATATAAAATTCTAGAAGATGCAATTAATCTGCAGTGACAGAAAGCAGATCAGTGGTTACCTGGGGATAAGATAAATAAAGGAGGTTTGGGGAAGACAGTTTACAAAGGATGATGAGGCAACTTTTGGAGTTGATGGATATATTAATTGTTATTCTTATTTTTTTTTTTTTTTGAGACAGGGTCTCACTCTGTCACCCAGGCTGGAGTGCAGTGGTGCGATCACAGCTCATTGCAGTCTTGATCCCCCTGGCTCAAGGGATCCTCTCACCTCAGCCTCCCAAGTAGCTGGGACTACAAGCATGTGCCACTGCACCCAGCTATTTTTTTGTTTATTTTTTTCTAGAGTCAAGGTCTCACTATATTGCCCAGGCTGGTCTTGAATTCCTGAGCTCATGCAATCTTCCTGCCTTAGCCTCTCAAAGTGCTGGGATTACAGACAGACATGAGCTACCATGCCTGGCCTATATTCATTATGTTGATTGTGGTGATGGTTCCATGGGTATACATATATGTCATAGTTCATCAAATTATAAACTTTAAATATGTGCATTTTTGTTATATGTCAATCATATCTCAATGAAACTGTATCAAACATCTATATATATATAGTACTATATACTCAGTACATGTCTGCCTAGCTGTCATTGACAAAGTATATTCACTTTTAGTTTATTGATTGCTTACGTTAATTCAAAAAAATTGCAATTCTGATCATGAAAAGTTGTTACTAAATTTTTATTTCTAAAATGTTATATCACTAAGATTAAAGAGAAAGCCTAAAAGCTTCTGGAAATGAATAATAGTGGCTACCTCTGGAAAGAAAGCTAAGATTCTAGTGCGCAAGAAATAGGCAAGTAACTTTTTACTGTTTGAATTGGTAACGTGTGTAATATTTATATTAAAAAGTTCTTTTTTCAGAAATAACTTGATTGGGGAGGGTGGGGCTTGGGGAAGAAGAAATAACTTGACTATGAAATATATGTAATGAAAGATTGCAAAAGTGATCTGAATATGTTTCCATAATATATTTTAACCTAGAGATGATTTATAGCTAACTAAGTTAATTAAACATGAAAGGAAAAATTTCTGGTGGTAATGAGGGGATTAAAAAGTTAATTATTGGCCAGGCACAGTGGCTCATGCCTGTAATCCTAGCACTTTGGGAGGCCAAGGCAGGCAAATCACTTGATGTAAGGGGTTCAAGACCGGCCTGGCCAATATGGTGAAACCCAGTCTCTACTAAAAACTACAAAATTGGCCAGGCATGGTGGTGCATGCCTGTAATCCCAGCTACTTGGGAGACTGAGGTAGAATTGCTTGAACCTGGGAGGTGGAGGCTGCAGTGAGCTGAGATTGTGCCACTGCACTCCAGCCTGAGTGAAAGAGTAAAACTCCATCTTTAAGAAAAAAAATAATTAATTAATTATCTATTAAGACCACACTTCCATCCAATTTATCAGTATCACTGAAAACTAGAATGTATTATACTACATAATGCCTTGAAATTTTGAGGGAATGTAAATTCGAACTAAGTCAGAGTGACCAGCAGAATGAAGATATTTTCAAATATCCAAAAACTGGAAGTTTATCTCCCATTCTTTCATAAGTAGCTGGGGATGTTCTCCAGCAAATAAGAAGATAAACTAAGAAGACTGTATTAGTCCATTTTCACGCTGCTGATAAAGACATACCTGAGACTGGACAATTTACAAAAGAAAGAGGTTTAATGGACTCACAGTTCCACATGGCTGGGGAGGCCTCACAATCATGGCAGAAGGTGAAAGGCATGTCTCACATGGCAGCAGACAAGAGAAGAGAGCTTGTGCAGGGAAACTCCCCTTTATAAAACCATCAGATCTCTTTTTTTTCTTTTTTCTTTTTTTTTTTGAGACGGAGTCTCGCTCTGTCACCCAGGCTGGATGGAGTGCAGTGGCGTGATCTCAGCTCACTGCAAACTCCACCTCCTGGGTTCACACCATTCTCCTGCCTCAGCCTCCCGAGTAGCTGGGACGACAGGCGCCCACCACCACGCCCAGCTAATTTTTTGTATTTTTAGTAGAGACGGGGTCTCACCGTGTTAACCAGGATGGTCTCGCTCTCCTGACCTTGTGATCCGCCCACCTTGGCCTCCCAAAGTGCTGGGATTACAGGTGTGAGCCACTGCGCCGGGCCAACCATCAGATATCTCTTGAGACTTACTCACTATCACGAAAATAGCACGGGAAAGACCCACCCCCAAGATTCAATTACCTCCTACTGGGTCCCTCCCACAACACGTGGGAATTGTGGGAGCTACAATTCAAGATGAGAATGGAGTGGGGACGCAGCCAAACCATATCATTCTGCCCCAGCCTCTCCCAAATCACATGTCCTCACATTTCAAAGCCAATCATGCCTTCCCAACAGTCCCCTAAAGTCTTAGCTCGTTTCAGCATTAACTCAAAAGTCTACAGTGCAAAGTCTCATCTGAAACAGGGCAAGTCCCTTCTGCCTATGAGCCAGTAAAACCAAATGCAAGTTAGTTACTTCCTAGACAAAATGGGGGTAAATACAGCCATTCCAAATGTTAGAAATTGGCCAAAACAAAGGGGCTAAGGCCCCATGCAAGTCTGAAATCCAGCAGGGCAGTCAAATCTTAAAGCTCCAAAATGATCTCTGACTCCATGTCTCACATCCAGGTCACCTTGATGCAAGAGGTGGGTTCCCATGGTCTTGGGCAGCTCTGCCCCTGTGGCTTTGCAGGGTACAGCCTCCCTCCTGGCTGCTTTCACAGGATGGCGTTGAGTGTCTGCAGCTTTTCCAGGCACATGGTGCATTCTGGGGTCTGGAGGATGATGGCCCTCTTCTTCTCACAGCTCCTCTAGGCAGTGCACCAGTGGGGACTCTGTGTGGGGGTGCCCACCTGACATTTCCCTTCTGCACTGCCCTAGCACTGAGTGCCCCACCCCTGCAGCAAACTTCTATCTGGACATCCAGGCATTTCTATACATCCTCTGAAATCTAGGCAGAGGTTCCTCGATTCTTGACTTCTGTGCACCCACAGGTTCAACGGCATGTGGAAGCTGCCAACGCTTGGGGCTTGAACCCTCTGAAGCCATAGCCTGAGCTGTACCTTGGCCCTTTTTAGTCATGGCTGGAGTGGCTGGGACACAGGGTACCAAGTCTCTAGACTGCACAGAGCAGAGGGACCCTGGGACTGGCCCATGACACCTCCAGGCCTGTGATGGGAGGGGCTGCTGCAAAGGTCTCTGATGTGCCTTTTTTTTTCTTTTTTGAGATGAAGACTCTCTCTGTTGCCCTGGAGTGCAATGGTGCAATCTTGGCTCACTGCAACCTCCGCCTCCTGTGTTCAAGTGATTCTCCTGCCTCAGCTTCCAAAGTAGCTGGAACTACAGGCATGTGCCACCACAAATTTCTGCAGCCTGCTTGAATTTCTCTTTAGAAAATGGGATTTTCTTTTCTATCTCATTGCCAGGCTTCAAATTTTCTAAAGTTTTATGCTTTGTTTCCCTTTGAAAACTGAATGCCTTTAACAGCACCCAAGTCACCTCTTGAATGCTTTGCTGCTTAGAAATTTCTTCTGCCAGATACCCGAAATCAGCTCTCTCAAGTCAAAGTTCCACACATCTCTAGGGCAGGGACAAAATGCTGCCAGTCTCTTTGCTTAAACGTAACAAGAGTCACCTTTGCTGTAGTTCCCACAAGTTCCTAGTCTCCATCTGAGACCACCTCAGCCTGAATTTCATTGTCCATATCATTATCAGCATTTTGGCCAAAGCCATTCAACAAGTCTCTAGGGAGTTCCAAACTTTCCCACATTTTCCTGTCTTCTTCTGAGCCCTCCAAACTGTTCCAACCTCTGCCTGTTTCCCAGTTCCAAAGTTGCTTCCACATTTTTGGGTATATTTTCAGCAGTGCCCCACTCTTCTGGTACCAATTTACTGTATTAGTCCATTTTCACACTGCTGATAAAAGACATACCAGAGACTGGGCAATTTACAAAAGAAAGAGGTTTAATGGACTCATAGTTCCAAGTGGCAGGAGACCTCACGATCATGGCAGAAGTGAAAGGCACATCTTACACGGTGGCAGACAAGAGAAGAGAGCTTGTGCGGGGAAACTCCCCTTTACAAAACCATCGGATCTCATGAGACTTATTCACTATCTCGAGAATAGCACAGGAAAGACTCACCCCTCATGATTCAATTACCTCCCACAAGGTCTCTCCCACAACACATGGGAATTGAGAGAGCTACAATTCAAGATGAGATTTGAGTGGGGACACAGCCAAACCATATCGAAGACATAGATACTAGAAAAGAGTGGCTCTAACTTTGGAGTGCAGTAAAGGGAAGTCCTCAGTGGTACAGCAGAACTAAAGAACAATTAGATTAAATGGAAGCAGAAGGCCAAATGTTCTTCAGGGGTATGTACCAGGGGGCAAAAGAGAGAGCATCTCTGTAAATGGAAAAACTTGATATGATAAATTAGATAAAATATTCAGGAGGCAAAAGGGTAATTTAAAACTCCAGGAAAAACAAAGCCATACAAGTTTGCTTTTTTGTTTTTGTTTTTTTGAGACGCAGTCTTGCTCTTGTCACCCAGGCTGGAGTGCAACAGTGCGATCTCAGCTCACTGCAACCTCCGCCTCCTGGGTTCAAGTGATTGTCCTGCCTCAGCCTCCTGAATAGCTGGGATTACAGGCACCTGCCACCACGCTCAGCTAATTTTTGTATTTTTAGTAGAGACGGGGAAGTTTGCTCTCTGTTGTTGTTGTTTTGTTTTGTTTTTGAGATGGCGTCTGTCACCCAGGCTGAAGCACAGTTGTGCTATCATGGCTTACTGCAGCCTTGAATTCCCAGGCTCAGGAGATCCTCCCATCTTAGCCTCCTGAGTACCTGCGACTACAGGTGTGTGCCACCATGCCCAGCTAATTTTTTGTATTTTATTTTTGGAGAACCAGGATTTCACCATGTTTTCCAGGCTGGTCTTGAACTCTCAGGCTCAAGTGATCTGCTACCTCGGCCTCCCAAAGTGCTAGGATTACAGGCGTGAGCCACTCTGCCCAGCCCGTTTGTGATCTAAATATGAAGCAAAGATATTTGGGCAATTGTTAATAAGGGAAGATAATCCATTTGATCCTGATGCTTTCTATATTTTCCTTTGAGTGGTTTTCTAGTGGTTTTCACGGTGGTTCAGTGGTTCTGTAAAAGAGAAGATGTAATCCTAGCACACTCCTTAGTCTGGAAGTTGGCTATTAACTGTGTCAACCTATGGACAAAACACAAAAGACTTCTTGTGTTTAAGGGAGGTGAGAAAAAGGTGTGAAGGAAGAATGGTGGTGTTAATAGTGGAGAGTTGTAATACTACCTAAAGTTGAAATGTTATCTAGTGTTTTATCTTGTATTATTCAGAGTTACAAAGAAGCGTGGTGGCTCATGCCTGTAATACCACCACTTTGGGAGGCTGAGGCAGGCAGACCACCTGAGGTCAGTTTGAGAGAAGCCTGACCAACATGGTGAAACCCCGTCTTCACTAAAAATATAAAAATTAGCTGGGCATGGTGGCCCACACCTGTAATCTCAGTTACTCAGGAGGCTGAGGCAGGAGAATTGCTTGAACCTGGGAGGAAGAAGTTGCAGTGAGCCAAGATCATGCCACTGTACTCCAGCCTGGGCAACAGAGGGAGACCGTGTCTCCAAAAAGGAAAAAAAAAAAAAAAGTTACAAAGAAAACCAACAAAAGACGCAAACTTAATGCAACTGTTAAATATTGGACCAGTGGGTATTAACATAATCTTTATCCTTTGTAGCAGGGAGTCATTAGATTTTATTTAAAGTTGAATGAGCATATTTAGAAATATTGAAGTAATTCCAAACAAACAAAAACATGTAAAAGATGTTGTCCTTGGGCAGTGGCCCTGGCGGTAGAGTTAGGATGAAGCTTGGTTGCTTTTCAACGTTATGTTTTTTTGTCCTGTTTGATATGTTACAATTTATTTTGTATCCTTTAATTTGTTGCCATTGTGCATTTCTTTTACAGAAAATAAAATTAGAGGCTGGTTTTTCTGCCTATATGGAAACAATGTTTTAGATAGCTATTCTATCAAGAATGATTCCCAGGCCGGGGTGCAGTGGCTCACGCCTCTAATCCCAACACTTTGGGAGGCCGACGCCAGCAGATCACCTGAGGTTAGGAGTTTGAGACCAGCCTGGCCAATATGGTGAAACCCTGTCTCTACTAAACATACAAAAATTAGCTGGGTGTGGTTGTGTGCACCTGTAATGCTAGCTACTTGGGAGGCTGAGACAGGATAATCGCTTGAACCCGGGAGGCGGAGGTTGCAGTGAGCCAAGATCATGCCACTGCACTCCAGTTTGGGTAACACAGCAAGATTCCGACTTTAAAAAAAAAAAAAAAAGGATGATTCCTCAAAGTAGTCCAGGCCTCATACAGGTCTTTTGAAATAAGCCATAAAGTGGAATCCCAAGGACATCAAGAAACTTGGACTAAGAAAACGGTTGTTCTACTGGCACTTGAGTCTCTAAATAATAATAACTCTTAGCTCCTACCCACACTAGTTCCAGCCCTCTGCCTGTGAGTTTTTTTTTTTTTTTTTTTTGAGATGGAGTCTCGCTCTGTCACCCAGCCCGGAGTGCAGTGGCATGATCTCGGCTCACTGCAAGCTCCGCCTCCCGGGTTCACACCATTCTCCTGCCTCAGCCTCCCAAGTATTTGGGACTACAGGAGCCTGCCACCACGCCCAGCTAATTTTTTGTATTTTTAGTGGAGACGGGGTTTCACCGTGTTAGCCAGGACGGTCTCGATCTCCTGACCTTGTGATCCGCACCGCCTTGGCCTCTCAAAGTTCTGGGTAAGGATTACAGGCGTGAGCCACCGCGCCTGGCCAAAATTTCTTTTTAAAAAAATATCTGAGCAATTCCGATCCTCTGCTTTTTGAGAATAGAGTTTTGCCTATAACCAGGTTACTGATTCTGAAAGGGAAGGTATTCTGGATCCCTCTTACCATCTTATTACCAAGAACGGGGCAGAATTTATTGATTTAGTTATACATCTGTCTGTCTGCCTATCTGAGAAAGGGTCTTGCTGTGTCACCCAGGCTGGAGTGCAGTGGCATGATCATGGCTCACTTAAGTGATCCTCCCATCTCAGTCTCACAAGTAGCTGGGACTACAGGTGTGCGCCATCCTGCCCAGCTAATTTTTTATTTTTTATACAGATGGGGTCTCCCTATGTTGCCCAGATTGGTCTTGAACTTCTGGCCTCAAAAGATCTGACTGCCTCAACCTCCTAAAGTGCTGTGATTACAGGTGTGAGTCACTGGGCCTGGCTGCTTGCTCAGTTGTAGAAAGAATAGTGTTTTTAGGCTGGGCGCGGTGGCTCACGCCTGTAATTCAAGCACTTTGGGAGGCCGAGGCAGGCGGATCACCTAAGGTCAGGAGTTTGAGACCAGCCTGGCCAACATGGTGAAGCCCTGTCTCTACTAAAAATACAAAAATTAGCCGGGCATGGTGGCAGTCACCTGTAATCTCAGCTATTCGGGAGGCTGAAGCAGGAGAACTGCTTGAACCCAGGAGGCGGAGGTTGCAGTTTGCTGAGATCGCGCCATTGCACTCCAGCATGGGCAATAGAGTGAGACTCTGTCTCCAAAAAGAAAAAAAATTAAAAAAAAAAAGGAAAAATAATGGTTTAAATCCAGTAGGGAGGACACCATGGCATATTACTGCCACCAATTGGCAGCACACCTTAATTGCAAGAGTAGAAAAGAAGGGAAAATTATTTCTGATAATTGCAAAGGTCTACCAACGTAAGAAAGAACAAATGCCTTGTGACCAAGTGAAAAATGCAAAGGAATACTTGATTTGGGGGAGATTAAGATGAGACAGTGGTCATGATCCCTGAAACACAGGGTTTGTGGAGGTGGTAAAAATGAAGGGTGAGGAAGCTTGATCAGAAGACCTCTCTTTGCTCTAGATATCGAGCAGTTGCACTTGGAACTCTGAAAAAGGGGAAGGAAAGGGAAGAATGACGAATCAAATTTTACTTTTCTTTTTTTTTTTGAGACGGAGTCTCACTCTGTCAGCCAGGCTGGAATGCAGTGGCGCAATCTTGGCTCACTGCAATCTCTGCCTCATGGGTTTAACCGATTCTCTTGCCACCTGCCTCAGCCCCTCGAGTAGCTGGGATTACAGGTGTGCGCCACCACGCCCGGCTAATTTTTGTGTTTTAGTAGAGATGGGGTTTCACCATGTTGGCCAGGCTGGTCTCAAACTCCTGGCCTCAAGTGATCTGCCCACCTTGCCCTCCCAAAGTGCTGGGATTACAGGCATGAGCCACCGCGCCCGGCCCAAATTTTACTTTAAAAATCCTTTCTGTGTAAGAAATATCACCATTATCCTCACGCAAAAAAAGTTGATTTAATGTGTCTTACTCTAACTGTAAGGCCAATAGAATAACTGAAATCTTTTGTGTGCTAAAATTATCCAGAGAGAAAAAGACATAAGTCTGGCCCAAATTTTAAAGAAACTGTGCAATCTACACAATCAGAAACTCATTCTTTGGGTTATAAAGCAAAGTTCTTCATGTTATTGGTTAATAAATGTTAATTAGAACTAATGCATTTTCAGAAACACAATTTGGTATATTTGCAAGGAAAACAAGAAAAGCAATCTAAAGCTCCCAGTAAAACAACACTATATAAAAATCTTTTAAACTATTGCAACCCCTGTTCAATGTCTTCCCATTTCATAGGCTATAGAATGCATTTTTTTTTCTATTTATAACATTAAATATCTACTTTTGGACCAGGTTGGCTAAGAGATTGAGTTGAATTAAAGTTCTGATGGGCATGTGTCTGAAGAATTACATTATTTTTCATATCGTAGGGGTGAAGGGAAAACTTTTATATGTAATAACAAAGGGAAGTTTTCCCTCTGCTGAAGGTTTGCTGAAAAATTAACTGACGACAGTCACATTAGGCTGGGCGCAGTGGCTCACACCTGTAATCTCAGCATCTTGGGAGGCCAAGTTAGGGAGAATTGCTTGAGTCCAGGAGTTTGAGACCAGCATGGACAACACAGTGAGACCTCATCTCTACAAAGATTTTTTTTTTTTTTAGTTAGTGGGCATGGTGGTGTGTGCCTGTAGTCCCAGCTACTTGGGAAGCTGAGGCGGATCGCTTGAGCCCAGGACTTTTAGGCTTCAGTGAGCTGTGATAGTGCCACTGTACTCTAGTCTGGGTGGCAGAGTGAGATCCTGTTTCAGAAACACCAAACTTTTTAAATTAACGTGTGTGTGTGAATAATCCAGAGTGATTACCTATTATTTAGTGTGGTAAAGAAACTTATATACCCTTTTTCATAAGGGAAGGGGGAGATGGAGAATGTAGAAATTCTTTTGAGTGACAGCAAGTCATTAGGGAGAACAAATGGACCTTGGAGGTGGAAGGCAGACATTAATGGGAAGGTGAGGTGTAGAGCTGCACAGGAACAAAGATTGTCTTATTATGCAGAGAAAGTCCTCCAGGTAATCCCTTGGGGCTGCCCTCAGAAGAACAGATGAAAAGTCTGTCAGGTCATAGTGACTGTCAATCTATTCTCTAGTGGTTGATATTTCCTGGTTGTTTGATGAGATTACTAGGGAGGGAGTTTTACAACATTGCATTTCTTCTTTTTATTTATTTGTTTTTTTTTTTAGACAGAGTCTCGTTCTGTCACCCAGGCTGCAGTACAGTGGTGCAATCTCAGCTCACTGCAACCTCCGCCTCCCAGGTTCAAGCTATTCCCCTGCCTCAGCCTCCCCAGTAGCTGGGACTACACGCATGCGCCACCATGCTCAACTAATTTTTGTTTTTTTAGTAGAAACAGGGTTTCACCATGTTGGCCAGGCAGGTCTCAAACTCCTGACCCCGGGTGATCCATCTGCCTCGGCCTCCCAAAATGCTAGGATTACAGGCATGAGCCACCATGCCCTGCCCTGCCAACATTGCCTTTCTTTTGGAAAAAAGCTTTCTTGGTCAGATAAGGAAATTCCAAAGAGAGTGTACCCTTGGTGCTTCGGGAAAGAGGATCAGGGAGACAGGGAAAGGTAAGAGACAGACCTTGGTTCTGAGGCCGTTCAATTTTCAAAGCATTGAGCATGCTGAAGTGCTGTATTTTGGGGAATCGTTTTACTGTGCCTCAATAATATTTTGATCATATGTATGACTTGAAGCTGTTAATAAAAATTGTGATGTTTGAAAATCCTTGCCAAGAGAATTGGAATCTTGATTAAGAATTTCATTGGCCAGGCGCAGTGGCTCACGCCTGTGATCCCAGCACTTTGGGAGGCCGAGGTGGGCTGATCACCTGAGGTCGGGAGTTGAGACCAGCCCGGGCAACGTGGTGAAACCCCGTCTCTACTAAAAATATAAAATTAGTTGGGCGTGGTGGAGTATGCCTGTAATCCCAGCTAGTCTGGAGCCTGAGGCAGGAGAATCGCTTGAACCTGGAGGCCGCGGTGAGCCAAGATCGCGCCATTGCACTCCAGCCTGGGCAACAAGATCAAAACTCTGTCCAGGGAGGGTGGGGGTGGGGAAGAATTTCTTAAAAGCAGCCTCTGCTTTTATGTGTAATTCTGTAACAAAGTCAACATGTTATGGGACCTTTATTACTTTATCTTACCAGATAGGTAAAGGATGAATAAATCTGCCCTTCACTTACATTTATGATTAATCAGACAGGTCAGCTAGTGTGAATAATTTCTAATGAAATAGAGAAAAAAATGAAAAAATATCAAGGCATGCCTTGAATGTCATTAACTATTTTAGATGATATCTTTTAAGCCATAGGAATCACAGAACGCTTTTGTGTAGGTATAACAATGTTGCATTTTAAAAAGAGAAGTGAAGCAGGAGTGGGGAGTAGAGGGAAGGTGGGTCAATGGCACCTACTTCTGGACCTAGCAAGGCTGAGGTGTGAGAATCACTTGAGCCCAAGTCAGAGGTTGCAGTGAGCTATGACTGCACCACTGCCCTCCAGCCTGGGCAACACGGCAAGACCCTGTCTCAAAAACAAACAAACAAACACAAACAAAAGGGAGGTGAATGAAGGGAGAGGTGTTTACAAGGCTAGTGCAATAGTTTTGGTGTAAGGCAATGGGAGGGGAGAAGGGTTTGAATAAGGATGGCAGCAGTAGAAAAAAAAGCAAGCCATCTGAATGAGGTATGGTGGGACTTAGGCTTTTTTGAAAGAAAATAATCAAGTCTGGCCCTACAATTTAGAGCCTAGGCTGCTATGTAATTATTTATAAACAATTTATAAAATTGATTATAAAAATGACTTATAATCAATTATTAAGTGTGAGGGCAAAATACAATTTTAGATTTCTATAAACTTAGAAAGTTGATTACCCATGCCCTCAGAGTTAAAAAAATGCTAAAAACTTCTTAGTAAGATTAAAAACAATAAATGTAATAATGCTGATGGCATTTCTATAATATATTAAATAGTTTAAATATTAAATAGTTAAATAGTTTAACACTCGTAACAACCCTATGAGATTGGTACTGTTGCTATTTCCATTTTGCAGTTGAGGAAATTGAGACAGAAAGAGATTTGTCTAAGGTTACAAAGCTTTCCAGAGCAGTCTGGTTTCACAGTTCATGTTCTTAATCACTACACTAGCTGAAATTACAATGTTAGGATAAATTAGGAAATTCAAATAAGAGAGATGAATTATTTTAAGTGTTTGAGCTGCAGCTTTCTGGCAAGTAGCTGAACACGAGGAAACTCAGTTAAGGAAAAATCAAGAACAGACTAATTTTGGGAGACCTAAGAGAAGGCATGTAGTAGAGAACAGATTGAAGAAAGAGGAGGTGCTAGCAAAGAAATCAGAAGACCAGCAAACTAGGTAGGTGTAGATCCGGGGAAGTGTCTTAAAAGAAAGGGAAAAAGGGTTTCAAGTAGGGGATGGGGATTGGTGAAAACCGTAACTGTTTCTTTTGAGAATGTGTCAATGAAAGGAACGTTGATAGCATAGCAACTGGAGGGAGTAACATCACTGAATTAAAAAAAAAAAAAAGACAAAAGAAACTTTTTTTTTTTGAGACAGAGTCTCACTCTTATCGCCCAAGCTGGAGTGCAGTGGCGTGATCTCGGCTCACTGCAACCTTCACCTCCCGGGTTCGAGAGATTCTCCTGCCTCAGCCTCCCGAGTAGCTGGCATTACAGGCGCACACCAGCACGCCTGGCTGTTTGTATTTTTAGTAGAGACAGGGTTTCACCATGTTGGCCAGGGTAGTCTCGAACTCCTGACCTCATGTTATCTGCCCGCCTCTGCCTCACAACGTGCTGGTATTACAGGTGTGAGCCACCGCACCCAGCCAAGACAACAGAAACTTCTGAGAAACAGAAAGGAAGAAGACAGTGGATAAGAACATATTTACATTATAAGGCGCTAGGAAAGTAGTGGTGGAAGGAGAAGGTGGGAAGGGATGGCATAGTTTCAGGCAGAGGGAGTGGCTTTGGAGAGAAGGGTTCTGGGTTAATTTGGTTAGAAGTTTTGGGATCACGAACAGGAGGTGGTCACAGATATTTTATAATGGAGGCAAGGTCAAACCGGAATTGGAGTCCCATAGCTCTGAGCCCAGGAAACTGGATGAATTTATCTATTAGTATGGACTGGGACTGGCATCTTTAACAACATGGAAAGCTTGAAACAGTCTTTGTGGAAAATAGGAGATCAGCCAGAGATTAGAAGAAAACGCAAGAAAATTATAAGTAGGAGTCCAGTCACGAATTCATATCCAATCTGGTCAGTTATGACTTCCTCCAGCGAAAAGCCACACATCTTGCAAACCCTTGAGAGAGAAAACACAAATAGGGGTAACCTACTGGAGACAGGCCCTTAAGACTATAAAGTAGTTGAGCGATTCCATACTGAAATAGAGTTGGCTATAGCGATAGAGAAGTTAGTCATATATGGGGCTAATGATCCAGGAGAGTAAGGATTCACTTTTGTGGTGAAAAGTTGTAAGCAGGTGAAAGGTAGGGATCCATGGCCACGGACGGGCAGGTGGAGATCAGGGAAGAGGCGACGTTAAACATAAATAGTTTGTTAATGATTTCACCTTACTGATTATTTCTCTTTTGGCATCTAGAAGGCTAAGATTCTCATGTGTATTTCAGAGCTACTGAAAGTAGTCCTAGGTTGTGGAGGGAGAAATCCACTTTCACAGCTGAGTCTATCTTCTCAGTCTAGTTATATTCTCCTCTCACAAACTAGCCAATGCTGCCGCCTTATGCAAAGCCGACACCACGGAAAGATGTGCTTTACAGAGGCAGGATGACGCCAATCGGCCTAGGGCCGGCGGTGTTTCGTCTAGATTAATGGCGAGGGAAGTCCCCAATAGTCCTTTTGAAACCTTTTCACTCTTGCCTGGTGAAAGCGCTTGTCAGCCGTAAATCGCGAATACAATGCTAAGCTCTGAGGCCCTTGCTAAATCCAAGTAGGAGCAGGGATCTGCGCGGCCTCACCCTCGGGTTTCCGCAGGGCGTCTCGAGAGCTGCGGATGGGGGCAGCAGGAGCCGGGCGGGAACAGAGGAAAGCGCCGGCCCTGAGACCTAGGGAGGAGCCTCGGTGAAGGAACCCGGGGCGGGTTCCTGCCTAGATCTCCAAGAAGCTCCAAAAATGGCGGGCGGCAACTCGGCGAGCCGGACGCGCAGGCGCCACCGTGGCCGTCCTTCCGCCAGCCGCGGGCGGCCCAAGAACCGTCCACAGCGCCCTTATCCAGAAGCCTACGCCTCTCGCGATTGGCTGAACTGCGCGAGCGCTCCGTGTGGGGGCGGGGCCGCCACGCAGCGGCCACGTTTCCCGCCCCGCTGGTGCGCGTGCGCGCAATCCCCACTGGAAAGCGTTTGCGCGCGCCCCTGCCGCGGCCCCTAGCTCGCGCCTCAGCTCCCTCCCCTTTCCGGGCAGGCCCGTCCCGTCAGCAAGGCAGTGAGCACCGCGGCCAGCAGAGGGCGGTCCGGACCCAAGTCTGCAGCGGCGCCATTGGCGTGTGGAAAATGCCACCAGATGGCGGGTTAGGATTGCAGCTCCGTTGAAGGCGCGGCCCCCGCTCCCGAACCCCCGGCGACCACCCCGTAACAACCCCCCCACATCGGGAATAACACACCGGAGACTTTTGGGGGGAAACTAGGTCGATGGTCGGCGGCGCCCGGATGGGCAGCTGAGGTGAGTGCGGGCGGCGGCGACGGCGGCGGGGGGCGGGAAAGAGGGGGAATGCGGCGGCAGCGGCGCGGGGGCTGGAAGCGCCGATCCAAGATGGAGGCCGGGCGAGAGCGAGAGAGCGCGAGCGGCGAGCGGGCGGGCCGGGCGCGGGCCCCGTGCGGGGGAGGGAGGCCGCGCGGGCCTGTGCGGGGTGCGGCGGTCGTGGGCCGTCCGAGTGCCCGGAGAGACGTCTGTGGGCGCGGTGGGCACCCCGGCGTCTTCGTCGCTTGCCACCCCTCCCGCGGGCACCAAAAATTTTGCCCCCGCCCGCCCGGGCACTACGGCGACAGGCGCGGAAGCCTTTGTGGCGCGCTCGGGCCCGCCGCCAAGCCCGCCCTCCGCCCCCCCCCGCCCGGGCTCTCGGGAGTCGCCCGCGCCCAGCGGGGCCGGGCCGACGCGGGCTGGCGCGAATGCCTTCCGCCGCCTGCCGACCTGCGTTTCTGCGGTGTTTTAGCGGCGGCGGCGTCACATGACAACGAGTTCATTTCAGCGGAGGGGCCTGGGGGGTCGCTCGGCGGGGCGGCTGGCCCAGGCTTCTTGTTGGCGGGGTGGGGCAGCGGGGTGGCGGCTGGGGGAGATGCATCAATGCTGGGCTTTCCAGCTATCTGCCCTCTCAGCCCCCGACGGGGGCCTCCTTGTGAAACGTGTCCAGGCCTAAGCACTGCCCCGCTAGTTTGCCAGTCCCCTGAGAGACGAGGCCAATAAAAGTTGTTTTCCCTCCTTTCTCGAGGTGGGGGCGGGGTGGGAAACTAGAGTGCTTGGAGTTGGACCTGAGCCCCGTTTGCAGGGTCCGAACTGGGTTCTTCTTGTATGGTATGGGTACTAAGAAATTTTCAGGTTTTAGGATTGTCACGTCACCCCCATCTACCCACATTTGAAATGTTATCTGTCGATTCTCTTCACATTGCAGGGAATCGTGCTCCGGGAGTATAAGTCATAGGATAGTTTTGGACACTTACAGACAAAAAAAAAACAAAAAAAAAAAACGCAATTTGTCATAAAAAAAAATTATTTGCTGTTAAAGTTGGTGTTAAGATGGATAGAGTTTATTCTCGTGATTCTGACTAGAAAGACTTGCATCTTCGCAAAAATAGTGTTTACTTGAGAAAGTATCTGAATTGGCACAAAGTTGTGTGATTTGTAACTTATCTGGAATTTGAATGACTCTACATTTTAGTTTTCCTCGTGTTTTAAGAAAATTGCACATTCCGATGGTGAAGCACTTAGGGAAATATACAGAAGAGTGAAAATAAAAATAACTTGTTTATTGTATGGTAATGTAACGTACCTTGTTCTAATATTCATAATGTATGAGGAATTCAGACTGAAAAATTTTAACCAAGTAGGGAAATATGGAATGGAAAGAAGCAGAAATGTTATTTCCTTGCTTTTGATGATTAAGAATACTTATAAGACAAATTGTTACCCAAATAAAGTTGTAGAAGATCTACAGGTGTTTTGCCACGCATTTTCCTTTACATATTTAAAACGTACTTCGAGTAAACTAAATTAATTCAAGTGATCTACCAGTGGTCATTTTCACAAACGAACTGCTTTTGAGTGGAAATTTTTCTGTATCCACTTCAGTTTCGATGTTCTGATAAGGCTAAGGAATATTTAAATAGATGCAAAATATGGAAGTTTGTTGTGTTACTAGGATTGCCTCCTTTGAAGAGACTAATAAAATGACTGTAGATTTGATTGGCTCTTTTAAAGCCTTAAAGGCACTATGGTGTAGGGGAGAAGGAGTGGGTCCTGGACCGAAGTTACTTTGAACGTCCCCTGGGTTTGTGGTGTTCAGGGTGTTACCTTTGAGCCTTACTTTCTTTATCTCTAAAAATGGGGAGCTGGGCCCAGTGGTGCACTCCTGTAGTTCCAGCTACTCTGTAGTGAGGCAGGAGGAACCCTTAAACCCAGGAGTTTGAGGCTTACCTGGGCAACATACAAGACTCCATCTCTTTAAAAAAATAAAATAAAATGGGGATAGTATCTTACGGTGATTGTGTAACAAGATGTCTGTGAAAAACACACATTTAATTGCTGTAACTTAAAATTTACAGAATTTTGTACAGTTTTAATCTTTTTTTCCTTGATTCTGACTCTGTGTATGTTCATAATCTCAGTGCTGTGAGAAGAAATAATGTACTCTGGGAAAGATACGTTCTTGTTTCCCCTTTTATTTGTTGTTTTGTCCTGTATCTTTATATCTTTATTTAGGGGGGTATATTAGTTTCTTTCTTTTTTTTTTTAATGCATAACAAATTTCACACTTAACAGATTAACAATTATTTCAGCTTCCATAGGTCAGAAGTTTGGGGAGGTATAGCTGAGCATCTCAGGCTAAAATCAGGGTGTCAGCTGTGATTGCAGTGCATATCTGAGGCTTAGAGTTGTTTTTCTTTTTTTTTTTTTTTGAGATGGAGTCTCATTCTGTCACCAGGCTGGAGTGCAGTGGTGTGATCTCGGCTCACTGCAACCTCCGCCTCCTGGGTTCAAGCGATTCTCCTGCCTCAGCCTCGCAAGTAGCTGGGTCTACAAGTGCGTGCCACCATGCCCACCTAATTTTTATATTTTTAGTGGAGACGGGGTTTCACCACGTTGGCCAGGATGGTCTCCATCTCTTCACCTCGTGATCTGCCCACCTCAGCCTACCAAAATGCTGGGATTACAGTTGTGAGCCACTGTGCCCGGCCAGAGTTGTCTTTCAAGGTCACTACTTGTTGGCACAATTAATTTCCTTGTGATAGTGTGACTGAAGTCCCCATCTTCTTGTTAGCTGTTGGCCAAGGACTGCTCTCAGATCCTTGCCGTGTGGCCACATAGTTCACAACATGGCTGTTAGCTTTTATCCATGCTAGCAGGAGTCAGTCTCCCTATTTCCTGTGTGTCTGACCTCTGACTCCCCCCTTTAAGGTCTTTTTTAAAAGCTCACCAGCTAAGCTCTGAGGCCCTTGTGGTAAACTTAACTGATTAAGGGCCTTAATTACATATGCAAACATATATTTTGTCATATAATCACCGTAATGATATCCCGTTATATCTACAGGTCTCTCCCACACTCAAGGGGAGGGCATGATACAAGGGTGTGGGTTAGTGGAGGCTTTTAAGAATTTTGCCTGCCGTAGGAAAAGAAGTATCTTCACATTTACCTCTTCAGATTCCGGACATACAAGGAGAGGACCTAGGCAGAGCAGTAACCCCACTTGATCAGCTTACTCTTACTTATATTGCCTTTTCCTCACCTTTTTTCCTTTCCCGTTTCCTGGTACCTTAGTTTACATGCCTTCCTCTATGAAATAATTTTATTGCATTGAGAGGAAATTAAAAATAAAAACGAAAATTTAAAACGTTATAAAGAAGGGAGGCAATGGGAGAAGGGAGTTTGTATAATTATTTTTTCTTTCATTTCTGCCACTAAGAACACCTTTTTAAAAAATTTAAAAAAATTACTATTATTGGCCTGGTACAGTGGCTGACACCTGTAATCCCAGCACTTTGGGAGGCCGAGGTGGGTGGATCACCTGAGGTCAGGAGTTTCAGACCAGCTTGGCCGTGGCCGACATGGTGAAACCCTGTCTATACTAAAAATACAAAAATTAGCCAGGCGTGGTAGCACTTGCCTGTAATCCTACTACTCAGGAGGCCGAGGCAGGAGAATTGCTTGAACCTGGGAGGCGGAGCTTGCAGTGAGCTGGGATCACGCCACTGCACTCCAGCCTGGGTGACAGAGTGAGACCCCGTCTCAGGAAAAAAAAAAAAATTTATTATTTTTTGAGTGTGCCCCGACCAGAGTGCAATGGCATGATCTAGGCTCACTGCAACCTCCACCGCCTGGGTTCAGGCGATTCGCGTGCCTCAGCCTCCCGAGTAGCTGGGACTGTAGGCATGTGCCAGTACACCTAGCTAATTTTTTATATATTTGGTAGAGACAGTGTTTCACCTTGTTGGCCAGGCTGGTCTCTTGACCTGAAACTCTTGACCTGAAACCGTCTGTCCACCTTGGCCTCCCAAAGTGCTGGGATTACAGGCATGAGCCACCGTGCCCGGCCAGTTATTTTTATTTTTTAAAAATTACATAATTCTTGGCCAGGCGCGGTGGCTCACGCCTGTAATCCCAGCACTTTGGGAGGCCAAGGTGGGTGGATCACGAGGTCAGGAGATCGAGACCATCCTGGCAACACGGTGAAACCCTGTCTCTACTAAAAATAGAAAAAATCAGCTGGGTGTGGTGGCGGGCACCTGTAGTCCTAGCTACCGGGGAGGCTGAGGCAGGAGAATGGTGTGAACCCGGGAGGCGGAGCTTGCAGTGAGCCGAGATTGTGCCACCTGCACTCCAGCCTGGGTGACAGAGTGAGACTCCGTCTCAAAAAAAAAAAAAAAATTACGTAATTCTTGCCATTCTTTGATGCCTTTTGTTTTACCTGTTTTTGATATGATATTGAATCTCAGAGAAGTTAAGGAATTTATTTTTTATTTTTTGAGACAGGGTCTCTCTCTGTCACTCAGGCTGGAGTGCAGTTGTGCAGTCACAGTTCACTCACTGCAGCCTCAACCTCCCCAGGCTCAGGTGGGGCCTGGAGTAGCTGGGACTACAGGTGCATGCCACTACGCCCGGCTAATTTTTGTATTTTGTATAGAGATGAGATTTTGCCATGTTGCCTAGGCTGGTCTCAAACTACTGGCCTCAAGTAATCAGCCCGCCTTGGCCTCCCAAGGTGCTGGGATTACAGGCGTGAGCCAGTGTGTGTGGCCGAAGTTAAGGAATTTAAATGCCTTGGATCACACTCCTCTTAAGTGGCAGAGTCACACAATCATTGCGTCAGACAGTTGCTGTGGTGTGATTGGTCTAGCAGCTTTTGAGGAGAGAATTCTTTTTTTTTTTTTTTTGGGACGAGTCTTGCTCTGTCGCCCAGGCTGGAGTGCAGTGGCATGATCTTCGCTTACTGCAACCTTCGCTTCCCAGGTTCAAGTGATTCTCCTGCCCCAGCCTCCTGAGTAGCTGGGAATGCAGGCACGCACCACCATGCCCGGCTAATTTTTTTTTTTTTTTTTTTTTTTTTTTTTTAGACAGTTTCACTCTTGTTGCCCAGGCTGGAGTGCAGTGGTGCAATCTCGGCTCACTGCAACCTCTGCCTCCTGGATCCAAGTTATTCTTCTGCCTCAGCCTCCTGAGTAGCTGGGATTACAGGCATGTGCCACCACACCCAACTAATTTTGTATTTTTAGTAGAGACAGTGTTTTTCCATGTTGGTCAGGCTGGTCTCGAACTCCTGACCTCAGGTGATCCGCCTGCCTCGGCCTCCGAAAGTGCTGGGATTACAGGCTTGAGGCACTGTGCCTGGCTGCCTGGCTAATTTTTGTATTTTTAGTAGAGACGGGGTTTCAGCACCTGCCTAAGGCCAGGCTGGTCTCGAACTCCTGACCTCAGGCAGTCTGCTTGCCTTGGCCTCCCAAAGTGAGCCACTGCGCCCGACTGAGGAGAGAATTCTTATGAAGAGAATAGTTATTTGCAAGTCTCAGAGTAGGGGTATTATTGGTGGAACAAAGAAGGCAGCAGAAGTTTAGTCATGGCATACGGTTTAGCAGTCCAAGAAGCAAAATATTTTCATGAAGAGGCAATTAAGACAGGTTAGCCAAGGATAATCAAGCTTTAAAGCAAGCTTGTCCAACCCGTGGCCCAACACAATTTTATACACTTTCTTAAAACATTGTGAGTTTTTTTTTTTAGCTCATCATTTATAATTAGTTTATTTTACAGGTGACCCAAGAGAATTCTTCCAGTGTGGCCCAGGGAAGCTAAAAGATTGGACACCCTTGCTTTAAAGGATATAACTGGGAATTAAAATTGCTAGGGAGATATATTTTAACACAGAAATGATATAATAGGGGCTTGGTAAATTTTTGTTGACTGAATAAAAATATAAATCTTTAGAATTTAGATGATTCTTGCTAGAGTGGTAGGGAAAAACTAGGAAGCAGAGAGCTAAAATGATATTCTTGCATAAGCCACAGAATGAGGTGATTCTTGAAGGAATTAGAATTGTGTCTGTAGGAAGTTTTCTGTTATTTTGGTGGTTAAGGGGACAGTCAGCTTCCTGCCTTTTAGTGCTGAAAGTGTCTTATAATTCAGTTGGTTTTATAGAATCTTTTCTTTATATAACATACCCCTTATTGCTTCCCTCAGATTTTTCTCCTCCTTTTCTAAATCAAGCTTGTCCAACCTGTGGCCCATGGGCTGCATGCAGCCCAGAATGGCTTTGAATGTGGCTCAACACAAATTTCATAAACTTTTTAAAAACATTATGAGGTTTGTTTTGTTTGTTTGTTTTTTACCTTATTAGCTATCATTAGTGTATTTTATGTATGGCCTACAGCAATTCTTCTTCCAATGTGGCCCAGGGAAGCCAAAAGATTGGATACCTGTGTTCTAAATCAAGGGTCCCCAACCACTGGGCTGTGGACCCATACTGGTCTTTGGCCTGGTAGAAACTGGGCTGCACAGCAGGAGGTGAGAGGCAGGTGAGCTAGCTTTATCACCTGTGCTCCATCCACCTCCTGTCAGATCAGTGGGAGCATTAGATTGTCATATGAGTGCAAATTCTATTGTGAACTGCACATACAAGGGATGTACGTTGCGTGCTTTATCTAATGCATGATGATCTGAGGTGGAACAGTTTTATCCTGAAACCTTCTGATTCCCCACCCCATCCGTGGAAAAATTTTTTTCCACGAACCTGGTCCCTGGTACCAAAAACGTTGGGGATGGCTACTCCTTTTTGCCAGTCAGTAGTGAAGGATGTCATAAATCTTGCCTTCTTCCCTGCCCCCCGTTTGTTTTTTATTTATTTTTAATTTTGTGAGTCCATAGTAGGTGTATGTATTTATGGGTTATGTGAGAATGTCTTACCTTCTTTATGAAATACATTCCTTTGTGCTATGGGCCAAAATGATGTACCATTTAGTTGTCCAAGAATTTCAATGGAATTTTGCTGTAAACATAATAGCAATGGCTTTTAACTTGTTTTCTAGCTTCTGCTAGCAGTTACAAAAACATTTTACATTGTAGCCTAGTACAAACACACACATCCACACACAATGAAAATAAGTTTCATGAAATAATACTTTATCTTTATGCAGTGCACTCTGATATTTTCTGATCTTTTCTATTAGGAATGCTGGTTGTGGCTGGGCACAGTGGCCCACACCTATAATCCTAGCACTCTGGGAGGCCGAGGCGGGTGGATCACTTGAGGTCAGAAGTTGGAGACCAGTGTGGCCAACATGGCGAAACCCCGTCTCTACTAAAAATACAAAAATTAGCTGGGTGTGGTGGCATGTGCCTGTAGTCCCAGCTGCTCGGGAGGCTGAGGCACGAGAATTGCTTGAACTCTGGAGGCGGAGGTTGCAGTGAGCTGAGATGGCACCACTGCATTCCAGCGTAGGTGACAGAGTGAGACTCTGTCTCAAAAAAAAAAAAAAAAAAAAGATGGTTGCAGTTTACCTAAGAAATGTCACGACTCACAGCAGCTAACACTGGGAAAAGCATTGAATTGTAATCTCATTGGTAAAAAGGAAAGTGCAAAGTAGAGCCATGAGAAGAAACCATTTCACTTCCATCAGATTGACAAGCATTAAAAGTCTGATAATGTCAAGTATTGGTGAGAATGTAGAGAAATTACATTCTCACTTTTGTCAGCAGTGTAAATTGATACAATCATTTTCTGAAAGATGTTAGTAAGATAGTAAATTCAAGCTTCATGTATTTTAACCCCAGCAGTTGTACTCCTGTCTTTATATTCCTGATGAATGAAATCCTTGTATTTTTATTTTGGAGACGGAGTTTCGCCCTTGTTGCCCAGGCTGGAGTGCAATGGTGCAATCTCGGCTTACCGCATCCTCTGCTTCCCCAGTTCAAGCAATTCTCCGGCCTCAGCCACCCGAGTAGCTGGAATTACAGGGATGCACCACCATGTCTGGCTAATTTTGTATTTTTAGTAGAGACGGGGTTTCTCTATGTTGGTCAGGCTGGTCTAGAACTCCTGACTTCAGGTGATCTGCCTGCCTCAGCCTCCCAAAGTGCTGGGATTACAGGCGTGAGCCACGTGGCCAGCCAAAATCCTTGTATTTTTGTACCAGGATGTGTGAACAGAATGTTCATAGTAGCCTTATTTGCAGTAGCCAAAATTCAGAAATAAACCGTATGTCTTTAGTGGTAGAATGGTTAAATTAATGATGGTTTTCAAAAGTTAAAATAATTTTGGTTACTGGGATAAGCCAACTTGGTCACAGTGTATTATGTATCCCTTTTGTATTTACTATTATTTTGATAGGATTTTTGGCCTATTTCTTCACTAGGCATATTGCTTTATAGTTTTATTGTAATGTCTTTGTCAGGTTTTGGTATTTGGGTTATGATGGCTTCATAAAAAAGGTTGGGACGTGTTCCCTGTATTTACTGAAATAGTTTGTGTAATAGTGTTATTCTTCCTTGAATTTTAGAATGTACCAGTGATAAGCCATCTGGACTTGGAATTTTCTTTTTGGGATGGTTTTGATAACAAAATCAAATTTAGTTTCTATACTAGATATAGGGCTATTCAAATTTTCTGTTTCATATTGTGTCAATTTTGGTCTGTTTCATCTTGTATCAGTTTAGGGAAATTGGTTCATTTTACTTAATTGATTGGCAGGAGTTTGTAAGATTTCCTTGCTATCCTTCTAATGTCTGTAGGATCTGTAGTGATATCTCTTCTTTAATTTCTGGTATTGTTATTATTATTTTTTTTTTTTGAGAAGGAGTTTCATTCTTGTTGCCCAGGCTGGAGTGCAGTGGTGCAATCTTAGCTCACTGTAACTTCCGCCTCCTGGGTTCAACTGATTCTCCTGCCTCAGCCTCCCGAGTAGCTGGGATTACAGGTGCCCTCCACTACGCCTGACTAATTTTTTGTATTTTTAGTAGAGACAGGGTTTCACTATGTTGGCCATACTGGTTTTGAATTCCTGGCCTCAAGCTGTTCACCCTTCTCGGCCTCCCAAAGTGTTAGGATTACAGGCGTGAGCCACTGCATCTGGCCAGTATGTTCTTTTTATCTTGACCAGTCTAGTGATTTATCGGTTATTTTTTCAAATAACCAACTGAGGTAATTGTCAGTATTTGTCTTTAGTATCTCATTGGTTTCTGCTTTTTAAAATTTTCTTCTGCTTTGCTTTCTTTCCAGCCTTTTAAAGTGAAATTTTAGGTTATAGATTTTAGGCACTTTTTGTTTTCTAATAAATACATTTAAAGCTATATATTTTTCTCTAAGCACTGCTACATTACTCAGACTTTGATGTGTTTTATGTTTATAATTTACCTTGACATTCTTTTTAATTTGTGATATCTTCTTTTACCCATGGATTACTTAGAAGTGTGTGGTTTAATTTTCTTTTCTTTTTTTTTTTTTTGAGATGGAGTCTTGCTCTGTCACCCAGACTGGAGTGCAGTGGCGCAATCTCTGCTCACTGAAACCTCCACCTTCCAGGTTCAGGTGATTCTCCTGTCTCAGTCTCCACAGTAGCTGGGATTACAGGCGCACACCACCACACCCAGCTAATTTTTGTATTTTTTTAGTGGAGACGGGGTTTTGCCATGTTAGCTAGGCTAGTCTTGAACTCCTGACTTCAAGGATCCGCCTGCCTCAGCCTCCCAAAGTGCTCAGATTATAGGCATGAGCCACCGTGCCCAGCCTTGTTGTTTAATTTTCAATATTTGGGATTATTCTAGATAACTTATTACTGATTTCTAACTTAGTTTCATTTTGAGTCATATCTTTATGATTTTAATCCTTTAAAATTTATTGAAACTTATTTTATGGGCCAGCATATGGTCCATCTTGGTTAATGTATCTTTTATACTTGAAAGTGTGTTTTGCAGTTGTTGGGTGTAGTATTCTGTAACTATCAATTAGGTTAAGGTGTTTTAATAGCACTTTTCAAATAATCTATGTATTTGTTGTTGTTTTTTGTTGTTGTTGTTTTGTCTCATTCTATCAGCTGCCAAGAAGAAAGTTAAAATATCCAACTATGACTGTGGAATTATCTGTTTTTCCCTTAATTCTGTCAAGTTTTTCTCACTCATTTTGAAGCTCTGTTGTAAGACATGTACAACTTATGATTATTATGTTGTTTTGACAAATTGACCTTTTTATTGTGATGAAATGTCTCTCTGTTTCTGGTAATAATCTTTTCCTTGAAGTCTGCTTTATTTGATGTTAATATAGCCACTCCAGCGATCTTGAGCTTACTGTTTCCATAATATATCTTTTTCTACCTATTTACCCAAAACTCTTCATTATATTTAAATTGCTTTTGATGGTAGTATATAGTCGAGTATTGCTTTTTAAAAAATTCCTGGCCAGGCACAGTGACTCATGCCTGTAATCCCAGCACTTTGGGAGGCCGAGGCAGGCGGATCATCTGAGGTCAAGAGTTCAAGACCAGCGTGACCAACGTGGAGAAACCCCATCTCTACTAAAAATACAAAATTAGCCGGGCATTGTGGTGGGCGCCTGTAATCCCAGCTACTTAAAAGGCTGAGGCAGGAGAATCGCTTGAACCCGGGAGGTGGAGGTTGTGGTGAGCTGAGATCGCGACATCGCACTCCAGCCTGGGCAACAAGAGCAAAACTCCATCTCCAAAAAAAAAAATTCCTTCCAACAACATGGAAGTGGAATCTTTCAGTTATAATAATCATTGATCATATGCTAATGTCTGTCAAGAACTATGAAGAGTTTGAAGTTTTACCCTATTTATAGGCTGACAAGTTAACTTGGCATAGTTTAATGGCTTATGGTAGAAGTCATTGAAATGACTTGGTCATAGATGAAGAACGATGCACTGTGTCAGTAGCCAGACAGTCAGCATTTGCATCAGATTTCTGAGCTCCAGTTTGCATAGGTCATTGGGAAGAGGTCCAGGTGAAACCTGCACAAGTAGTGAAATCCCAAGCTTAGAGAAACTCAGATCTTTTATAATGGGTCATAAATACGCTTTTTGCTCTGGGACATGTCTTTCTTCCAGGACCCTTCACTATATAACTATCCTGAAAAGATTGGAACAAAGGCTTCCAGTGCTTCTCTTCTCAAGACAGGCAGAAAATCAAGAGACTCCATGGAGAGTTGTCTTCCAAAACTGTCTAGTGAATTTTCTCAGTTTCCCTTTTGTTATTTGCTTAAGTTTTTCTTTTGTTTCTTACATGGCTACAACCTAGCTTTCCAGCTTTATCTCTTCATTGTACTTCTCTATGGTTATATGTTATCACCAAATTAGATTACATACTCGTATCCTGTCTTTCCCCACGTCTTTGTTCTGGTGAATATGTGTGTGTGTAAGAAAACGCTTGGCTAGGCATAGTGGCTTCCACCTGTAATCCTAGCCCTTTTGGAGGCTGGGGCGGGCGATCACTTGAGTTCAGGAGTTTCAGACAAGCCTGGGCAACATAGTGAAACCCTGTGTCTACAAAAAATACAAAAAATTAGTTAGGTGTGGTAGTGCGCACCTGTAGTCCCAGCTACTTGGGGGGCTGAGGCAGAGGATAGTTTGAGCCCAGGAGGTCAAGGTTGTAGTGAGCTGAGATTGCGCCACTACACTCCAGCCTGGGTGACAAAGTGAGACTCTGTCTCAAAAAAAGAACAAAAGCAAAAAAGAACATTGAGCATTTACTATATGCCAATAAACATTTTACAATAACCCTGTGGGGTAGTTATTGTTATGTTGGTGTTATCCCCCTTTTACTGGTGAGGAACTGAGGCTTGGATTAAATTTCCCAAGTTTGTAATTAGGGAGGGACATATTATGGAGAAGCTTTTGTAGTAGTCTATTTCTTGACCTTAGTAATAATTACATGGAGTGTTTGCGTTAAAATTCTCTCTTTTTTTTGAGATGGAATCTCGCTTTGTTGCCCGGGCTGGAGTGCAGTGGTGTGATCTTGGCTCACTGAAACCTCCGCCTCAAGCGATTCTTGTGCCTCAGCCTCCCGAGTAGCTGAGATTACAGGTGCCTGCCACCGTGCTTTAAAATTCTTTAAACTGTTATTTAGAATTTTACATAATGTACTGTATAATTGATATAGTTCACAAAGAAAAGAAAAAGCAAACGCAGAGTAAGATGTGGAATCTGTGTGAAATCTTTACAGATAACTTCAGCCAATCTTTATCCTCTGTATCTATCCCGTTGCATTTATTGTTGGCGTCATAAGGTTTAGTAAGTGGCAGTGTTTATAAGGCACAGTATCCTGTGTAATATATATGTGTGTATGTGTGTGTGTGTATATATGTATATAATTATTATTTTTTTTGAGATGAAGTCTTGCTCTTGTTGCCCAGGATGGAGTGCAGTGGCGCGATCTCGGCTCACTGCAACCTCTGCCTCCTAGGTTCAAGTGATTCTCCTGCCTCAGCCTCTCGAGTAGCTGGGACTACAGGTGCCTGCCACCACATCTGGCTAATTTTTTTTTGTATTTTTAGTAGAGATGGGGTTTCACTATGTTGGCCAGGCTGGTCTCGAACTCCTGACCTCAGGCAATCCTCTGCCTTGACCTCCCAAAAGTGCTGGGATTACAGGTGTCAGCCACCACACCTAGCCTTTCTTTTTTTTTTTTTCTTTTTTTTTTTTTTTTGACGGAGTCTGTTGCCCCATGCTGGAGTGCTGTGACGTGATCACGGCTCACTGCAGCCTCAACCTCTCACCTCATCCTCCCAACTAGCTGGGAGTACCTGGGACCACAGGTGTGTGCCACCAGGCCCAGCTAATTAAAATACGTTTTTTCGTAGAGACAGGGTCTCACCATGTTGCCAAGGTTGGTCTTGAACTCCTGGGCTCAACAGTCCCCCAGCCTTGGCTTCCCAAAATGCTGGGATTATAGTTGTGAGCCACCGAGCCTCACCCAGTGTGTAGTGTTTGAAATTAATTGTCCCAAGGCCAAACAGCTAGTAAATGATAGAGCCAGAATTTGAACTTAGGCTGTTTCAGAACCCAGTCTCTAAATTTCTTAAAAGGCCATTTTTCTCTCAGCCTCATTTCTGCATGTTGAAATACTTTGCATTTTGAAGTTTATTTTAGGGAGATTTGATTTTCTTCCCTATTCCATTATGTAATAATTATCTTGGGTAGGACATTACTTTCTGGAGTCCTCGATTTTCTCATTTTTAAGATGGGAATACAGTTTAGAGTCTTTTTTTTATTTTTAGAAAAATTGACTTATTTTTAAATGGACAAATTATGTTTATGGTGAATAACTTTGGTATATGTGTACATTATGGAATGGCTAAATCATGCTAATTAATTAATATATACTTTTCTTCACATATTTATTTGGTGTGGTGAAAACACTTAAAATCTGTTCTCAGCATTTTCAAGTATCCAATATACATTGCTATTAACTATAGCTATCATGTGGTGCAATAGATCTCTTGAACTTATTCCTCCTGTCTAATGAAAATTTGTATACTTTTTTTGGGGGAGAGGAGGAAAGCAGTCTTGTTCTGTTGCCTAGGCTGGATGGCAGTGGTACGATCGATCTCGGCTCACTGCAACTTCTGCCTCCTGGGTTCAAGTGATTCTCATGCCTCAGCCTCCTAAGTAGCTGGGACCTCAGGCGCGTGCCACCGTGTCCAGCTAGTTATTATTTTTGATATGGAGTCTTGCTCTGTCGCCCAGGCTGGAAGGCAGTGGTGCGATTTTGGCTCACTGTAGCCTGTGCCTCCGGGGTTCAAGCGTTTCTACTTCGTCAGCCTCCTAAGTAGCTGGGATTACAGATGAGTGCCACCATGCCCTGCTAATTTTTGTATTTTTAGTAGAGATGGGGTTTCACCATGTTGGCCAGGCTGGTCTCGAACTCCCGACCTCAGGTGATCTGCCCGCCTTGGCCTCCCAGAGTGCTAGGATTACAGGACTGATCCACTGGGCCTGGTGAAAATTTGTATCTGTTTGATCAGTGTCTTCTTAATCCCCATCCCTGCTCCCATCCCTGGTAACCACCATTCATTATTCTCTGTGCTTCTATGAATTGAGCATTTTTTAGTATTTTATATTTTATTAATTAATTTATTTTTTGAGACAGAGTCTCACTGTGTCGCCTAGGCTGGACTGCAATGGCACAATCTCGGCTCACTGCAACCTCCACCTCCTAGGTTCCAGCGATTCTCCTGCCTCAGCCTCCTGAGTAGCTGAGATTACCAGTGCACACCACCATGCCCGGCTAATTTTTGTATTTTTAGTAGAGACGGGGTTTCACCATGTTAGTCAGGCTGGTCTTGAACCCCTGACCTTGAGATCCGCCCGCCTCGGCCTCCCAAAGTGTTGGGATTACAGGCGTGAGCCACCGCGCCTGGCCTTATTCTATTTTTAAAGTGCTCATTTATTGTCTATTTCTTCCCTCTGGAATGTTAGCTCTGTGATGAGAGAACTTATCTGCCTCCTTTATACTGCTACCTAGAATAGATTCTGACACAGTAAGGGCTAACAAATATTTGTTGAATATAGTAAGCGGTATCATTAACTGAAAGCCAGGAAGCAAGAGGTAGTATGGTGAAAAAGGCAGACTAGGTAGAAGTTGAAAAAGTGAACATAAAATGCAGAGGCAAGGCCTGGCATGATGGCCCATGCCTGTAATCCCAACACTTTGGGAGGTTGAGGCGGGAGGATCACATGAGGTCAGGAGTTTGAGACCAGTCTGGCTAACATGGCGAAACCCCTGTCTCTACTAAAAATGCAAAAATTGGCCCGGCATGATGGCTCACGCCTGTAATCCCAGCACTTTGGGAGGCTGAGGTGGGTGGATCACGAGGTCAGGAGTTGGAGACCAGCCTGGCCAACATAGTGAAACCCCATCTCTACTAAGAATACAAAAAATTAACTGGGCATGGGGGTCACGTGGTGGCTGGGCTGGGGAAGTGGCGGCTTCAGGAGAGAGCGGGACTTCGTGTGGCGGAGGCAGCATTTATGACCTTCTACAGTGAGGTGAAACAAATAGAGAAGAGAGACTTGGTTCTAACGTGAAAAAATCAGATTGAAAGACTGACCTGTCCTGGTTCCTCTTACTTCAGTTTCACCCCATTTGAGGTTCTTCAGATCCTGAAGTTACAGATGAAGAAATAAAAAAGCGGCAGTTATCCATCTTGGTGCATCCTGACAAAAATCAAGATGATGCTGACAGAGCACAAAAGGCTTTTGAGGCTGTGGACAAAGCTTACAAGTTGCTACTAGATCAGGAGCAAAAGAAGAGGACCCTGGATGTAATTCAGGCAGGAAAAGAATACGTTGACCACACTGTGAAAGAGCGAAAAAAACAAAGAAGGAAGGAAAACCTACAATTGTAGAGGAGGATGATCCTGAGCTGTTCAAACAAGCTGTATATAAACAGACAATGAAACTCTTTGCTGAGCTGGAAATTAAAAGGAAAGAGAGAGAAGCCAAAGAGATGCTGAAAGGAAACGACAAAGGGGAGAAGAGATTGAAGCTCAAGAAAAAGCCAAACGGGAAAGAGAGTGGCAGAAAAACTTTGAGGAAAGTCGAGATGGTTGTGTGGACAGCTGGCGAAACTTCCAAGCCAATACAAAGGGGAAGAAAGAGAAGATAAATCGGACCTTCCTGAGACCACCGAAAGTAAAAATGGAGCAGCGTGAATGACCACCCGGGGTCACAGGCACAGAACCTTCCCCCTGCTATCTCCCTTCCTGCTTCGAAGGACTCATTCTTTCCTCCCACTTCCACCCCAACATAGAGTAGTATTTGCTTTTCAGTCCATTTTTTCAATACAATTTAATATCGATCAGAGTAATTCTTTTGTGCATTGAAATGCGGGGCTTGGTTTAAAAAAAGGCCTTCCCCTCTCCTTGCCCCTAGAACAACCAGGATTAGAAGGTGCCGCCATTGGTGCTGCCTTCTCTTCCCACAGCCTGTAACTCAGTGTTTTGTACTTCACTGAATTGTGATGGTTAGAAACTTCGTGGGTAGTTTGTGGAACTCATACAGTTAAACATATTTTTTAAAATGATGTTGCTGTGACTTCATAGACAAGCCTGGAAGGGGCACCTTAGGAAGCCCCTTCGCTTCAGTTGCTTGCTTCTGGGTGTGCTCCCTTTGAAGGCCCAGATGAAACAGGGAACACTTGTGGGCACACAGAGTGGCATCTGATGCCCTGATGCCCTGTGGTGTTTGGCATGTGCCCCCGTCTACTGACCAATCAGCGTGGCATGAGGCCTACGCCACCCCAACCTTTCACTTTCCAAAGAGCTAGCCGTC